>NC_000009.12:73220552-73845552 GCF_000001405.40 Homo sapiens | reverse complement strand
TATTTAATATATTTCTCTCTATAGCTTAAATGAAAACCACCTAATGGTAGGAATTATTATTATTATTATTTATTTATTTATTTTTGAGATGAAATCCTGCTCTGTGGCCCAGGCTGGAGTGCAGTGGTACCATCTTGGCTCATTGCAACCTCCGCCTTCTTCCCTCAGCCTCCTGAGTAGCTGGGATTATAGACATGCCACCATGCCTGGCTAATTTTTCTACTTTTAGTAGAGACAACGTTTTACCATGTTGGCCAGGCTAGTCTCAAACTCCTGACCTCAAGCGATTTGCCTGCCTCTGTCTCCCAGAGTGCTGGGATTACAGTCATAAGCCACTGCACCTGGCCAAGAATTATAGTATTTTGTGGATTTTTAATGTATTTTTTATTATTCTTTATTTTACTAAAGACCCAGATGTTCTGTGAAAACGTAGTGAATATGAAGAGTTTCAAAATAATTAAATGCAAATATTGGGTTTAGAATCACTCACTTGCATGGTTAGATGAGATATTAGAGTTGCCTAGCCTATATTCTCATCTTATGCTTGAATGCTTCCACAACTTATCTGAAAGTAACCACACAGTTCATCATTTCCATCCACATAATCTGTTTTGTCTGAAATCTCCTTCATACTAATGCTGATATTTTGATCTCCATCTTCTTGAGCCCAATTCTACTTCTCAAGTGACACAAAATCAAAGGGGAAAGGGGGTATTGTTAATCCATCACCTCAAATCCTAATATTAGAGACTCTAATGAGTTTATATTAGTACCCAAAATCCTAAATACAATAGGATTTAAATATCTTATATTTTATAAATCCTGTAACTATGTTACTATCACACATATACATTAGACCCAAGCATTTTCTAATTCTCACAATTTATTGCTATTATGTAATAAATGAAGGTTCCCATTTGAAACATGAAAACAATTGATTTTCCCAATAAAAAATGTGAGAATATAAAAGAAACTATGTTCACATTTGTTTCCTGTACATTTAGTGTTCATCTGTTTTTTGACTACAAAATAAAATTCCAGATTGTTACATTTGGATATAACTTAATTTATGCAATGTGTAGTTGCTGTTTTGACGCGCAATAGTTTATACATCAGAAATCAAGGCAAGAGTATGGCCACACAGACCAAACATGTCTCCTGAAGTCAGGATGATGAAACAAAAAAAATCAAATGCATTGACTACCCCTCCTAAAAGCCTGAGTGATCACGCTTGGGTGCTCCCATTGTTCTTAATGCCTGTGCCTGGGATAAAATGGCTCATATTGAATTTTAATTGTCTGTTCTACATTGGAATGAAAATAAAAGAGTTTAAGAAATCTTCATCTATTGCTGGTCAGAACGTTAGAAGCTGAACAATATACAGTTTTTCAATTGGTTAATGCACATCTGGGAAGCTATGGTGGGAGCAGGTGTACCTTTCCCCAGGCGTACTTTGCTTTCTGTTTCCTTTCTTGAGGTAACAAGCACTCAAGTATTTGTTGGTTCTGCTGGTCCATTTCTTAATGCACATTGCTCTAAAGCTGGAAAGTGGATGTTGAGTTTCAATACAGACTGGTCTGGAATAGCTAACATGCTATATACAATAGCGGAAAGAGCAAGGTCTCTGTGTCAGACTAGCAGTGTTCAAATCCCATGGTTTCTACTTAGTTAGCAAATAGTTAACTATTTACTTTCCAATATCTCAGTTTCCTTGAATATAAAACAGATCTGCTGCCAACATTAAATCATTTTATATATAAAGGACTTAAAGTGATGACTGGTCCATAATAAACGCTAAATAAGTGTTTACTGAGATTATACATTTTAAATAAAGAAGTTTATTTTCAGAGAACTAATTTTGCTTGGTAAAAGATAGCATGATGTATGCACCTTTGATTTACTATTTTTTATCATAAAAATATTTATAACACACATATTACACTTCAGAAAGAAGCATGAGACATTTTGTCCTGAAAATAATAATAATATTAATAAGAAGAGTGTGTCCAAACTGTAGCAAATATCAACATTTCTGCACTACAAACAATGAATGCGAAATACAGCTACAATGAAGAAAATACAGATCTTAGACCCTAAATGAGTCAAATCCTTTTTTTGTCTGAAGCTTTAATATGATGTTGGGGGTTAGTGGATGAATACAAGCTGAAAACATTAGTACAAGAAGAGAGTGGTGGCAAGGAGTAAAACCTGAGCTAAGAGAACAACATTCAGAGTCTCCATGAAAGAAAGGCAGTTTCTCAGCTGCAAAATTGGTCCACCAGTGACCTCACTAAGGAACCAGCTCTGGATAATTATGTTCCTTTTGAAGGTAGAATATCATCCCTCTTTTTAAAGTTATAAACACACACACACACACAAATCCCTAAGATGTTCTGCAATCTTGATTATAATTTTTAGATATTCTAGCAGTTGTTTTATTTGCCATATCTCCTATTAGTAAGCTACATTAACATTGGGGGACCCAACTATCTTTATTGAGAAATCCCTCTAGCAAAATTTATCCCCATGTAAATTTTTACTTATTAATCAGAGAAGTCTAAAAATGCAAAGACCTAGAGATCAGTGATATGCATTTGCTGCCATTTAAAAAAACATTTCTAAAAACATTCACCAAGTGAATTTTACATGTATTTATGTTACTATTTCCTTAAAATTTCATTCTAAGTCCTTCATATTTGAAAGAAAGCTATTTTCTTTTTTCATTTTTTAAAGCATGGCATGCATCATCCACTTAATGTATTCCTCTTCACAATATGAAGTGCCGTACCACATGCAATATACGCTTAGGAGAAACACACCATGCTTTCTATCCCAGCTATTCACTGCCACTGAATTATCCCTGTGCTGAAAGACAAACAAACCAAGGCATTAGAGGCTGCAGAAAATGGATTTGTGTCAATTGGTGGTGAGGAAGTGAAAGCAGATTTTGATAAGTAAAGTGAATTTGATATGTGGACAGGTGTATTGGTTTGGAATACTAATAAAACAAAATATAAGTGTTCCTTTTCATGCTGGTGGCTGGCAAACTCTCCATTTTGGCATACATTTGTTCCTACAGTACAGCTCCCAATTTTGGTAAAATTACAACATATTATCTTCATCTCTTTTGAGTGGAAAAAAAAAAACACATGAGCAATTCAGTTTTACTGATAATTTACTGTAAGTATAATGAACTTGGAAAAATAATTTAATAATATACAGAATAATTTTAAGTAAACTCAACCTGTAAACAAAGTTACTTAAATATTAAAAGTGCCTAAATTTTAGGTTTAGACTTATTGCTTGGTCCCATGTTTGAATCCACAAGATTAAACTTAAAATATCACTAATTGGACATCTCACCATTATTTTATATACTACTAACAAAGAAAAATACTGTCAACTCTATTTGATGTTTTACTTTCTTATCAATTAGAAATTTCACTTTATACTTCTTGAAAGGACCATTTTGCCTTTAATTAGACATAGATATTATTTATTTCGGGCATATATAAAAAATTAGCAAAATGAATTTGTCAAGGTGATTAAATTATTCACATTCAATATCACTTTTGAATTGAAACTAATACTGCTGTTCACTTTTCCCCATACAATGTAGTCTTCTGCCTCCATCAAGACCATTACTTGAAATATTTCATAAAGAATTAAGTGCCATCAAGGCAGGATTCTTAAACCAACTAATTTGTAGTTATCTGCAGTGAAGCTACTTTGATTCCACTTTCGACAATCATGACAAACACGTCTGACCCAACCACAACCCTTTCCTACACTCATCTAGTTTTTAGTAGATAAAATAATGCTTTACAATTGTCTCAAATTTTCTTCCAAGCCACTGACACTTATTTTGCATGTTTTGATGTAGCCATTTAAAAATGTTTACTGAAGAGCAGGCAATGACAATCAACACTATCAATGACATGTTGCATCCAGGTAGTAGAAATATTAAAAAGCCAAAAAGAGGTATGTGGTTATGTACTAGCTGAAAATTACAGCAATTAATGTTTGGTGGGATTGTGTAAACTAAAAATAAAATCCTAAGCACCCCAACTGATTGAGTGGAACCCCTTGTGGCCAAGGGGACCCAGAGAAACCTGAAAAACTGAGTTGTTGGCCATGACAGAATAAGAGATTAGACACGCCCCCTTGTATTCCCTCGTTTTTGGAGTTTAGACACAACCAAGCAGTATTAATAATAAAGTGGAGTTCATAGAACTAATAAAACAACTCTTTGTGACAAGATATGAAGTGATAAACAGGACCTAAGGCCATGCTAGACAAGGGTTAAGTCAAATGCCCCTACAGGTCACTCCGACCCAGTGTATTGGTTAAAAGAATTCCTCGTCTTAACTTAAACATTCCTTTCTGCTGACTCCAAATTTTTTGACAAAGCATTACTCCTTTAACAAATTGCAAATTAAAGAATCTCTGAACCCTCCTATGCCCCATAAGCCCCCACTTGAGGATACCCAACTTTTGGGGCCAAACCAATGTTTAACTTCCATGTATTGCTTTATGACTGTAACATCTACTTCCCTAAAATGTATAAAACAGGGATGTGACCTATCTGCCCCTGGACCTCTTAGTCAAGGCTTCCTGGGATTGTGTTTTTCCCTGTGCTGCAGTGGCTGATATTGGCCCAGAATAAGCCTCTTTAATATATTTTTACAGAGTTTGATTTTTTTTTTTTTTCCAGACAGAGTCTCGTTCTGTCGCCCAGGCAGGAGTGCAATGGCACGATTTCTGCTCACTGCAACACCTCCCGAGTTCAAGCAATTCTCCTGCCTCAGCCCCCCAAGTAGCTAGGATTACAGGCACACTCCACCATGCCAGGCTAATTTTTGTATTTTTAGTAGAGACGTGGTTTTGCCATGTTGGCCAGGCTAGTCTCGAACGTCTGACCTCAAGTGATCCGCCTGCCTTGACCTCCCAAAGTGTTGGGATTACAGGCATGAGCCACCGTGCCCAGACCAGAGTTTGATTTTTCTATTAACAATTGTAAAAGCCCCACAAAGCGTTTACATTTTGGCCAAGCGGCCTTAATATTTTCAGAATATGTAATCTCAAACTATTTCTTCATTAATTTTTCTGGAAGCATGTACTGACCACTTACTGTGTTCTCTATGAGGCACTGGGAGAAATTAAAGTCATAGTCTCTCTCTTTGAAGAGTTTCCAGCATCATGTCAGGGAAGGACAATTTTAAGAAAGTCTAACTCAGGCAAGTGTTTTGCCAAAGGTAAGCTCAGGATTTTGGAATCACCACTTTGAGAGCCATCTAATCCAGTTTGTGGAGAGTCAGAGGAAGATTCCTGAAAGCAATAAAAGTTTAATCAAGTCAGGATGTCAGGAGGAACCAGAAAAGTCGGCTTTTTTGGAAGAAGCATGAGCATGTATGAGCAAGCAAAGCTACAGAGGGGAGTGAGAAGCATGGTGAAGTGGAGGAAGTGCAAATACAGTAGCTCCAAAAGTCAGGAGTAGGGCCTTGTAGGGTGTGGTGAATATTAAAGCTAGTGAGGCAGGCCTCAGCATCCAGGTCACAAAATGTCTTTAGCTGGGCATGAAGCTTAAATTTTACACAAGAATAACTAGTAGCCTCTGAAAGAATTTAAAGAGGGATTTGATTTAAATTGTATAAAGGTTCACACTTTATAAACCCATTGGGGTAACAAAGTTAGGGAGAGCTAAAATGATGTCAAGGATGTGGTTTACTTCCCAATGTCCTCAGCTTCCGCCTCACAGTTGTTCACTTTTGAATTTTACCTGCTTGTAAATCAGGACATTGCTTTATGCATAACTATGAGTTTGTCTGATTGGAGAACTATGCAACATTTAGATCCAGGGGGAAGAGGCTTCGTCTGGTGATCTGGTCCAGTGATTTCTGATTAACTGTACTGGATTATTTGTTCAGGTGAAATATTACCTAAAAGCAAATATGTTAAAGAGATTAAAAAAAAGAACTTGATAAATGGATTGTTGTGAAGGAGGGGATCTCAGAGACTGGGTGCTCAGCAGAGCTCCTGCACCAGTTTAAAAACCATTCCTTTATTCCAGCACTTGCTGCTATGAAAACCAAGACTCAAAATGGTCAACAGACTCACATGGCTCTTGAATGCTAACACCAATGTTTAAATTCCATCTTTATAGAAGGGTCTAGTTGACTTTGTCTTCATTAAGCTATCTGTTCAGGCTTGCTGGAGTTAAAGTCTATATTTGGAAAACTAGGTAAAAGAATCTCACAAGTCATTTCTCCTGAAAAAAGAAATCTGTGCAATTCTTTCTATATAAATGCAGAATAGCTCAACTTCTTTTTTTTACCATTTGTTTGCTTGCTTTGGGGAATATACTATTTAGTTTACTACACAAATAATCTAGGTTTGCTCTTTCATATTACTTCTCTCCATTACTTCTCTCCATGAGTATGCAGGATGAGAATGTTTACAAGACAGAGAAAAGGCCTATAAAATTTGGCTGTTTGATTTTCAAATATAATTTATCATCTGAAGGTTCCTCATATTTGCTTCCTTTCCTCAACCCAAAGTTATTTATTCAGTAAAACTTTACTGAAGCATAATGGGCTGTATGTATGTGTGCATGTACATTTATGTTTGTTTGTTTAGTGGAAGTAGTGGTAAGAAGTGGTGATGGTAAAGAAATTAAGGGGAATTAATCTATTTTATTTCCAAATTACCTAGGACAGATATATTAACGTGGCCATACTGATGACCGTTAGCATAATGATTCAATTAAATGACATAGGTCCACTCCACCTCCATTTAATCAATTTGGTATAGAAACGACAGGCATCTACTTATGAATACTGGTGGAGAAGTGACATTTTATTTATTCAAGTACTTTCTAATTTAAGGTATTTAAATATTAATATTAAAAGCCATTTGAATATTTGAACTTTTTTTTAAAGTTTGCCACACTTTGAAAATTGCTGTTTTCTTTTTTTTAATGGTGACATTTACCCTAGTACTGAAGGAGCTCTTTTAAATATAGTTAAGTAAAACAGAATTATGGTTGAAGATAAGCTGGAGGGAAAGAATTAATGAAAAAGCTATCCTGTTGTGAAATCCAGAAAATTGGAAGCTATAAAATGGATACTGTATTTAACAGTGTTAAAACTATCTGGAGTTTGTAGATTTGGGGATTTTTGTAAATCTTAATATATCCAACTTAATATTAACCTGGAAAACAATGCCCAAGAATAGAAAAAAAACCATATATGTTGAAATTAAATTAAATAATGCTTTTGAAAATATATAGTTAAGTTTTTTTATGTGTGTGTCATAGAAAGACTAATTTTAGTTACAGTCATTATAATTTACATTGTAGCCTTTTCAGCAGACACAGATGATCAGAAATCTTAAGTAGACACAGTAGTGTAAACGCATTCTGTAGTGAGCAGATATACTGAAGCATTTGACAAAAAAAAGTCAGATGCAAGTGAAATTCAGTAGCATTCTATTTTCAGTCATTTGTGTTTGACATTGTAAAGATAAACATTCCTAAAACATCATTTCTGTGGGAAAAAAAGCCACATTTTAGTAAAGGTATAGGCAAGTCTGTTGGTATTTTAACATATTCAAGTTTGAGTATGTTGTAGTTGGACTGTAACCTGATTTTCTGTAAGCTTCAACTACACAAAACCTACAGAACTTCTTGTCTTGCTCACAGTGTTTAGGAGAAGATAGAAAGTTTTCTCATTCTGGAGCTCTTTCACCTCAAATAACATCTGTCAGCTTAGGGCCCAAAAAGGACTATTGGTAAAACTTTCAATTTTTTTTTCAACTGCCTGAATATAGCAGTACCTAAACATAACTCAACTGTTATATTTATGATACACACATAAAATAGAACATTGTGCAGCTGTAAAAAAAAGTAAGAAAAAAAGGTGTTTGAAGACAATTTTCAAGGTACAGTATTATGTGAAAAAGCAAGGCAATAAACAAAGTCTACACAGTTCTGTATGTATTTTATCAAAGTAAAATAGTTCATATTGTGTTTGCTCCTGCATGCATAAACTATCCTAAAAGAACAGTAGAGGAACTGACAATATTTCCCTGCCCCCACCTCAAACACCCTTGGAAAAGAGTGGATGTTGGATGGCTGGAATGGACTCGAGTGGAGATGGACATTTTTCTGTATACTCTTTTGTACCTTTAAAATGTTTAACAATATCAATGTGTTATCAATTCAATTAATTACATATTAAAATGGTCCAATAATTAATGGATAATTGACATTAAGCTGATTATAATTTGTTTGCATGGACCCTTGCTTCCACTGAGCATAAGTATCAAATCTTACTTAAGAAACTCTGGGCCATACGCGGTGACTCATGCCTGTAATCCTAGCATTTTGGGAGGCTGAGACAGGCAGATCACCTGAGATCAGAAGTTCGAGACAACCCTGGCCAACATGGTGAAACCTCATCTGTACTAAAAATATAAAAATTAGCCGGGCATGGTAGCATGTACCTGTAATCCCAGCTACCTGGGAGGCTGAGGCAGGAGAATTGCTGCAACCTGGGAGGTGGAGGCTACAGTGAGCCAAGATTGTGCCACTGCACTACAGTCTGGGCGACATAGCGAGGCTCTGTCTCAAAAAAAAAAAAAAAAAAGAATCTCTGACTATAAGACATTAGTCAACTTGTATATTTAAATATTTAAAATAATTCTGTATTGGACCAGGGTGTTTAACAGTTTCAAGGTGAGAACAGTTACAAATGGAAGGGTAAAAATGGTCCAAATCTCTGCTCTGATTGTGGGCTAAGTGAAAGGTCTCAGTAGCATTTGGAAGGGTTGTGTCTTACTTACCAGCATTTGAAAATGATGGTGATGTCCAGGAATGATGTTGATTTGAGAATGAAGTGAGAAGGTCTGAAGTCACACAGAAACCAATCAGAACTATAGCTAAATAGAGAAGGGCCAAGGGCAAAAATTAAGAGTGTAAGTATAGAGTTAAAAGACTGGAGAGCCAGGGAGAGACTCAATGATAGGAGAATAGGAATAGTAAGGAAAAAGATGCTTCTGAGTTCCATGTGTCTATATTTTATTATTTTAACAAGGACATTAAGAACAATAACAAGACAAACATCTAACACGGGCCAAGTATTTTATGATATTATTCTATTTCTTCCTCACAGCAATCCCTGTGAGGTTGTGTATTAAATTTCCTTTGCCTTTGTGGGTATTTTAATGGGAAAGTTTGAAAAGCACTTTTCTTTTTATTTATTTATTTATTTATTTATTTATTTAATTTTTTTATTATACTTTAAGTTTTAGGGTACATGTGCACAATGTGCAGGTTAATTACATATGTATACATGTGCCATGCTGGTGCGCTGCACCCACTAAATCGTCATCTAGCATTAGGTATATCTCCCAATGCTCTCCCTCCCCCCTCCCCCCACCCCACAACATTCCCCAGAGTGTGATGTTCCCCTTCCTGTGTCCATGTGATCTCATTGTTCAATTCCCACCTATGAGTGAGAATATGCGGTGTTTGGTTTTTTGTTCTTGCGATAGTTTACTGAGAATGATGATTTCCAATTTCATCCATGTCCCTACAAAGGACATGAACTCATCATTTTTTATGGCTGCATAGTATTCCATGGTGTATATGTGCCACATTTTCTTAATCCAGTCTATCATTGTTGGACATTTGGGTTGGTTCCAAGTCTTTGCTATCATGAATAATGCCACAATAAACATACGTGTGCATGTGTCTTTATAGCAGCATGATTTATATTCCTTTGGGTATATACCCAGTAATGGGATGGCTGGGTCAAATGGTATTTCTAGTTCTAGATCCCTGAGGAATCGCCACACTGACTTCCACAATGGTTGAACTAGTTTACAGTCCCACCAACAGTGTAAAAGTGTTCCTATTTCTCCACATCCTCTCCAGCACCTGTTGTTTCCTGACTTTTGAATGATTGCCATTCTAACTGGTGTGAGATGGTATCTCATTGTGGTTTTGATTTGCATTTCTCTGATGGCCAGTGATAGTGAGCATTTTTTCATGTGTTTTTCGGCTGCATAAATGTCTTCTTTTGAGAAGTGTCTGTTCATGTCCTTCGCCCACTTTTTGATGGGGTTGTTTGTTTTTTTCTTGTAAATTTGTTTGAGTTCATTGTAGATTCTGGATATTAGCCCTTTGTCAGATGAGCAGGTTGTGAAAATTTTATCCCATTTTGTAGGTTGCCTTTTCACTCTGATGGTAGTTTCTTTTGCTGTGCAGAAGCTCTTTAGTTTAATTAGATCCCATTTGTCAATTTTGTCCTTTGTTGCCATTGCTTTTGGTGTTTTAGACATGAAGTCCTTGCCCATGCCTATGTCCTGAATGGTAATGCCTAGGTTTTCTTCTAGGGTTTTTATGGTGTTAGGTCTTACGTTTAAGTCTTTAATCCATCTTGAATTGATTTTTGTGTAAGGTGTAAGGAAGGGATCCAGTTTCAGCTTTCTACATATGGCTAGCCAGTTTTCCCAGCACCATTTATTAAATAGGGAATCCTTTCCCCATTGCTTGTTTTTCTCAGGTTTGTCAAAGATCGGATAGTTGTAGATATGTGGCGTTATTTCTGAGGGCTCTGTTCTGTTCCATTGATCTATATCTCTGTTTTGGTACCAGTACCATGCTGTTTTGGTTACTGTTGCCTTGTAGTATAGTTTGAAGTCAGGTAGTGTGATGCCTCCAGCTTTGTTCTTTTGGCTTAGGATTGACTTGGCCATGCGGGCTCTTTTTTGGTTCCATATGAACTTTAAAGTAGTTTTTTCCAATTCTGTGAAGAAAGGCATTGGTAGCTTGATGGGGATGGCATTGAATCTGTAAATTACCTTGGGCAGTATGGCCATTTTCAGGATATTGATTCTTCCTACCCGTGAGCATGGAATGTTCTTCCATTTGTTTGTATCCTCTTTTATTTCCTTGAGCAGTGGTTTGTAGTTCTCCTTGAAGAGGTCCTTTACATCCCTTGTAAGTTGGATTCCTAGGTATTTTACTCTCTTTGAAGCAATTGTGAATGGGAGTTCACTCATGATTTGGCTCTCTGTTTGTCTGTTGTTGGTGTATAAGAATGCTTGTGATTTTTGTACATTGATTTTGTATCCTGAGACTTTGCTGAAGTTGCTTATCAGCTTAGGGAGATTTTGGGCTGAGACAATGGGGTTTTCTAGATATACAATCAGGTCGTCTGCAAACAGGGACAATTTGACTTCCTCTTTTCCTAATTGAATACACTTTATTTCCTTCTCCTGTCTAATTGCCCTGGCCAGAACTTCCAACACTATGTTGAATAGGAGTGGTGAGAGAGGGCATCCCTGTCTTGTGCCAGTTTTCAAAGGGAATGCTTCCAGTTTTTGCCCATTCAGTATGATATTGGCTGTGGGTTTGTCATAGATAGCACTTATTATTTTGAGATACATCCCATCAATACCTAATTTATTGAGAGTTTTTAGCATGAAGGGTTGTTGAATTTTGTCGAAGGCTTTTTCTGCATCTATTGAGATAATCATGTGGTTTTTGTCTTTGGCTCTGTTTATATGCTGGATTACATTTATTGATTTGCATATATTGAACCAGCCTTGCATCCCAGGGATGAAGCCCACTTGATCATGGTGGATAAGCTTTTTGATGTGCTGCTGGATTCGTTTTGCCAGTATTTTATTGAGGATTTTTGCATCAATGTTCATCAAGGATATTGGTCTAAAATTCTCTTTTTTTGTTGTGTCTCTGCCTGGGAAAAGCACTTTTCTAAAGAAGCATGCCGCAGTCTAAAACAAACAAACAAACAAACAAACAAACAAACAACAAATACTCCAAAAACTCACTATCATTCTTAACCCTTCTGTTGCCATAGGCAGATGATCAAAACCTTGACCCTATTGTTTATTATTGAATCCCTAACACCTGCCTGGCATATTTAGCAAAAAATAACTTAAGAAACAAATGTCCCACATTTTCTAATTCTCCTTTCCTAATTTACTACCCCAGAACCATCTTATGAAAACACAATTCTAAACCTGGAATTTTTATGCACAAAGACCTTCTTACATGGAGTATAAAATCCAAAATCTTAGTAAGTTATATATTCTTATATATTTCCTGTACATACCATGACATCTGCATTACTTCAGTTTTTGACTCTTTTGTCCACTGATAACATCCTTTCTTTCATTGTCCAATTTGTGTACACTTGTTCATCTGATCTCCAAATTCCATCTCTTTGTACTGTTTTCTCACCTCCCACAAATCAACAGAATTAATAACTCTCTAATCAGTGTTCTAGAATCTCTAATTGGCCACTGTAGCATATTTTAGGGGAATGAGATTAGTTGCATGCATCTTTATATTCATAGCACCTACAACAGGGGCTAGATCACACAGAAAATAAACATTTATTAAGTTGCACTGCATTTTGCAATGCCTGTCCTCTCCAATCTCAGTAAAGTTTGGGGATATCTCATCGGGAGTCCAAGTTTCTCTGTAGGCTGAATGGTTCAAAGTTACTTGGTTATGCTTAAACTCTAGCTCATTGCAAGCATTTTTATATTTTTCCTGGCAGAGTGAGATGTTCTCACAGCTCTTTGTTATATCTTTGTTTTGGGCCTTACAACGTGTTCATCCCTGTTTACTTAGTCTATCACCATCACATGTTATTAGAAATAAAAATAATCTTTAATATGTATCATTATTTATGTAACCACTCTGTGAGAAGAACAGTGCTAAATGATTAATCTGTCATCATCTCATGTAAATATCTCAATAATTTTTTGAGATAGATATTATTGTTAAGGTTATTTAAAAAATAAGCCTGAGAGATTATTTTACCAAATTTACAGTCTAGTGGCAAAACAGAAGTTGAACTCAATTTCTTTGACTAAAACTTTTTCCTTTTCTCTCTGCTGTGCAAATCTTCCTCTAATTTTAGAGATGCTATTGAAGAACACATATTGTGGTCAAGACAATCAGTATACTAGGCACTTGCCACATACAGTACCCTTTAATCTTTACAATATATTTTCATTCTGCAGCAGAAGTTGTAGACAATCATGTTGTCAGGTAATTTGCCTTTGTTTACACAGCTGATAAATGGTCACAATCACATAAGTCTGACTCCAATATTTATTATTTTTATTGCTTTACTATCACAGTAGAAGTTTGTGGAAGGAATAAATGAATGGATATGTGCATGACTATCAGAATGTCTATTTGTACAAAAACCTCTTGACCCCAAAAGGCTGAAATCTACTTAGTGAAAAAGGCTGGAGAACATCAGAGGGAGGAAAGCTTAAAGGTGAATTATTCTTACAGCTAAGCCATGAAGAAGGAAAAAAAGAAAAAAACTAATGCAGAGGTGTACATCCGTTTCCAGTTCTTCATATTTACAAATGTGTACCTGTCAATGGGGTCCCTCAGTAGAAGGAGGGCATTATAAACTGGGAGAAGCTGGTTTTCTTTGGATGAGGTTTCTTCAATAAACTTTGGATTAATCCCTGGAAATTTTAGGCTACTATCGTTGTTCTCTGCAACCCTTTAGTCTGAAGAATTCAGATATGGGCAAAGAAAAGAGATAATAATAGTACTTCAGGTTCATTTTTATATTGTTCAGCCCAGTACACCCAGTACATTCTTTGTTAGGGCACAGAGTCTGCTTTTGGCTGGAAATTCCTTCTTCTGAAAATAAAAGAGCAGAATACAACAGGCTCGGAGAGTATTTAAATATATCCCATATGGGAAGGTTCAACAGTTATCCACAAATTTAGGCTCAACAAAGTTGAATGCTTTCTTCAGTCGTTCCAGAAAGTGAAAATAGCCTTTCTTTCTTTCTATAATCAGAAAATCAGCAAATCTGGGAGAGGCTTTAAATAAGCATTAGGCATATTATTTATGTATTTTATATTTTCTGAATTCTTCAGTTAGATTCCAACATTAAAGAACTTTTGGCAGGTGAATACCTTCAACGGGCTAAAGTACCTGCTGACAGGTAAGTGTCACAATATTGTAGCTTTCATATGCAAATTGGAACGACTGAGCTGGGTTCTCATGAAGGATTCACAACCTGAAATACACACTTAAAAGAAATTAAAATGTTTTAACAATAAAATATGAGAATATTAATCTCCAGTTCACTTTGATGTGACAGAATATAAAATCAGCAGCAATTTCCCTAATGGTGCTGTTGCTCCCCTTTCCCAATAATTGATTTTAATGTCAAATTAAACATCAACACATTGTCAGCCAGCAAGTTGCATGTTGCACTTGAGCCTGTTTTGAGCTAAGGTGTAAATCTCAGATTGGGTTGAATGGTCATGTTTTCCAGATAGTCATGGACTGCAAGTCAAATGCTTCACTTAGAAAAAGATTTATTTGAACTGTGTAGCAAGTAGACATTGATAAATAAACTTATCTTCCCAAAGAGGAATAATTGCTAGGAACATGACTTTCCACATGCAGCGTGAGCTCAATTACTCCATTTATTTATGTAATCAGGGACAGTTCTTGATGTATCCCAGTTAGAGACAGCGTATATACACCAACCTCTGCTTTACCAGCTCTTGACAGCAGCAGTGAGATTTTAAATAAGTATTGATGAATAAAGTTGACTATTTTGCATTCAAGCTTTCATCCAATGCTGTGTATTAGCTTCTAGTCCTTCTTATTATTTAGGAATTTATATAAAAAGTCAGGACCCCTATGTACGAAAGAACAATGTGTCCTCATACCATTATTCTAGAACAAACTTTCCCTTCAAATATTTGGGTATGTGTTTAATTGAGAGAGGTGTGTTATTCAAACCCTATCCTTTACTGACTGTGGGACTCCAGGCAAGTTACTTGTGATTTCTGTATATCAGTGTCATCATCTACCAATTGAAACAATAATTGGACCAACCTCACAAATTCATTGTGATGATTAAATGTATAAACGATAGAGTCGTTACTAGATCAGGTAGGTTGTATTATTGTGTATTGTTGTCTTTTACTTATCAAATAGCATATTTTAAATAGAGTAGATTTCTGAGGTCTAGTTCCTTCTGAAAAGTCAAGATTTTAGAATTACAGTCAAAAGTTCATAAATTAGCTTCCAAAAATAACCCCAAACCATCATGTGTAGAATAGTTATTTACTCGTTCACCCACTATTAATTTGTACTATCAGTGAATAACATAGATCTCCAATTTATGATCAAACCAATATTTAAAAAGGCCAAAACATTTGGAGACAAACATACATTCTATTATCAAATGATAATTTTTATATGAAGAGAGTTAACATGTATATAATTCAAACCAACCTTAACAATTAAGCAACAAATATAATAGAGGCTTCAAATTTGCAAAATAAATCTCCAACATGTGGAATGCAGGGAATATTATCTTGTTATTGTAAGTATGCAGAGATTTTAATTCAAGCTCCACTTTTAGTTCTGGTTTACATCTGGTTGTTGTGAAATTGCAGAGGATGTTTTAAACCCTCAAGTTTTTAAGAAAGGTTAAAGTTAAAACAAAACAGCAAATAAAGAAACAACAAAAACTTGGAAAAACTTGAAGGGACAGGAAACTGACCTTTATTAAACACAGAATAAGTTGTAGAAACTGTGCTATACTTTATTGCATGCTTCATATCAACTAATTACCACAAAATCCTTATAAAGCATATATATATATATATATATATCTTTTATGCTTTAGTAAAATTAAGTACTTACCCAATTTTATACAGTTTAGCAATCAGTAAATTTGAGATATTCCCTAAACCCATTTTCCACCCAGATGCCACTTTGCAAATTAAGGGAACGAAGGAGGTAGACAGAAATTTATTTTTCAAGTCCAATCAGATCCAGGTAAGTTCTAGGAAGAGAGAGGGGTAATTCCTTAAAAAGTAAGATATGTGAAAATCCTGATTTAAAACTCAACTCTTCTTTAAATGAAGTTGGTTATCACATTCAGCCAGTGTATGGGTTTGCTGGTCATTCATTTATCTTTGTGTGTGCAGGTAGAAAGAATGAATGTAACAATAGAATTTAGTGGGGAGGGGGTAGGGATCTGTTTTCCTCCAGAAAAACAACAAAATTTAGTCATCATCTTGCCAAACATAACCTTCATTCCTTATGTAGAACAGGATAGGAAAAATCAGTTGCCTAGAACACAAAGGATTTAGAGTATGTTAAAAACAAGATGCTATACTGGAACCATTCTTGTAACTTAGAATTAAACAGTACACCAGCACTTTTCTTATCATTTTGAAGGTGTACTATACTTGCTAACAGAAATATAGTGTCAGTAGCTTGGAAATGGAACATAGGTGTACAATGGGAGAGTGTATTTGTAAACCAGATATTTGATATGGGGTTCATATCAAAATATATAAATAACTCACCTCAATAGTAAAAAAAAAAATTAAAAAATGGTCAAAGTACCCAAATAAACATTTCTAAAAAGAAGACATACACACAGTCAATACATATATTTAAAATGTGTTCAACATCTCCAATCATCAGGGAAATGCAAATCAAACCACAATGAGGTATCATCTTACATGTTAGAATGATTATTATCACAAAGTTGAAAGATAACAAGTGTTGGTGAGGATGTGGAGAAAAGGGAAACCTTGGTACACTGTGGGAGAGAATGTAAATTGGCACAGCGATTATGAAAACATGTATGGAGGTTCCTCAAAAAATTAAAAATAAGATACCATATGATCCAGCAATCCTACTACTGGGTATATGTCCACAGGCGATGAAATCAGCATGTTGAAGAGACAACTGCACTCCCATAATCAGTGTATTGTCATTTACAATAGCCGAGATATGGAGTTAACCTAAGTGTGCCCTGATGGAAGAATGCATAAAAAATGTGATATGTATACAACACATTATTATACTTTTATTAAAAATATACATTATATAATTATAATACAATTGTGCTATATATCATTACATATCATATTATTCAACCTTAAAAAAGAAGGAAATCTAGGCCAGTCGTGGGGGCTCATGCCTGTAATCCCAGCATTTTGGGCAGCCAAGGTGGGAGGATTACTTGAGGCCGGGAGTTCAAGAGCAAAACCCCATCTGTACTGGAAAAAAAAAAAAAAAGGAGAAGAAGACGACGGAGAAGGAGAAGAAGAAGAAGAAAATGCTCTTATTTGTGACAATGTGGATGAACTTAGTGGACATTATTTTAAGTGAAACAGGCCAGGCACAGAAAGACAAATGCCACATGATCTCATATATGGAATGCAAAAAGTCAAACTCACAGAATTAGAGAATGAAGGTGTAGAGGGATTAGAGAGATGTTGGTCAAAGGACGCAAAATTTTAGTTAAGGAGTAGAAATAAGTTAAAGAGCTCTATTGTACATTATGGTGACCACAGTTAACAGTATATTGTATACTTAAAAATTTCTAACAGAGCAGCTTTCAAGTGTTCTCACCAAAGTAAATAAATAAATATGTGAGGCAATTCAGATTTTAAATAGCTTGATTTATCCGTTCCACAATGTACACATATATCAAAACCTGTTGTAAACTCTAAGTATATATAATTTTTACTTGTCAATTAAAAAAAGATAACAGAAAATAATTGAAAAAATTGGGAGAAAATTTGTACAAATATTGACCTATCTGGTTTAATATCATTTGCTGCTACTTTTACAGGTAGATGCAGGAGTAGTCTTTAAGTGCAAATAGAGGCAAAATATACACAAAGTCAGCCATTGCTTTGGCTTGTCTGTGATTCAAATTTTCCTTGATATTTAAAGCCAATTCTTGATGTAAGATACTTTTCTAATTTTTCAATAGAAAATAAGTGAGGAATCTGAATCTATTTACCTAAATGGAAGTCAAGAGAGAAAAGAGGTTGCAAAAAAATAGTCCCAATGTAGAATTTTATTAGTATTCAAAATAATATCTGTAACCTGTACGCTTCTCTTCCCTTTATGTTACTGGTCACTTAGAAGTTCTGTGAAAAGTTTTAATCTGATGATTAAACTTCATATTTGAGATGAGAATTCTAGTATCGCACAGTTGATCAGTGACAGGATCCACAAAAGGATCTGTACACATCATTTTTCTGAAAATTAAATAGCAAGATATAATTCGCCTGGGCAACAGTGAGACCCTGTCTCAAAAAATTTAAAGATATATATCGTCTTTCAGGATTAATGACTAGAATTTCAAAAATGGAATCTATGATGAAAGTGTAATATAAATTATGTAAATATACAGAATCCCTCAAAGTATACGGAAATAAACTTTAACATATGATATGTTATGTTAAAATCAGGTATTTCAGATTGTATCTTCTCCTTTATAAACTATATTAAATTGAAAATAAAAACTTTGAAAGATATCTAAGATGAGGTAAGATTATAGAGTAAAACTAAAAGGGACTATCAGAAGTTAATTATGAATATTAGAGGAATAAATCAAGCTATAGTGGAATTAGGACGACATTAGTTAAAATCAACAATTGGCATTAAAAAAATAAACTCAGAGAGGTAGAGAACAAGCAAGAAACTATTCCAAAACACAAAAGAGAAGGACAAAGGACAACTAGCTATCAGAAAATAATGCTTAACAACAACCAATATAAAGACAAATACCTCTAATTCTATTCTTGAAAAAGACATTAGAACAAATGGGCCTGCATCCATGGTTAGTATTAATGGAAGAAAACTTTTCTGACTTATGGAATGGTAGAACTGCATATTAAGTAGATTCACAGTAAACAGAGAAAAGGTCAGTGATAAATATTATGACCCAAACTTGTGATATATTTGAATTTCAAGGATGAATTAGAATTTCTTCAAACATCCAGAAGGAAAATGAAATAACTATTGAAGGAATAAAGTTAACACTTTGTATCTGACAGAAAATAATTGATCAATGTTTACAGAATTTGAATTAAACAAAGATCACAATTTCTAAATATTTTACTTATGAAAGTCAAATAATCGTGTGTGACTCCAGATAAAGAAAGGACATCACCTATGCAATTAAAGATATACTTTATTCAAGAAAAAAATAAATACAAATAAAAATACAAATTAAAAAATTGTCTGAAAGATATAGAAACAACTATGAAAGAAATAGTAACCATCTAAGTAATTATGAATACAGTTATAAAACAATAAAAATGTCAGCAATAATTTCTGGAAATTAAGATGTAGAATAAACTAAGAATTTGACAATAAAATACAGAAAAAATATGATATATAACAATAAAAGCTGCAAGGTCAGAGTTAAATAGTAAGTAAAAATGATTTAATTGCCTGACTTTATGTAAGGTAAGGTTAAAATGGGCTTTCTTATCATTAATATTGTTGCTATTAGAGAAATTTTAGTCCAATGATTTTGTTTAAAACCTCTAAGTCTTTACTACCAGAATTTAAGGCACTAATCATGGCTTCCAAATGACTAGTTTAAGAACAAGAAAGACACCAGAGTTAATGTAGCAAACACAGAAGAAATGGGAAAAAAATCAAGCCAAAAAATATAAAAATATGAAATAGGAAAACCAGTAAAATAGGATGATAAAAATAAAAGTAAGAATATTGTTTGTAACAATGCAAAATGAATTTTATTCTTCTGGTAAAAATCTAGGACTCTCCAAGTAGGTCAGAAATGAAATCTAACTCTGCTAATTACAGGAAAGTTACTTAAAATAAAATTGTTCAGGAATATTGAAACAAAAGGATAAACAAAAATATTGGGAAAGGAAAACAGAGTTGGCAATTTTAATGTGAGAGAAAGATTTCAAAATAAAAGCCTTGCAATGAAAAATATATGTATATGTATATGTATATATAACACAAAGCCATCAAAGACACAAAATCTTATGTAACAAATATATTTATACATTTTTAAGGAACAAATTTATTTCTAGAAAAGTGCATTAAAAGGAATAATAAGAAATGACATGTATGTATTTATGTATTAATCACACTTTCAACAGTGAAGATGTGTTAGTATCATAAATATCTAATAATAGAGAATTGGTTATGCAAATTGCAGAACATTCATACCTTAGACTACCCTATAGTTGATTATAATACACAAAAGGTCAATAATTATACTTTAAAATATTTGCGATTTGTGGTTTATTCTACTTAGGACTCTAAGATATAAAATAGATAGCATGATAAACATTGTTATGTGTATTTAAAAAGAGACAGGCAGCATATGCTCTAAGATGCCAATGGTGATTATTCCTTTGATTGTGAAATAAAGGGTCTATTTGTCAGAATTCACACTGCATGTTACAGAACTCAACTCAAAAGAACTTAACCAAAAAGAATATTTAATTTCCCTATGTAACTAAAAAGTCCAGAGATAAGTCTGTTTCCTAGCAGAGATTGATCCAGGCATTGAAACAATGTGAGAATAATTTTATTTCTCTTCAGTATTCAGCTCTATTTCTGCTATGTGGGTTTTTTGTTTCTCGTCTCTTGTTCCTTAAGTTGCATATGATAGTCCCTGGTAGCTTCAAGTTTCTGTCTTCTTGTGATTAAATCCAGGGACAAAGAAAAAGAAAAGCATCTCTTTCCAGTAGCTTTGACATAAATTCCAGGATTCACTTTGCATGAACCACTAGTTCCTGCCCCTGAGCTTATCAGAATGGTTTAGGGACCATGTATCCTGTTGATTCATCAGCTTGGGTTACATGCTGTGTCTCGGAAGCTGAGAGTTGAGCCCATCTGAAGCATATGCAGTAAGTGTTGTAAAAGCCATTTCTCCTCACCCCAGATTAGGTAGAAACAAAGGTAGGAAAGAACACTAGAGAGGAAAAACATCAGGATATACTACAATGAATAGTTTAATTTTTTTTAATTCTTCAGTGTTTTTCAAATGTTTGACTTTGAGCATGTGTTACCTTTGTAACTAAAGAAAGCAATAAACATTATTAAATATGATCATGTAAAATAAATACTCTTATCTCTTGTCTATTCTTAGAAATACGTCCTAAGAAAAAAATTTAAAAGAAAGAAATATATGCCAATTGATATTTATTTCAACAATATTCATAATTGCAAAGCACAGTATATTTAAGTGTAAAATAGTTAAATAATGGTAAAGTCAATTTTAGTAAGCTGTTCAATGACATATCATGCAGTTACATAAATAAATAATTGTGAAAGCTAGTTATGTATATTTTTGTAGTATATAATATAATATTAAATACAAAAGAATAAATATGTGGGCATCTTATTCTGAGTTGGTAAAAATGTTGGGACAACTATTACAAGTGCATATTTAAAGGAGAGAATGCTTATCATGCTTGAATAATTATTTTTGTCATCTAAAATGATTTTAAAGTTACATTCTTTCAAACAAAAAAGTAAAAAAAAAATTGAGAGTATTCTTTTAGAGTTTGAAATTCATATAAACCTAAGAAGTAATTAGGCTTTATATACATTTATCCTCAGATAGTGAGCCCTGTCACACCTCATGATGTGTTGTATCATTGTATATGTGTTAGGAAGTTCCCTTGTTCTCAATAATTATAATATTCATAAAGAAATAAACACACCCCATTTTAGTCGTTACAAATTCAGAATCATATACATACATACAGTGTTCATGGTCTTCAATATTAACATTACAGGTAGAAACTTTTTAATTATCTATTTTTTTTCTTTTGCTATATTTCTACTAGTTTTGAAAACTGGAAATAGTCTACTCTTTATGCTAGACAATAGAGGTTAAAATTGCCTTCATTATTTACTGCTGACATAGTCTTGGGAAAGTTTCTAAATAGCTATATCTCAAGTTCATCATCTGCAACGTAGGAGCATTTTTCCACCTCACTGGCATTACGTGTACATAATCATATTTAATAATATTTATTGCTTTTTAAATTACAAAGGTAAAACATGCTTAATGCCAAACACTTGGAAAACAGTGAGGAATGATGAGAGAAATTTTCACTCCATTGCCCAGGTGGCAGTACAGTGGCACGATCATGGATCACTGCAGCTTCGACCTTCTGGGCTCAAACAGTCCTCCTGCCTCAACTTCTCAAGTAGCTGGGACTACAAGTACACACCAGCATACCTGGCTAATTTTTTGATTTTCTTTTTGTAGAGATGGAATTTCACTATTTTGCTAAGGCTGATCTTGAACTCCTGGCCTCAAGAGATTCTCCTGGCTTGACCTCCCAAAGTGCTGAGATTACAGGCATGAGCTACCACTTCAGGCCAGCATTGTGTATATAAGTACTTCATACAAAAGTACCTGGTCCATTAAAGGATCCATACTGGCTCCCTTGAAATATTAACTGCTTTAGAGGCCAAGCAGAAGCAAGTGCTGTAAATAGTTATTCGTCTCTGCTACTTTTTACTCTTTCCATTCAACTATTTGGAAATGAATTGAATCCTTGCCCTCTGACAATATAGAAATGGCTGAGGAGGGAGATCATTTCTGGGAATAGACATATTTCCCAACTGGGATAAACAGGCAAGGAGGATGAAAGTTCATTCTAGAAAGACAATCCAAATGAGTCTTTACTACCTAAGATGTCCCAAAAGATTCAATAGGAAATGAGAGTAAAAGTGACAGAAAGAACAATGGTGTTAATATACTTCTAAGTAAAAGGCATATGCATTTCCTAATGAGTGCAAAATGGATACTCTGTTATAATGCCTAGCCCTCTGGTGGCATTCAATAAGTGCTTAATAATGGCAAGGATAATGTAATTATTTTTCCCCTCTGCCTTTTCAAGAGCTCTCTGAAGTGAGGGCAGTCTATAATCTCTTAATACCTCTAGGAGACTGTGTTAAGTAGCATTACCTGGACTAGAAAAGACATGCAAGCAAGATCAAGGTCATGGATGATTACCGTTTGTGCTTATGCATTTTGTCCCACAATTCTGAATTCTTTGAGGCCTCTTGTCACACAGACACCTAGAGAGCAAGGCACTAGAGAAATAGCCGTAGGCAATTAAAATCCCGTTTGCTGCTCTAGGCTTGTTTTGAGTTCATTGTTCAGCAGATGAGCTTGTTCAAGATTTCACTTTCAGCAGTTCATTTGATTGAACTTGGGACCAATAAAAGCGAGAGGCCAGATAAAGCAGTAGGAAACAGCTATGGTTTGAGAACATTAACTAAAACTGGAGCAATAGAAAATAATCTATAAAGTGAAAGCTGCCAGATTGCTTTATTTTCAAATTTTTTAGGTTATGGAAAGACAGGTCTAACTTTTGCCTCTTTTCATTACCTGGCTATTTAATAAGTTAGTTTTCACAACAGAATGGCACCAAGAACCAGCACTGGCTTTTTCTCCTTTCTTTCAAGCAAAGGGTCTTGATTGTCCTTAAATGAATCTTCTGACAACTTTTCCTGTTTAATTTGGTACCTGATAAACATGGTGAGCTCCTACCCTTCACATGTGCTTCGTGTTGAACAAAAGATAATTTGGGATAAATGTGATTTGAGAAAGTGCTAGGCTAAGACATGTAGCATGTCATACCACAAATTGTTTATAATGATTCGGGAGAATTGTATCACTTAAAATTTTAGTGAGAAAGGTGATTTGAGAAAAAGATATGTAAAAGAGAAGACTAGATATTTCTGATCTCAGTCTATTGGGTGAGTTTGTGAGAACAGATGTCCTTGTTAGGTAACCCTTTTAGTATGATTTCTGACAGTTTCTTGGTTTCTTATAATAATCTGTGCTTAACTAAGGCACATGATTTTATTTTAAAATCATGGATAACTGTGGTAGCCAGCTTCTGAGATGGCCTCAGTGATACTCCAACTTCTAGTATCCACACCTCGGGATATTTCCCTCCCACAAAGAATAGTGCTGAAGAGGATATTGAAGAAATAACAGTGTGTGACTTTTGAGACTAGATAAGAAGAAAACATTGAGACTTCCACTTTGCTGTCTCTTGAATCACCCAATCTAAGGGGATCCAGCTGTCATGTTGTGAGGACACTCAAACAGCCCACTGCAGAGGCCCATGTGGCAAGAGATTGTGGCATCCTGATAACAGGTTACGTGACCCAATTTGAGAATATACCCTGTAATCCCAGTCAAGTCTTTAGATAACTGCAGCACAGACCCACAACTTGACTGCAATCTCATGAGAGACCTTATGCCAAAATCTCCCAACTAAGTCTCTCCAAATTCCTGACCTGTAGAAAATGTTAAAAAGAAACATTTGTTTTAAGCTACTAACATCTGGATTACACACTAATAGACAACAAATATAGTCGCTTATAGGAATTATGTCATCGTTTACTGAGAAAAATTGTAGTCACACTTACTTTGAAAATGCTTTCGCAAATTCAAGTCTCCTAGCTTTATTTTTAATATGTGCTGTACATTTTTTGCAATATACTTTTTCTTGCTGTTCCTTTTTCCAGCAATGTTCTTGCATCCTTTGCACCTGTCAAAATTCCACCTATCTTCTAAGCTTGCTAAAATTCCAAATTCTTTCTACATGAAACCATCTGCTTCATTCAGAGTCAAGGTCATTCTTCAGAACTCTCATAACACTTCATTTTTACATATCTTGTAGCACATAATGTATTGTAATGTTATTTTTTCTTGTTTTAACATCAGCCTGATAACATTCTTGAGACCCTGGGCCTGTATCTTATTGTTTTCTTTTATGCACACTGGGGACTGCTATAGGGTAAAAAATAGACTCTGGGGTGAGATAAAGTCAACTAGAACAGCGATCAAATTCTTACTTACCATTTCAAAATGCAAGTTACCGCATCTTTAAGCTGTGTGTAAGAACAGCTAGGTCTCAGAGTTATGAAAATGTAGTGATATAATTTAGAAAAAGTGCTAAACTTATTGTTAGCATATTGCAAGTACTCAAAAAAGTTATCATATTATGTCATTTTTGTTCTCCCTTCAGTATATAATAATATTCAATATATAGGCCATTTCTTATATTTCAAGCTGCATTTTAAGCTCTTCCTATTGATTATCTTATTTAACCTGCTCACAAACTTTATTCAGCATCACTGCTCAAAGTGAAGAAATCAAAACATCGGGAAGTTGGAAAGCTTGCCTGAAATCATAAAGTGAGTACATGGCTGTCTGGATTAGAAACAGCTATTCTGAGCACAGCAGCCAGTGCCTAACCAGTATAACATATTGCCCTTTCCATAAACTTGAGTTGAATATGTGAGATTACTGGGTAGATGCAAGACGTGTTATTTACTTGGATCTGTTTGTCTTTGTGAATCACGTATATTTCTTGTATATTTCCAATAATTAGCAACAGGTTCAGATAAAAACAACAAATATGAGGATGGAAGTAGACTTATATATTTATCTTGAGATAACCCACTTCTTTGCAAATTTAGAGAAGTTAAATAGAGAATTGTAGGGAATAAGGATGGTCATTGATTATTCAGGCAGTTTTTTTTTTAATTACAAAGTGTAAAACCACATCATCCACCCCATTGATGGAACTTATCAAAAATGAAGTTGGAGAGTGTGTCACTGCAGTTAATGGCACATGTGACAAATTTGTTTTGAAAATCCATTCTTGAAATGGGGATAATATTAACCTTATATAGATTATTATGAAGAGTAATGTACTAATCTTTTGAAAACCTCTTACACGGTACTAGGCTCACTCAATAAATGCTAATCCTCTTATTTCCACACTGTCAATAGGCTTAGTCAGGATAGGATAGGTTTTGCTTCAGTAACAAGAAATTTCAAAAATCTAAGTGGCTTAAAAATAATAAAGGCTTATTCCTGCCTGACACAAAGTCCTCTACAGGTTTGGATGACTCTGTAAGTTCTATGTGATTATTTAGCACTGCCCTTCTATATCAATATACTTTTTCAATATTGCTGAATTACAGGAAGAAAAGTTTAGCACCAGCAATTTAGTGCTTCTGTCTAGAAGCAACACTTGTCACTTCCACTTACATTTCATTAACAACAGCAAGACATATGATGACCATGTTTAACTTATAAGCATCAAGAAAGAACAATATTTTCAATTACCATGAAGGCAGAGATCCAAACATAATAGTAGCTGGCTAATCACTATCACATCATTAGTGTTTTATTTCTAGACTTATCCACAAGATGAATCATTCTTTAAATAGCTTGAGATCACAATGGTTAGGTTCTAGCCAGTGTTGATTTTAACTCATTTTTGACTATTCACAGAAAAAGTTATTATTTGTATGTTTGGTTAATTAAAAATTATCATTTTCTAGATATTTGTTGTTTCATAAGTGAAATTTTACCTACAGTATGTGTGTAAATATGTATGTGTGTGCACAAGTTTACATAACCCTCTCTTATTCTGTAAAGAGAGATGTCAAAGTGATGGATGAGCTTCTGTAATCTCTGCTTCTAGCTCCATAGCATCAATAATTTTCCTTTTAGAGAGAGAGAAAACCTTTTAAAGTCACATTCAAGGATTTTCTGAAGTATCCATTGAATTCAGTTGGAACATTGTGGATAAGTTCCTTGTACACTGGATCAAATCTTCTCTTTTCTGCTTCGTTGCGTTAGAGAAGGATATACTCACAGAGTACTACTAGAGGAGAAATGTGACATAGTATGTGATTTTCACGTAAAATAAACATGTAAACATGATCTTTGATAGAGCAAAACCTTTCATATTCAAGTTGGCTGCATTATGGATTCAAACAAGCAAAGAGACTACTTATGGATTTTATTCCGTGGTAAACCTCATTGTTATTACCTAACTGCACATTAGTAGACTGACCTCTTTGGAACAGTTTCATGGGATCTTTAATATCTTCTTTGACTTCTGTAAGCCGTAACATTATACTGACATAAGTGCTTGAAAAAGAATATCACATAAGCAACTGGTATATCCTCAACCAATGCTTTTCTTTCTTGTTCCCAAAGAAATATGTTCCTTTCAGCTCTTGGAAAGCCAAACTATTCCTCGTCCTTCATGCTGTTTTAACACATGAATGATGATGTATAACTTCAGTAAGATAAAGACAAACATAAACATACATTTAGATGTATGGGGTGATCTCAATTTGTCTATAATTTATTTTGAAAAAGCATTTAATTTTGTTTTGGTAGAGTCCTCTTAACATTATTATATACATGTCTTTTATGAAACTCAAGCAAATTTATTTTTATTTCTCATGTAATAATTATAATCAACACCAGTATTTGTGTGTATTATATATAAGTAATTATATCAAATAACTACCTTGTTATAAAACTACTAGGAATAAATTATAGTTATAAAAGAGATCAGTGTCTGGTACATCAGTGTGCATAAATTACTAGCTTTTAGTTAATATATAGTCATTAGGAGCTAATGTGAGACCTTAACAAATTAAACTCTACTAATCGATATTAATGGCAATGCACTGTGAGTTACTGATGCTAATTTTAAAATGTTGTGGCTTTGGAACAGATTCTTTAAAAAGAATATTTTCAACACCCTGGTGTAAAGCTTCTGTGGGGTTATTTGACAGATGTCCTGTGAGTTCCTTCAAAGCAGGGGATAAAAGTATAGTGCTCCAAACAAGAAAGTGTGAGCAGAATGGCTTTTGGGCATGTGGGTGGGGAGGCTGGCGCTTTCTCAGTTCAATTAAATGGGATTTTAAATTGTGAATTTGTACAGAGCTGAAAAAAGACAGCCATGTGGAAGTTTGTTTTCATTCTTAAAGTAAATCCTATTCTGCCCTTGATACACTCACATAGTGCTCAGTGCTGCTAACATAGAATCCTCCTGTAATGTGAGACATTGGAACACATATGTTGCTAGAAACATGTTTCCTTCTCAGAAACTGAGGTATAGAGTGGCTACCACCAGTTTGCTCTCACCATGATTGGATTGACTTTCTAAAATGCAAGAGTTTCTCAAGATGCATGGGTATTAAACATAAATGGTCTTGGCTGATGATTTTGATTCCAGTCAAGATGGAGTAAGCACATTCCACCAGACCTCTCCCACTAATTACAACTAAAACTCTGAGTATAACACATAAAGCAACTATCAGAATAGTCTAAAAAATAAATGGAAGATGAACTGTCTAGGGGTGGTTCCGTGGACAGTGTCTTCAGTAATATTTGTATCTATTCTGCCCTGGGTCCTAGAGCAGCCCACAATTTAGAAATGTCAGTGAGAATAGACAAATAAAAATAAAAGTAAAAATCTCACTCTATATTCCAAAGTCCTGAAGGAACCCTTTTAACTATAGAGCCACTCTGGAAACAAACACACAAACACACACACACACACACACACACACACACACACACACGTTTTGAAGTTTCTTATGAAACGGATATGATGAGGTTTTTCTTCAAGTAATCTGATCAATCTTTTATTCTTTAATTCGTAGTACCGCCCCGCCTTTTTCTCCTTTTTCCTTTTTGCCTTGTTAGATGCCCAGGCACGCCTCAGTACCAGGTGTTATCAATACCAGCTCACATTCCTTTCCTTACTTGGAAAGAGGACTAACTTTCTAGCTCATTACAGACACCCCTTCCCCCTCCTCTCCACTTTCTTTTACGTGTCCACCCTATCCAAAAAAAATCAAACGTTTAGCCAACAGGGATTAGTTTAGATTGTACGACCTGACTCCGGCCAATGGGGAAACGGCACAGGGGCAGAACTTGCGTCAGGAATAAAGGCTCTCGTGCCCCTTTGTTCAGGTGTGCTCCCATGGCAAGTGGCCAAGGAGGCACCCCTCTGCGCAGAAGTAAAATTGCTTTGCTAAGAATCGTTTGTTCGAGTGTTCAATTTCCATAGGATTTTGAGCATTATTCCTAACAAAACTAAACACACATTTACCAAATAATCCACATTCTCATTCCCAGAAATTTTCTCTAGAATAAAGAAAACTTACATTTATACACACAGAAAACTGAACACTATGAATGTTCCTAGTAGATTTATTTGTAATCAGTACAAACTACTAATAACCTAAAGTTTGGAGGAATAAATGTTTCTATGATATTAATTTTATATGATATATTTTACCGCTATTTTTTCACAGATCACTGGTTACGACCGTTAAAAATGGATGAATTCTCATAGGAAATGAGTTTATATGGTATATTGATTGCATTATTAGAAAGTGAATGCTCAAGCCCACTAAATATAAATGAAGAAAGGAAAACATTGGAACTAAGATATTAGAATTTAACTAAAGTTATAATCTGTTTTTGATATTTTGGCCATCAACATAACTGTCTTGGGAACTGTTCTTTGGGATTATGATATAAAGTAAATTGTGATATAAAAATGTCTTTTTTTCCCCATATTCCTTCTTGTGGAGTTCACGGAAAATGCCAACTTAAAAGACTTATTGGCAATAGCAGGTTGTTCACTCATGCTCCAATACTAGTAGATTTATCAAAGTCTGGCAAAAGCGTGGCTAAAATAGACTATTCTGAGGAACATTGTCACCAAAAATTTTCTGCTTCTAAAATAACATTTGTATGCTTTGTAAAAGTATTTTCTCACTATTTATAAAGGAATGTCACCTCTTTTGTTGACCAGATGTTGCTAATTTTGAACTGATAGAACTACATAGTTACTGTAACCAAGAGGTGAGGCTAGGTCTTGGCAGATACACTAAGAGATAACAGCTACTGTTGGGTTCCTCAAGGAATTTGTATTTTGGATGAATAGATTAGCACCTAGAAAGTCACTAGTACTGAGCAAATGTTTAAATCTATATTATTTATTTATATTCTTGGTATTTAGGAAGGAACTTGGCACACTGTAATTGTTCCATGAATATTTTTAATTATACTGCAAAGCAGTGAGGTCCTTTAATCAAAAGGAGTATATCAATGAAGAATGGAATGATTTTAGTGTTTTGAATAATGGTAACGACCCTGTAATCAAAACATCTTCTGAACGTGAATGGTTTGAAATGATCACCATTCCTATGAATGTATTAAATCTGGTAAGTTTGCTAAAGTAACAGCCTTATTACACTGTGGCTCTACCCTGTTATATGGGATAGTACATTTTTCAAGTTTAAAATATAGGTTATTATAACCTGAGATTGAAACCTTTACTAACTTCTTAGTCAAAGTCAAATAAATAATAACTATGAATGAAATGCCAGAAGTTTAAAAAGTAAAGGACTTTTAAAGACTGCAGACCTTTTAAAATCTCCTCAAAATTTCAGCTTTAAATTAAAAAATAAATATACTCTTCTTACATTCTAAAAATATGTATTTTATATGCACAGAAAATTATCAGGTTCCAAACAGGCTCAGAATTTTTGGGCTTTCCTTTCACTGAAGGCTTGCTATGGATAAAGTTAGTTCAATGGGAAGGTAAATCTAGCCAAGGGAGTAAAGAGAGTGCTACAGAAATCATTGCATTCATTTGAGAGAGATATTATCTGTTGGCTCCTGTGCAGGACTATTGGAAAAGAATCACTAAATTGCAACTACAGATACATTTTACTTAATTTTGAAATAAGCCGGGAAGGATAAAAAGAGATGTCAGAGGCTTTAATATATTTGGCTGGGGTTCAGATGACTTTGTTTACTAATTACTTTGGTAAAGATTGTATTTCTCATTGCACACACACCCTATTCATTACATGGATTAAATCCCATGTCACATAAATAAATAGTTACAAAATTCAGTCATAAAAACAAGCCTTCTGTTATCTTTTTCAGGGCTATTTACATATAAATAAGTCATTTCTTGGATTATTTCTCAGGTACTCATATTTGATCTTATTCATTTTATAAATTGTTCTTATGTTGCTTTTTCTTATAGGAATATAATCTTTGGTTATGTCATTCATGTGTCAAAATCACTCTAATGCCCCTCCCCTATCTCACTGAAAATAAGATTCTATATAATAATCCAGACCCGACATTCTCTGCCAACACTCCCTTTCCCAGATCTACTCCTCACACATTTCCCGTACATCTCTCCTCTATTCACTGTGTGCCACTACACGCGAACATGTCCACTGTTCCTCAAACTTGATAGGCATGTTCTTGCTTAATGGCCTTGGTGCTTATTTTTTCCTTTTGTCTAACTGCAATTACTGAAGTATCAATGTGCTTTGACTCTTGACTTCCTTCAGGTCTCTTCACAAATGCCACCATATCAGAGATTTTTCCCAAAAGCCTCTAGAAAGGAATGTAACCTAGTAATACAGTGATTTTAGTCTTGTGAGAGCCATATTAGATTTCTGCCCCACAGGACTGTAATATAATAAAATTCTGTTTTTTTTAAGGCCACTAAGTTTGTGGTAATTTGTACAGTAGCAATAGAAAAAGAACATGAAGCTACAGACTAATTGCCCCATAGAAACGTCACCAAGATAGCAAGCTTTAGAGGTTTTGTGAAATTTACTTTCTATTTTCTAGAACTCTATTGTCTTAACAAAGTTTCTAAAGTAGTTGCTACTTCCTCATTATTAGGTCCATGCAAAATGATATAATCAATGTAATGAAATAGTGTGATATCCCATAGGCTGGAAAAGCTATTGATATCCCTGCAGATTAGTGTATTACAGGACTGAGGAGCTGATATAGCACAGAGGTAGGACTGTGAGGGTATATTGCTAATCTTCCCAGGTGAAATAAAACTGCTTCTGATTTTCTTTTCTAGCAGGAATGGAAAAAAACAAATACATTTAAAAGCAATTTAATTACATTGGACCATTTCCATCATAGGAAGCACACCATTTCATTCTTAATCCAGATAAAGATCTTCCTTCCTTGTCTGCATTTTTTTTCTTGCAAAATCATGATTCTTAAACCTATGGAATGCCTTAATCAGACAAATTCATTTAAAAACCCAACAGCTCAGTGACTATATACAAAGTGTCATAGAAATATGTTGATTTACTCACGTAATGAAATCATAATTGGAAAAGTAGATGAAATCGGAGTCACCAAGTGATTTAAGTCTACCCATCTTAAAATAAATAGTAAATACTCATAATGGGCACAAAACATGAAAACAATGTTGCATGTGAATTCTCAGCAAAAAGATACCTCATTAGAAGATGTTCTTAATAATAAAGTGATTAAGATGACCCATGGTGATCATTTTTTTTCTGCAACTCATTTTGTGGTCATAGCCATTATTTATGAGTATCTCTTTTTCCACTAGCCATTTCTTATTACGTCTGCGCTCAGCAAGCAACCCAGGTGTATATGATTTCTTGCCTGGTGGGGCGACCTAATTTAGAAGTTATGTAACATCCTAAATACCCTAGACTTTCAAGGTGTTGCCTCCCAAATGGTGCTTTAACAGTCTTTAGAAGTCCATTACACAATTCTCAGAGTGATGGAGAACATGGTAATATCAGTTAATCCTGTGAATATGAGTTCATTGCTATATTTCATTTTTTATTCAGCATTCTTTGGTCAGATAATAAATTTCTTGGTCAGAAGCAATCCTGTATGCAATAAGGTGACAGCGATTAAGGTATTCTATAAGTTTAAGAATGATGATTTTGCAAGAAAAAAATGCAGACAAGGAGGGAAAATCTTTATCTGGAATAAGAATGAAATGGTGTGCTTCCTATGATGGAAATGGTCCAATGTAATTAACTTGCTAAAAGGTGCCTGGCTGATCTTTTAGGTGATGGTGTCTTATCAGACACTCAGTGTGGGTCTCTCCCATTGGAAGTTTGGCTATTCCACTGTTGGTAGGTAACATGGCCTTTGGAAGTGGAATTCAGTGTTGCATGAGTGACTCTCAGAAGAAGCTGGTGCACTTCATCAGAGTTGACGTTTGACTCAGCATTAGGAGAAGGTAAAGTAGGAGATCAGGTTAGAGCTGGGGAAGCTGGGGTTCTGGATGCAGCCCTCACTAAACAGGGGAGGTAACAGATTAGTGACAACACACACAAGTTGCCGCAGGGCCTGGCACCTTTTACCAACCTTCAAAGCTAAGAAGTATGGCTCCTGCTTTTTTTCCCGTGCTTCTAATACAATGAAATGTGTCTTTTATAGCCAATGCTAACCTGGAAAATTAGATTCTGGGAAACATGTTTCTGTGTTAAGTTGACAAAGAACAATATTACATTAACTTCTTTTATACTTTATTAATATGTAAATTTTCCTCATTTGATGTTTCTGTATAGAAAATACAGTGTCACCTGGACATGCAGAAGATGGAGTGAGTTTGTTAAATGGATGGCAGGTTTCCTGGTCCATGGATAAAATAAGGGACCATGGAATATTTTCTTATTTACAAAGAAGGCAAAGAGGGCCACCACTGAGTAGTAATGTAGATTAATACGATTGCTCTTTCAGTAAAAATTTTGTTGTCTTAAGGCAAATGTTAGCAAGGTGAAACTTTTGGAAGAAACACAAGTCTGATATTCCCTCAAAAAATCCATGAATTTCATTATTTGAATTTATGAACATTTTCTTATGACTAGATTGAATGATATAATTTAAACATTACTTAGAATCTGATAAGGGACTTTTTGTAAAAGTATTCATTGAGGCAGTGTTCTCAGGAGAATGTCATGATGGATAGGACAGGAATGAAACGCCAAACAAGAATGTAATCTCTACTGAATTCCACCTTTAGCTAAAACCCACAAGGAGCTCTAGAACACAAATAGAACCACAGAGATGAGCCCAGGTTGAGGCAAATGCGGCTCTGGTAAACCATCAGCTGCGGTGTGGCCTAGAGGTTAGAGTACCTGGCAGGGAAAGGTAGCTGTCCTTTGGACACAAGTAATTTTCTGGAGAAGGGAACAGCAAGTTCTTAGTCAAAAATCACAGTAGCTAGGAGATAGGTATGCCAGGTTAGTAAAGACAATCTAGGTAGAGCACCCATAGGGCATTTGTGTTTTACGTGGTTCATAATATGTAAAAACAAAACAAAACAAACAAACATCTTAGAGAACATTCCCAAATTCTTACTCTTATATTATCTACTATAATTGTTTCCCCAACACACACAGATTTTTTACTGCCATGATGGTACTTATTTTATTATCATTATTCCCACCCTGCCCCATCTCCCATGCACCATTCAAACTCTATTTAACCATTTCCAAGTCCTAAGTTCTTGACATACAAATCTCCCAACTACACACATGGAAGTGTGGTCCGTTTTCTACTCTGACTGCTTTCTCCTGTGAAAAGAAGTCATTCAGACACTGGATAATTCATTTTCCATCCTACTCAGTTACACTGAAGATCACACTGATTCAAAGTGAGTTGTGAAGAATCTGGAAACTTACACTAGGAGTGGGTAATGGTCTTGGTTCTAGCTTATCTATTTTCTCTGTCATACCTCAGGAGGTGTGGGTGCATTTTCTTCACATCCTCCAACTTAGAACAGGCTTTGCATTAAAATCTGTCCAGTGAATATTTGTTAAATCTACAAAATCCCTCAAATATGTGAAACCCCAGATACAATGCAGTTGTGGAAAACTCTGATTAGGCACAGACCTCAAAAAATGAACAGTCTGTTCCTTTGTGCAGATCTGGACTGTGCGTTCATTGGTTGCTACTCTATTGTGGCAGAGTAACTGTTGACCAATTTAAACCACAAAATGTCATAGGCACATGTTAAATCACATTTGTGCCTCGATATTTTGCTCCTGATTTCTTCTTGCACATGTTGAGATCCTCAGGATTGCCTGGTGCTGTTGGTGTCTCCATTGTAAAGAACAAGTTTGTTTTGTTTTCCCTCATCTAAAAGTTAAAAATATGCTCCTGTACCCATAACCTCTACCTGCCCCCATCTGCTCCAAAGATGTAATATGAGCTGAGCTTCTGAACTCCAACGTTATTTTGTTTTGTCATATGCATAATCATCCTGAAACAATTTGTTTTCCTCTCTTGAAAAACTGACTAGTCATATTGAGTTACTGTTAGGTGTAAGCAGAAAAAAAAGACAATTTTGGTAAAAAGAACTTTTAAAATGATGTGATTTTTCCATTATATTTTCAGTTACTATTTCCTTGACTAGTTCCCTTGATGAGTTTAAAATAGGGTAAAATTTCTCATGGGGGAAAAATATACAAACATTTAAATCCCTTTCATATTTTAAAACAAGGAAAGTTAATGCTCTTTTGAGGACAGATTTTAAGTGTTTAATTTTATACATTTTAATGATGCTATGTTTTGTATTTGAGAAAAATAATCATATTATTATATATAAGGTAAGAAGATCAATCCTTTGAAAGAAATATTCTAATATATTATTGACCTCTATTAAAAGGTCAACTTTCTTTGTAATACATTTCTTGCCTTTGAAAGAATGGTCTGTGGTAACATAAAGAGGTTTTAACGATAGATGCTTTTAATCTAGGAAGGGCATTGCCCTCATGTCAAAAGTTTTAACCCTTTGCACCACAGAAGACCAGTGGTTGAGATGTCCAGGTTTTTGTCTTCTGTTCTCCTCTCTTAATTGCCTTTTCTGAACGGCTTCATTTGCTTTGTCTTAAGGGTCACTTCTACATAGTTAACAAGAAAACATATTCTAATTTCTTCTCCAGGTTTCGCTTCTAATTTTCACCTTCATATTGGATATCTCCAATTAGGGTTCTCACTACTATCTAAAATTCAGGATTTATTATCTTTTCCTGTCAAACTAGTACAAACCGTTCATTTCATAATTTCTGCTAATAACAATCATTAGTCACCAGTTATTTAATATTAAAATCTTGAAACAATTTTTTTCTCTCTGACCACTCTTAAGCCCAGTTGATCTTTTTCACACTCCGTTTTTCAGATTTATTTCTTACTTTCTAATTTCAGGGACTTCATCCTCACAGTTTTCTCTCACTTTATATCTGAACCTCATCCCCTACTCTCATTTCTAAAATCTAATCAATCCTGCACTTCACTGTAAGATTAAAATTCTTAGTTTCACATCACATTCCCTGTATAGATTCCTTGTATAGAAGGTTTTGAGGAACTCCATAATCTAAACTACGGGAAGAAACCACATGTTTGGACTTAAACAGTAAAGCCTTCCAGCATGTGTGTATTATTCTCTTTTATCACATTATCTACCACTTCTTGCTAGTGAAAAATTCCTACCTCCAACCAAGTTAATTTTTTTGTATTGTCTCTCTCTCTCTTTTTAAAATTTATTGTATATATTTAAGTTATGAAACATAAATGTGAAATATTTTTTAAATGTTGAGTATACAAATATTGAAAATAAAACAGTGGTTACCAGGGGCATAGAAGTATGTGAATCCCTTGATTTTTCTTTTAAACAAAATATCATGTTATCTTGCCATGTTCTATAAATTTGCAAAGTTTTACAAATTTTATCTTAATAATAGCATCAATAATAACTAGTTTCAGCATTTAACTTCATTAAATTCTGGGAAAGTGCACTTTAGATAAAGGGGTATTTATCTATTTTACATGTCATTACGAAGGATGAGTAGTTAAGTTCTTGGATTGCTTGGATATTTTGTACTTTTTCTTAGTATTATTAGCTTCATTTCATAAGTCCCAGGAATTTCCTAAAGTCACACAGACAGGACATTAGTGCAAAACCAAGAAATGTTTTTTTTTTCCTCTAATGTTATTTTATTTCAGTTATACTCCCACTACCATATTGGTTGCCATTCACACCATTTACATCCGTTGCTACCTGAGAGCACCTCTCAATTTGCAATCTTTCTGATTGGTGTGGAGCAGAGGAACTGTGCTTTGCCCTAATTTAGCAAAGGGTTAAGACAAGTTAATAACTAGGGGCATGGGAACAGATTGCCTTGTTTTTGAATCTCAGCTTTGCCACCTATGGCAAATAAACTTGGATAAATGATGTAAAATTGCTGCGCTTCAGTTTTCTTATGTCTAAAATGGGGATGATAATGATAGCTATCTCACAGCCTGGATTGTGAAGAGTGTTCGATGAGACAACACAGTGCTTGCCATCTAATAAACATTATTTTTATTACCATTTACAACTGGCAATGGGGAGAGTAGTTTAGAGAGTGAAATCTATTCTCAGAGTTCTCTGTATCCCAAAGGCATTTAGATTTTAAATATGAACCATAGATGATGCATAATACAATGAAAAAATACATAATAATGGAATTTGAGGTATTCTAGACAACATTATGGCAATTATTGCATCATGTCAACTGAGTTACTTGCATTCTCATCATACATGGCCAGTCAGGAAATTTGTAATGATTAATTTTGTCAACTTGACTGGTCCAAGGGCGCCCAGATATTTGTTCAAATCTTATTTCTGGGTGTGCCTGTGAGGTTGTTTCTGGATGTAGTTAACATTAGAATCTGTATGCTGAGTAAAGCAGATTGTTCTCCCTAATGTGAGTAGGGCTTATCCAATCAGTTGAAGGTCTTAATCCAACAAAAGGATGGAGTAAGAGGAAACCTTGCCTGCCTCATTGGTTGAGCTGGGACATCCGTCTTCTGATCTCAGACTGGAACTTAAATAATTTGCTTTCCTGGTTCTCAGGCCTTCTGACTCACACTAGAATGATACCATCAGCTCTCCTGGGTCTCCAACTTGCTGACTACAGATCTTGAGAAAATTCAGCTTCTGTAACCATATGACACAATTTATTGCCATTAACCAACAAATTTATTGGTTCTGTTTCTCTGGAGAATCCTAACCTACACATACACAATGACATAGTAATACATCTGCTTGAAGTCAACTTATACTGATTAGTATTTGACAATGTGCTATGTTAATGTGTTAATTGTATGCATGTGTATTAGTTTACTTAATTCTCATAAGGCAGACATTCTTTGCATATTAGAGAAGTGGCTACCAAAGCCTTGAAAGATTGACTTTTTGAAGGCAATACTATTGGCAATTGGTGTCTGTGTACCACGCTCTTTCTTCTGGCTCCAAGATGAGCCTAGCTTTAAGAAAAGAAACTAGCATTTTCAAACTCAGAAAACAATTATTCTCTGCTTTGAGTGACTATTTTTCTAATGACAGCTTTTCCTACAGCTCTACTGTGAACTTCATTAGAAGGGGCACATATGTCCAAATTAACTCTTTTATTGCTTGGACATTTTTGTACTTTTACTTAGTATTATTAGCTTAATTTCATAAATCTTATAAGTTCAAATAAAATACTATTTTAAAAGTCAAGAAATCTTTGCATAAATATTAACATCTTCTAAAACTACAAGATAATTAGTAAAAGCACTCACTTGAAATCTTAAATTTTTGTATATGACCCATTGATCACATCTCTAGTTTTGAGTACATTCATCTCAACATTTTTCTACCTTCCGGGGAGATAATCTGGGGTTGTAGTTACAATAATGTCAAGCACAGTTCCCTGGACATTTTCAAAAAAATACTGGACTATTCTGATGACAGTTTGTAGGTGTGTGTCTATACTCCCATTGACCAATTTATGAAGTTAAACTAAATCCAGATAAAGCAGTTCAGGCAAATTGTCTGCCAGATGCTTAAGGAGCTATGTGGCTCTGACTTGCCAGAGTTAGCAGAGGAAAAGGAAGAACAAAGTAGTCAAAACCTTATCTCAGAACAGCCAAGAACATTCCATTCACTAGAGGCCAACGCTTGACATTCAGGGTCCTGTGCTTGGGACGCCTTTTCTTTTACTACTTGTAAACTGTCTTACATTGCTGAAGTCATTTTTTTTTCATTTTTGGTTTAGTTGTTCAGGACACTGTGCTTGTTTTTAGTTTATTTTGTTTGTTTTATCTCTTTAAAATAAACAAATAATTCTGTCTTAAGATCATACAGATAAAACACAAATTCTCAGAGATTCCTCCCTTGGTATTGACTACTCACATTGGGCCTTTAAGAAATTTCTGTAGGTAGCTAGATTTTTCTAAACCCATCTATGTTTTACTTATCAAATGTTATCACTGTAATTTATGTGGCATGGGGTTTTTAAGGCTTAATTTATTTGCACTCAAAATGCATAATGTATTTGGGATACTTTTCCTTCTTAGATTGCTATGACCTATGAATAGTTTAGAAAGCTAATAAGTAGTGTTCAGCTTTGCTAGCTCCAGAGAAGAAAACATTTTTATTAGTCATTGCCACCAGCATTGGAAAAGTTCAATAGTATCTTCTGGATTTATACTGAAACCATGGAGAGGTAGATACTATCCTGGATATTCATGTGGTCATTTCTTCAAAATGACTTGTCATGTACCTTCTTTCAACCAAGAATAGCTTTAGATGGTAGATAGATAGAGATAGATAGATAGATAGATAGATAGATAGATAGATAGATAGATAGATAGACAGATAGATAGATACATAGATAGATAGATAGATAGATACATAGATACATAGATACATAGATAAATGCCCACGTGTGTGTGTGTGTGTGCACATGTTTAAAGCCTTGAGAATATGGGAAGCCTTAAGAAGAGTTCTAATGGTGAACTGTAGAAATAAGAACATGAACTGTTACTCTGGACTCTAACTATGCTTCTGTGGCAAGATGTCTTTTCTATTCCTGGGCATTGACTCCTTCAATGATGACAAGTTCAAGGCAAAAATATGAGGGTTTGTAATCAGGAAAGAGCAGTCAGCACTATTTTCTAAGTATTCTCTTGGGACTATGATGTCTTCTCTAGATATAAAGAGATAGTAAGAAAGTAGAAAAAGAAAGTAAAACTAAGAAGTAAGGATTTTTAGCCAGTAGCTCCCTAAAAAAGACTCTGGAACATAATTTGGTAAGCCAGTTAATATTTTAGCATTATTCATTTGACAAATATTTACTGATTAATGAGTACATGCTGGTATTGGGAATATAGCAGTGTATCATTTGAGTCAAGTTCACATATGAATTCCAAAAAGCCTAATGTTACAATAACTTAAATAAGATGGACTTTTATTTCTAGTTCATGTAAAAATTTGGCTTCTTTTGTCTTGCTGCTTTTTTAGTTTCACTGCAGGACCATTGGCAAAAATTTCATCCATGATGACTGTATTCTAACTAATGGAAAGAAGAAAGAAATAAAGGAAGGGCCACCCTCTTCCCCAATCCTGATCTTCATAAATATTTTCCACAATGCACATAGAACACTTTTACTTGTGTCCCACAGGCCAGAACTTAGTAATATGGCAATAACAAGTACAAGGAAGTCTGGAAAATGTCTATTCTGAGTATCTATGTTTCTAGGTAAACATTTCCTAAAATATTTGAGGAAGTCAGTTTGTTTCATAAAGGCTCATGGAAATTAGGCAAATGGGTTTTTGTTGATATGTGAGCCAGAAATCTAGAGGAAAAAATGAATGCTAGTGATTATAGCATATTTGTGGCAACCAGAATTCAAGAGTGATTGTAGCAGAGCCAAGGCCACTAATGCAACAGCATTCTCTAGAGTTTCTTTTTCTAGGGCTTATCTTCTCTGTCAAAACCTTGGTGAATTCTGGAATGTGCGAATGTGATTGATGAAGATATTATTTCCTGGCATTACTGATGATGACATTTTACTCCCGCAAAGGACTGAGATGCATATCTGCAGGAAGAAAGATCTAAGATGTTAGTTGACTTAGAGATCAGTTTAAAGAAATAGGGTTTCTAGACCTCTAAGTTAATCCTGACTTACATATTAGATATCTCTTGACATAGTTAGCCAGTATTTTGAGTCAGTACAAAACAATATTTTTTCCTATATTTTAAGATGAGTATAAATTAAAGAAACACAGAAAATTCCAGGTTTTAGCTAAAATCCTATCTACATAAAACCCTACTTAAGACCAAGTTCAAATGTGCTTTGGATTGGGAGACTTGTCACTTTCAAACAAATAAAATCAACCTCATGTAAGTGACAAGGTATGTATCAAGGCTCTGTATATATTTACATTTTTATTTCACACATTCTCCAGGTAAACAGAGGAAATATTTTTAGTTATCAGACTGATGTTTAAATAATGTTAACTGTAATAAAATATTAATGAAATGTTGCATACTTTGAATATATTGCCATTCATAGGACTGCATCTTGCATATTAATTGGCATGTTTGACTCTTTCAGTGGAATAATCATTCAAACATATTGACTGAACACCTAACACCTGCCATATGAATTTACTACATTGAGAGTTAGAGGTATACATTGAAATAAAATATATTCTTTGCCCAAATAAAGTTTACAGTTAAGCTGAGTAAAAAGGAAGATCCAGGATAACTAATTATATAATGCAATCGATGCTAAATGCCAAATTAGTGAAACAGATAATAAATGAAATTTGTAGGAATCCAGGTAAATAAAAGATTACTTTAAAGATGGGGTGGTAGGGGTTCAAATAAAAACTATTTCTTGATATACTCATTGAAGGATGGGGAGAATTTAAATAATTTTTAACATACGCAGTTGTTTTAAGGTGAAATAAATTATTTTAAGTACTTTGGATATAATTATTCTGTAGGCATAATATTTGAAGTCATGTTTATTTTTTGAAGAGAATGTACAGTCCAAATCTTTTGTAAGTAATACAATGATGTGGAATGCATAAAACCCCAAATTAGTTGAAGGGTAACTTCCATACTGAGTGTTGTTGCAATAGGGCCCAGGTCATAATTTTCATAAATACACCATGGGACACGACTGGGAGCATTTTGAACCAGGTGTGTCTTTCCTTTAGTGCACAGTACCTACCAAGCACTCATGGCACAGAGTTTTATTAAGGAGGTTAATTAACATAAAACAGGATATAACAAATAATAACTCATTAGCTGGAAAATGAAAATGATAAACCAATCCCTGGATCCACCAGATTCTATTGTTTTGACCTCCGTTTCACCTTGCTCACACTGAGTGAATATGGGTTGGTTCAGTCCTCCCTGGACCCACTGCAGGATTATGAAAATCCATTTACTACTCTGTGCAGTTAATAACCAGTTCTTTAGTCAGCCACAGTCACACATGCATGTTTTGCCTCTTTAGATTACTTTGATGTATACTCACCATAGGTAGAAAAACATGAATAGTTTCTGCAAAGAGAAATTTTTAGTCTCTATTCTGTGCTGAAATCCAATCTCTTTGGTGTCATTTCTAGCCTCTATTAAAATATTTTATTCCATAACCAAATTATAAGCTCCCCCTACTCTATATTTCCTGTGTCAAATCGTCTACAATTATCAACTCTACCATGGTTAAACTGTATGCTGTTAATAAGTATATGAAGATTATCAAGAAGTTATATTAAATTCTTAAAGATTTCCATAGTTAGATTCTAGAAAAGCAGAGATATTTCTGAAATAATAAATTGGTTGGGGCTGGGAGAGGTGGCTCATGCCTGTAATCCCAGCACTTTGGGAGGCCGAGGCAGGTGGATCACCTTAGATCAGGAATTCAAGATCAGCCTGCCCAATATGGTGAAACCCTGTCTCTACTAAAAATATAAAAAATTAGCTGGGATTGGTGATGGTCACCTATAATCCCAGCTATTCGGGAGGCTGAGGCAGGAGAATCTCTTGAACCCGGAAGGTGGAGGTTGTAGTGAGCCAAGATCACACCATTGCACTCCAGCCTGGGCAGCAAGAGCAAAACTCCGTCTCAAAAAAATAAATAAATACAATAATAATAACAATAATAATAAACTGGGTGTAGGCAGCCTTAACATTTTCCAAAAGAGCACATCTGATTTGTGAAAATGGCTTGATTCTTCCTCATGAGAAAAAACGAAGATTTTTTTCCTTAAAGACATATATTATAGTGATTTTGATGTGTAAAATATCCAATTGCACGTAAAGATCTGGGAATACATATACATGAGATTGCACTGGGAACCTTAACACACTGCATGGCACAAAATATATAGAACTAAATAGACAGTTATGATAAATTTATAGATAAGGTCTAATATACATTTTCTTTTCACCACTCAAGTTGGTACATATCTCTTCAGAGCACAAAATCCTCCTGGCAAACACAAACAAAGTTTAGAAATAAGCAAGGCCTTTTTTCTAAACATTAAATACTTTTTTTTTTTTTTGAGATGGAGTCTCGCTCTGTTGCCAGACTGGAGTGTAGTGACGGGATCTCGGCTCACTGCAATCTCTGCCTTCTGGGTTCAAGCGATTCTCCTGCCTCAGCCTCCCAAGTAGCTGGGACTATAGGCACCCACCAAGACAACTAGGTAATTTTTGTATTTTTAGTAGAGACTGGGTTTCACTATGTTGGCCAGGCTGGTCTTGAACTCCTGACCTCGTGATCTGCCCTCCTTGGCCACCTAAAGTCCTGGGATTACAGGTGTGAGCCACCACACCTGGCCTAATTTTTGTATTTTTAGTAGAGATGGGGTTTCACCATATTGGCCAGGATGGTCTGGATCTCTTGACCACGTGATCTGCTGGCCTTGGCCTCCCAAAATACTGAGATTACAGGAGTTAGCCACTGTGCCCTGCCTGAATCACTTTTAATAAGACTAAGCTTATGTAAATGAGATAATAAAATAAAAATAAAAACTATAAACATTGAACGTTGAATTTTGCACTTGTATTTTGTCAATTCACATGATTTATTTTATTCTCTCTTCTTAGCAACAAAATCATCTCTTTAACTCTCAACAGTTGACTAACCCTACCAATCATTCTGATTTAAATTTTGACTTAAATTTGTTATTTTTTCCACAGCTTTATTGAAGAATAATAGACAAATAAAACTGTATATAGTTAAGATGTATAACATTATGTTTTGATATACATATACATTGATGTACATGTACAATGATTACCACTAAAATCAAGGTAATTAACATGTTCTCACCTCACATAGTTACCTTTTTTTGTGGGAGTATTTAAGATCTACTGTCTTAGCAAATTTTGAGCATATAATACAGTATTATTAGCTATAGTCAACATGATGTACATTAGATCATCAGAACTTATTCTGCAAACTGCAGTTTTGTACCCTTTAACCAATATCTCCTTATTTTCCCCACCACTCTATCCCTACACCATTCCACTCTCTGCTTCTAATAGTTTGACTTTTTTATACTCTATGTATAAATGAGATCGTATTTGTCTTCTGTGACAAATTATTTCAATAGCATAGTATCCTCCCAGTTCATCCAGTTTGTCACAAATGGCAGAATTTCCTTCAGCCTTTATTCATCATACTGTTCATTTAAAAAATCTATCTTTATCCATTCATTGATGGACACTTAGCTTGAGTCCGTGTCTAGATTTTTATAAATAATGCTGCAGTGAACATGGAATTACAGACATCTCTTCAAGATACGAATTGTATTTCTTTTGGGTATATACCCAGAAGCAGAATTGCTGGATCACATGGTAGTACTATTTTTAATTTTTTGAGGAACCTCCATACTGTTTTCCATAATAGCTGTAACAATTTACATTCCCACCAGTAGCGTAGAAGGGTTCCTCTTTCTGTACCTCCTCATCAACACTTTTCTTTTCGATGACATTCATCCTAAAAGGTATGAGATGGTATTTCCTTGCGGTTTAGATGTACATTTCCCTGGAGGTTAGTGATGCTGAACTTTTTTTTTCATATACTTGCTGGATCTTTGTACATTTTCTTTTGAGAAATGTCTATTCAGATTCTTTGCCCATTTTTAAAATTAGGCTATTTATTTTTGCTATTGAGTTGTTTCAGTTCCTTATACATTTTGGACATTAATCCCTTATCCATTAACAGATTATTCTATTAAATAGTTTTGTCTTTTAACTTTTATGCTAGAGTTAAAAGTGATTTATGTATCACTCCACAGTGTTCAAGTGTTCTGAATTTATCTATATTTTTACCTTTAAGATGGATTCTGTACTATCATATGTTGTCATTTTCTTACTGTTCTTTTGTTTTAACCAGAAGACCTCCCTTTAGCATTTCTTGAAAGGTAGGGCTAGTGGTGATGAACATCTCAGCCTTTGTTTGACTTGGAAAGTCTTTATCTCTCCTTCATTTTGAAAGGATAGTTTTTCAGGGTATAGTATTCTTGATTGGCAGGTTTTTGTTTGTTTTATTCAGCACTTTGCATGTATCATCCCACTTTCTCTTGGAATTAAGATTTCTGCTGAGAAATCTGATGATTTTATGGGTATTTTCTTATAGGTAAAGTCACTTCTCACATGCTGCTTTCAAAATTATTTGTCTTTTACTTTTGAGAATTTGATCATAATGTAACTTGGTAAAGATCTCTTTATTTTTTATTTATTTGGGCTGCATGGATATGGATGTTTATTTTTCTTTACAGATTTGTTTTTTTTTAAAAAATAAGTTTCTGCCCCTTTATCTTTCTCTGCTCTTTTTGAAACACCATACTTCATATATTCATTTGCTTGACAGTGTCTCATAAGTCCTGTAGGCTTTCTTCTCTCTTTTAATTTTTTTTTTCTTTGTGTGTCTCTGACTGGGTAATGTTAAATCACCTGTCTTTGAGCTCACTGATTCTTTCTTAAGTCTGGTCTTTTGATCAAGTCTGATGTTGAAGCTCTCTATGAAATTTTTATTTTCAGTGAATGTGTCCTTCAGCTACAGAATTTCTGTTGCTTTTGTTTTTATTATTTTCATCTCTTTGTCAAACTTCTCATTTTGTTCATGATTAATTTTATGATTTTGGTTAATTGTCTATCTACGTTCTCTTATATCTCACTGAGCTTCTTTAAGATTTTAAATTAATTTCCAGGCTGTTCATAGGTCTCAATTTCATTAGGGTGAGTTATTGCTACTTTACTTTGTTCCTTTGATGGTGCCATGTTTCCCGGTTATTTGAGAAACTTATAGCTTTGTGTTGGTATCTGCACATTTGAAGAAATAGACATCTCTACCAGTCTTTATATAGGGGCTTCAGAAGGGAAAGCTCTCACCAGTTAGCCTATTCAGAAATTCTGGGTGGAACAGCTGGGGTCCAAAAGTGAGGTACAAAAGTAGGTATGCTGCTAATATCATCAGTCAGGCTGGCCTGCTGCCTGGGTCATCAGATGGGTAGACCTGGCACCTGGGACCACAGAGGCTGACCTGGTCCCTGAGTTTGTGTGGGCCACCCTAGAGCCTGAGTCATGGGGGACATACTGGAACCTGGGTCTGCAGGGGCTGGACTCATGCCTGGTTTATGCTGTCAGATCTGGTGCTGGGGTTTGCAATGAAGTAGAGTGCTCACTTCAGTCTCCTTACATGGAGGAAGTCTCTCTCTCTACTAAACTGCACTACATGGGCTTAAAGAAGGATGTATGTATGTATGTATAATGTATGGACGTATGGATAATGTAAAACTGTCTTATTTACCTCCATCAATGTCTTTTTTTGGTTGCTGTTTTTATTTCTGTGTTCTATTCAGAGGCTATAATCTCTCACCAAAGAGAGCTCTGGTGAAAATATTTTTATGCATGGACAGTTATTCAAAATGATGTTTCTGTGAGTCAACAGACACTAGAAACAACTAATTCATTATCATGCGAATGTCCCTCTTCAGATCAACTTAAAGTGGTTATTGGCAATGATGAGAGAAATTAGAAAGTGAAATCATAATACACATTGAGATAAAAAAACAATAGGTACATTTTCATGGACAAGTAAAAGCATAGTCACAAAGACATTTACATACATCTCATTGTATGTAGTTGAAGACACAGACTATTTTCTTAATCTGAAAGCAGCAGCCCAAGAATTAAGCTTCTGCGCGGCAACAGAAGTAAAGTATTCCACATGAAATAGAACACTGGATCCAGCCTGGCTCCTTGACCTTAGGAACTAAAATGGAGCAACAATAACATAAGCCACAAAAGTCTGTTTTCCTGCTACCCTGCACTAAAATTTTTCAGAAAGCTAGGGGTTTGAGAAGGTAAGTGAATCAAGGCACGACCTCACATGTAGGAAGTACTTTGCTGAACAAATCACTGATCTACAGGATCACCTCAGAACAAAAGCCAGTGTGGGAAGGCATTCCAAAAGTGAGACACGAGGAAGTGGCTAGTGGACACAGTGAAAAACTACTAGATCACAAAAGGCGAACACAACAAACACATAAAGAAGAAAGCAAAGAAAGGAAGGATAAACATAAATACACATATATATTTATTATATATATAGTTTAAAACATTATGTGTGATATGTCACTCAACATAAACTGGCAAATTATAATTCCAAAACACATGAGAGAAAATTTAATTCTCATAACTGTATTGAAGAAATAAATTCTCAGAACATGAATTTTATCCAAATGGACTTAATTATAAAGAATAGTTTTTAAATATTTTAAAATAAATACATTTAGAATGTTTAGTAAAAAATAAGTGTACTATAATCATAAAAGAAAACTAAATTATGAAACATAATAAGACATAAGGCAAAAAGAATAAATACATAAGTGAAAGAATCAATAGAAATCCTGAAAATTAAAAAATGTATTCAATTTGATGTAAAGATAACTTTAGAGGTGGAATTTAATGATTCAGCGTGACAAATTAATACACTGGAGAATATTCAAATACAATCAAGCATAGAGAAATAAAGAGATATAAAATATGAAAAAAGAAGAAGTAGAAATTGAAAGGTCACAAAAATGCATAGAGTAGTTTGGAGTTTCTGAAAAATGATGTAAGAAATGGTACAGGAAAAATATTTCAAAAGATATACTATAATTTTCCACAATTTCCTGGAATTAAAGAAATACTTGAATATCACTGTTAAAGGTGTATTTTCTTAATATAATTAAAGAGTTCAGAAATATACACACACCTATGGATAACTGATTTTTAATAAATGTTCCAAAATAGATTTGTAGAAAAACAGTAGGCGTTTCAACAATTGGAACTATGGCAACAGGATAATCATATAGGAATAACAATGAACTTGACCATTATCTTCCATTAATACAAAAACTTAACTTGAAATGGATCCTAGTCATAGTCATAATAGATAAAGCTATAACAATTCTGTAAGTAAAATAGCATGTTAATTCCTCTGCTCAAACCAATGATCTTAGCTTGGTTAACTATTGATTAAAACTTCCTTATCAGATGATCGTATGCTTAGAATTTTAGTTTTTTAATTTTATGTTAAATACACACAAAAAGGCATCAATGTTTCTGCAATCTATATCTAAATATTTTATGTATATATCAGAATTAAATACTGATAAACAAAAAATATAGCATAAGACAACTGGTGAGGGGTTAAAAATTATACTAAAGCTTTAAAGAAGTATAAGTAGAAGTAGACAAATAGCTATATATGATAAAGACAATGAAAGAATAAACAATAATTATTGAAATAAATAATGAAATTTGAAAAATGACAATAATTCCCATTGGAAATCACAGATCTCACTAACAACAACTGATAAGGCAGCAGAGTAAGAAAAATATCTGAAGCCCTCATCTTTCCTATAGATGACTTAGAATATAAGTTTACATGCAAATTTTTATGATTATAACACCGTATGTAAAATAATGGCTAAAACCAATAAGCATGCATAGAAATTAAGAAAACAAGTATCATTGAGTTGCCAAGATAATCAAATAAAAAAAAGAATTCATAAGAAAACATTAAAAAATAAATGCATGGAAAAATATGATAGAAGTTGTGAGTTCTGATAATAAACGTAATTGGCTTAAACTTATCTTCTAAAACAGAAAGTCTCATCAATTGTCTTACAAAACAAAATCTAATTACATGCTGATTCAAATAGATATTTAAAACAAAATGAAGTTGAAAACAGCAAAAATAAAAAAGGTTGAAAATTAAAGACTAGGTGAAATTTTATTTGGTAAAAGTAAAATCCATAAGTGGATACTAATATTAGAATTAAACAAAATGCTGTCAAATCATATAAAGAGTGCGATTACATATTGATAAAACCTATAATTTATAATAATGATATGGTAGTGTTTTTCAACAAATATCTGTAGAGATTTCACTATTGCTTTTCTTTTTTTTATAGTGGGGATATATTAATGTGCAATTTTGACAAGCCCTGGTTCTTATTAAAATCAGTTCTAATAAGGGAGACATAAGGAAATTTAAAAATGAATACATAATTAATTTTTTCTATTATTGATAATATCTATAAGCAAAATAAAACAGATTAGTGAGGAGAAGAATGATGGAGATACAGCATTAGGAAAGAGAATCATGGCCTCTCTTGGAAAAGAACATTTTCACCGAGAACTAAGCAATGAAAAGGATTTGCTTATGAGGAGATTAGCAAAATAGCTCTCTCAGTGGAGAAATTACAAAGTGAAAACATCCTGAGGTCAAAGCAGACATAATGAGAAAGGATTCTCATTTCCTGATAGAAAGTGAGGAGAGACACATATACACCATGGAATACTATGCAGCCATAAAAAATGATGAGTTCATGTCCTTTGTACATGGATGAAATTGGAAACCATCATTCTCAGTAAACTATCGCAAGAACAAAAAACCAAACACCGCATATTCTCACTCATAGGTGGGAATTGAACAATGAGATCACTTGGACACAGGAAGGGGAATATCACACTCTGGGGACTGTGGTGGGGTCGGGGGAGGGGGGAGGGATAGCATTGGGAGATATACCTAATGCTAGATGACACGTTAGTGGGTGCAGCGCACCAGCATGGCACATGTATACATATGTAACTAACCTGCACAATGTGCACATGTACCCTAAAACTTAGAGTATAATAAAAAAAAAAAAAAATTAAAAAAAAAAAAAAAAAGAAAGAAAGTGAGGAGAGACAGATAAGCCAATGCCAGATCCCATAGGGTGGTGGGTCAGTAGAAAAAGTTTGGATGTACTATATATAACGGGAAAGCAGAGGAGGGTGTTTGGTACAGATGATGTGTGAGAAATTGATCAAAACTCTAAACAAGAGAAAACTGGGATATCATATTGGCACTTTGCAGATATGCTGAAAAAAATATTGGCGACTAGGTTCCAGGTCAACAGTAACAGCTGAAGAAGGAACATAGAAGAGAAGAATATATGCAGATAGATTCAAGAAATATTTGGGTTAGAGGACTGATCATATGTTGATGGGTAGAATGTGGGTGGTGAAAAAGGAGGATAGAAATCCAAGGATGACATTTAGACTGACTAAAAAAAAAAAATTCTCTTCTAGATGTGTAAATTGGAGCTTGATAACAGATAACCCAAATGGAGGTGTCAAGTAGGTTGGAGGAGCTCAATGGATAAATCAAGTCTGAATATATAAATGTGGATGTTATTTGCACATTGATTTTATTTGAAACCATAGTGCTGAATGAGATCTATTTGGTAAAAGTACATAGAGAAAAGGAAACACTTACCTAGGATTTTACAATTATGTATCTATGAAGAGATTTGGCTGAATAAAAGAAAACAGAGGAGCATGTGTTGCAATGGGTATGACAAGAAGGAAATTAATACGGTGGGAACAAGTCAATAACATAAGTAAAATAAAGCTTGCATTTAATAACACAAAATGTGCACAAAATGCTTAGAGAAAAATGATAATTTAGGGTAAAAACTCCATAGAAATATTTGAGTATGCTGTTTTTCTCATTATTATTAGTTAATTATCAAAATGTATCAACAGAAAATAATCAAATTGCTTGAATATACAAATTGTCCCAAATAAACCACATTGCATGACTAAAATTATTGAGCTTTTAGCAAATAAAAATGCAAAAACAACCTATCAAAACTAAGAGCTACCACAAAAGATGTACTCAAAAACTGTATGTTTTTTAAAAAAGAAAAATGCAGATTATGCTTTTGGTTAAAAAACAAAGTAATAAAACAAAATCAAAGAAATTAGAAGTAAAAAGTATATATTTATTGGTACTACTGCTACTAATAGTATCAAAACATTAAAAAGGAGCCTCATTATTTATTCTTATAAATATAAGCAACAAAATACATTAACTAAAATTCTGAAAAGTCTATTCTTAGAAAATGTAACAGTTTAAATATGTAATGTACATATTTGGTAAAATTAAAAATGGTTATTTGAAAAAGGAAAAAAATCCTTCTTACAAATAACTAAAGAAAATAGAGTAAATATAAAATGAACAAACTCTTACATTGATCAACTACGCAAATGTTACCAATAATATTTAGTGCACTTAAGGCGGGTACTCTCAAATACTGGTAGTCATGCAAATAGATAAAACTTTTCTGAACCATAACTTTACAATATATATAAAAAGCCCTAAAAATGTTGTGGTAAGCTTCATTTCTAAAGTCATATTTATTTAGGCAGAGGAAATATTCAAATAACAATCTATTATTACTATTACCATTATATTATTATTCATCTCATTGACAAATCAAAAACATTACTTAAAGATACCAGAGTGAAGTGGTTAATTTCACTATAATATTATCCAAATTATTTAGTTAGTTAAAAAAAAAGTTTTCAAAAACTATTAAAAGAAATAAACAATGTTCTTACTTGGTGTCAAGTGAAAATAACTCCTAGGATATTATACATAAAATATCAACTCAATTATGTAAAATGCATATATCCATACATAAACCACACAACCACATAAATCATCGCAGGTCCTAATTAAATAAAATATGTTTAAAAGCCAAGAGTTATTATCTCTGCATGATAATTTTATGGATAATGTTTATGTAGTTATTTATATAACTCTTTATTTTCTAAATATTTCACAAAGAACATATCTTTAGATTCAGAAATGAATAACAAAGAATGCTTGAAGATTTTTAGACAGAAGAAAGATTTTAGACAGAAGAAATGTCAGTTGGATTCTGGAAGAGTGAATCAGTACATAAAGTTCAATAACTTCAGGAGAGAAAGTATAAATTTATAATGATGTATGTAAGGTTTTAAATGGGTTGAAACTCATTTCAGTGGATCTCTGAAGGTAAAACATTGGAACAGTGTTTTAACATTTTCTCCCACGACACTGATAATGATCTCACAAAGTTGTTTATAATCATTTTATTGCATTCATCAGCTGAGACTAATTATAACTCAGATGAAAATCATCCTTGCAGAGTGCATTCTAAATATTAATAAACATAAATAATGCAAGTTTACTATTAAAGCGATTCAAAACAACAAACAGAACCCACAGGGAGTTTCTTAAAATTAATCTGGTTCCCCATAAATTCTGTCTTAATATGTTCAAAGCAACAATATCCCATACCACAGGATATATTAACTTTCTCCTTTCTTTTGTTCTGTTTTCTAATTTTATAGGACAAAATAATAGATGTGAGTGGTTGGCAGGGTAGGAAAACTTCAGTGGTAACTTATAGTAATGAAAATGAAACTAATATAAACATCAGTTGTCTAAGAAAAAGCCGAGAACCAGTTGCTCTTGATATTGATTTTCTAAAAATTCTGGAAGAATTTTTCCCCCTTTTCTAGACTGGCAAAAATGGACAACTGACAAGGATATGAAAACACAACTCTCTAACTTCAAATATTTATTTTAAATGATTGGGTTTCAAATCTCAGATAAATGGACACATTTTAGTTTTTAAGACAATCTCCTATCAGATTTTAAGGAGTCTTCGTTTTGATTGTCTTGGAGTTGAAAATATTATATCACATATCCAAAATGATTGGCTTTATGACCTTGAGCAAATTAACCTTTTGGATTTGACCTCTGATAATTGGCGATAAGATTTTCTCCCTCATAAAATTGTTAGTAATATTAAACATGATATGATATTTTAAACACAGAATACACACTTTATTTATGCCCATTTCTATTATTACCACCATATTTTCCTTTCTGGCTGTATTTGCCATTACAGTTTACTGCCATTACTTTCCTGTGTTATAGGAGTCATTAAATTTAAAGAAACATGTGGATACCAGTTTCAACTTTGCACTTAATATGTGATTTCACTTTTGACATCCTCACTCTCTTCATTTGTTAAATGCCATTAACAACACTTGACATAGCTACTCCAAATACATTGGCAAGGATCAAATAAAACTAATGATTAAAAAGACTACTTGTAAACTCTAAAATACTATTCAAAGGATTATTTCCTATTCAAATACACTCCATGTATTCATGCTACTATCAAAGATACACAATGCCAAAAACTTAGGCACAATCTGACATTAAAAGAACAAATGCTTCCAAACATTTGAATATTACAATATTTCTCAATGCTTTAACATATCATAGTGGTAACGTTTTAGAATTGTAGTGATTTCGTTCAGATAAAAATATACAAATTTTAAAAAACCATGATACTTGCTTAAAGTTTCCTCTTGTCATCCAGAACCATTGGTGTTAAATAGACATGATGTATATTTTCTTGGATAATGTCAAAAGGCTTGTTTTCAGTAAGAAATGTTTAATCCATAACATAGAAGAAATCTTAATACTATTTTGATATTATTTGTGATTCCTTGTTATCCTAATTTTTAACGTGACTAAAGGAAAAATCTTTTGTTTCTTCCCTTCTCTATAAAACTACAAATTTTATTTTAGAAAGAAAAAGGCGATTTGATAAATATAACTAAGATTACTATCACATGAAAGTTAAAAACATTTCAAATTCAATAAAGGTAATGGATAAATAAAAATCCAAAACAGAAAGTTTGGCTTGAAACAAATACTGAATTTTAATGTTTTAGATTAAATATCACATATGGCAAACTCTTAGTAAACTTTAAAGTCATAATCATAGTTGAGAGCCAAAATGCTAAATAGGTCATATTTTAAGTAAAGTGGAGAAATATTTAGATTTAATGCTAGATGATTCAATATTATGTATTTGGTTAAACCATTCATAAATCCCAATAATTATTGAATAGGATAAAACGCAAGAGTAACCAACTGACATGATTTCATTTAATTATTAAAATTACTAAAACTCTTAATATTTTGTTATATTCTTTTATATTTGCAGATTTTTCTGCTCACTCTCTGGTCAGATATGGTAAAATCAATGACCCTATAAAGAGGTTTCATTGAGAAGTCTCAGGAAAGTGGTGGAATTTAAAAGTTTTCTCTTTAGTTTTCTCAGATCCAGAAAATTGTGTAGATTAGTTTTCTCAAAACTTAAAGGAACATATAAACTTTTCCAGGAAACAGAATGCTCCCAAACTCATAATATGAGGCTAAAATAAGTCTGAGTCTCAAATTGGGCAAGAATAGTAAGAAAAAGAAAATTATAGTCACTTTCATTTATGAGGATAATTATTAACAAATGATAAAAAATAATATATGCTGAAGTAAATTTTATCATAGAAATGCCAGGCTTAATTGATTAATTCAGTTTACCACATTAACACCTTCCAAATTCCAACTCTATGGCTCCTCTCAATATACCCCCTTATTTTCTTCTATTTCTCCTTGTTTTCTCTTTTATCTTTCCTCTAATCCCAACCTCTCCCCAGCTCTCTCACAAATACCCTGAAGTTTTCATATGACTAAATTAGCTTAGCCTCCTGTCTCAGAGTAAAGATACCTTGAAAAACGTACTCAGACTTATGTGTTACACTCATAGAAACATTTATGTTTCAAAGATGTGTATAGGAGTAAGACAATAAGTACCTTCATTTAGAGTGTTAGTAACAATGCAAGAGCCATTTGGAAGTTGGAATGAAGGTGGCTTCTATCTATCTCTGCAAGTTAACTATGGTTTCCATCTATGGGAGAGATCACAGAGGTGCTTGCTACTACATACAGACTGAGTTGTTTTTTGCTGCTATTTCCCTTTGGCTCCAGAGCACGACAATTCCCTTTCTTTAACTTTTCCCATTTGTGTAATGTTGATGTGTAGTTTTCATTCCGTAGCCAGTAATGGTTAGATCATTCGGCCTTGTACTAAAACCTGTTCTTAGGATATTTCCTTCAACATTTTTTTTTTTTTCATTCAGGAGACTGCCTCACTACAAACCAAAGGGTTTTACTTGCCATGCTCTGGCTCAAAGTTCAATATCCAGAGACAATTTCTTCTAATAAAATCCTTTTTCATCTTCATTTATACAGAGTTTCTTAAAACAAAATCAGGCATTTTGATTTTTATATTTATATAATAACTTCGCTCCACCATAAAAGGTGGAGTACATTTTATCTACTAAAATAACTTACAAAAGTAAAATACATTAAAGAATAAAATCTTTATACATTTTTAAAGGAGCCAGTGAGAGTAGATGGTGTCAAGTATTTAGAATGTCTAAAATTAGGCATTGAATGTGGTAACCAAGACAAAATGGAAACTTAGATTATAGGATTTATTTTTGTAACCCATCCCATCTCACAAAAACCATGAATCTCACAGCTGACATTTCTTTTTTTCCCCATATATAGAGGATACAGTTCTACAATAGATATGGAACAGGAAGAAAATTATAAAATAAATTTATTTCTATTGCTCTCATCCTTAAGGGTGTCCTTTTGAAATATGGATATAAAAGAAAACGTGCAAAGCGATTTTCCTCTAGATGAGAAAATAGGAGAAAAAATAGGACAACCATTCCTGCATCCCTATCACTCTGCTCTTCCCCAACAATAAGGAAAGAATGCATTGAAGGTACACTTGCAAATGTATATTTTGATCTTAACTGTCAGTGGGCAATATTTTTCTAAAATTTCCTAACAGAAAAATAATTAAACTGGAAGAAACTTGAGAGATCTAATAATTTTTCTTGGGGTTGAACCGTTCAGAACAGATGGTTATCTCTTTTATTTCTAAGGATTTACACAGCTATCTATGATGTGATTTTATATCCTGGGTGGTCAAGAATGAAGTAAACCTTGTCCTTCTCAATTAACAAAAAAAATTGCAAAAACAAACCAAAAAGGCTAAAATATCAAAATGTTCTGTGAGATAATATTTAAAACAGATTTTCAATGGAGTATTTTATAAGTGATTTGAGTGTAGATGTGATTAAAAAACATAATTTTCTCAAATATAGTCATATGTTATAGCATCTCCTAAAATACTCCATAGATTTTTGTTAAAAATACAGTAAGAAATTCATAACAAAAAATAAAATTTTTCTTAGTAAGAACCTTCACAAAGTCATTAATATACAGATATTTATTATATTGCTTTTGATGATGCAAAAGAAGGAACACTTATATAAGCATGTTCCATACATATCCTGTAACTTTGTTTTCTTTTTCCCCCATTGTGAAATCTTAAGTTTATAATGCCCTATAGGATAGAGTTGGTTATCTTGGTTTAAAATATTGTACAACCACACGTATCTATAGAGACATAGGGACAATTACTAAAATATCTGAAATAATAAAACATGTCAAGAAAATAAAAGCACATAGAATTTATAAGGTCAGTATAAATGCCAATGTAGTTGTGATTTATCTATGTATGCAATTACTACCTTCATAGATTTAAAATCAGTTTAGAAAACAAGTTATTAAAATGAATTCCATTTGTGTTATGTGCAGAAAAGCTTAGAGTGGTAATAAAAATGCTTCAATAATCAGAATATTCTTGGTATTCAGCAGATATTTCTGTATATGTATTATTTGTTGTTTGTTTTTTTTTCTTTTTTAATTTTACTTTAAGTTCTGAGACACATGTGCAGAACGTGCAGGTTTGTTACATAGGTATGCAAGTGCCATGGTGGTTTGCCACACCCATCAACCCATCAGTTACATTAGGTATTTCTCCTAATGCTCTCCCTCCCCTAACCCTCACCCACAGACAGACCCTGGAGTGTGATGTTCCCCTCCCTGTGTCCATGTGTTCTCATTATTCAACTCCCACTTTTTACTGAGCAAATGTGGTGTTTGGTTTTCTTTTCCTGTGTTAGTTTGCTGAGAGTGATGGTTTACAGCTTTATTCATGTCCCCTGCAAAGGACATAAACTCATTACTTTTTATGGCTTCATAGTATTCCATGGTGTATATGTGCCACATATTTTTTATCCAGTCTATCATTGATGGGCATTTGGGTTGGTTCCAAGTCTTTGCTATTGTGAATAGTGCTGTAATAAACATATGTGTGCATGTGTCTTTACAGTAGAATAATTTATAATCCTTTGGGTATATACCCAGTAATGGGATTGCTGGGTCAAATGGTATTTCTGGTTCTAGGTCCTTGAGGAATCGCCACACTGTTTTCCACAATGATTGAACTAATTTACAATCCACCAACGGTGTAAAAGCATTCCTATTTCTCCACATCCTCTCCAGCATCTGTTGTTTTCTGACTTTTTAATGATCACCATTCTAACTGGTGTAAGGGTATCTCATTGTGGTTTTGATTTGCATTTCTCTAATGACCAGTGATGATGAGCTTTTTTTCATATGTTCGTTGGCCGCATAACTGTTTTCTTTTCAGTGGTGTCTGTTCATATCCTTCACCCACCTTTTGATGGGGTTGTTTGTTTTTTTCTTGTAAATTTGTTTAAGTTCCTTGTAGATTCTGGGTATTAGCCCTTTGTCAGATAAATAGATGGCAAAAATTTTCTCCCATTCTGTAGGTTGCCTGTTCACTCTGATAATAGTTTCTTTTGCTGTGCAGAAGCTCTTTAGTTTAATTAGATCCCATTTGTCAATTTTGGCTTTTGTTGTCACTGCTTTTGGTGTTTTTGTCATGAAGTGTTTGCCCATGCCTATGTCCTGAATGGTATTGCCTAAGATTCCTTTTAGGGTTTTCATGGTTTTAAGATTTATGTTTAAGTCTTTAATCCATCTGGAGTTAATTTTCGTATAAGGTATAAGGAAGGGGTCCAGGTTCAGTTTTCTGCATATGGCTAGTCAGTTTTCCCAGCACTATTTATTAAATAGGGAGTCCTTTCCCCATTGCCTGTTTTGGTCAGGTTTGTCAAAGATCAGATGATTGTAGAAGTGTGGCATTATTTCTGAGGCCTCTGTTCTATTCCACTGGTCTATATATCTGTTTTAATACCAGTACCATGCTGTTTTGGTTACTGTAGCCTTGTAGTATAGTTTGAAGTCACATAACATGATTCCTCCAGCTTTGTTCTTTTTGCTTAGGATTGTCTTGGCTATATGGGCTCTTTTTTGGTTACATATGAAATTTAAAGTAGTTTTTCTAATTCTGTGAGGAATGTAAATGGTAGCTTGATGGGGATAGCATTGAATCTATAAATTACTTTGGGCAGTATGACCATTTTCATGATATTGATTCTTTCTATCTATGAGCATGGAATGTTTTTCCATTTGTTTGGGTTCTCTCTTATTTCCTTGAGCAGTGGTTTATAGTTCTCCTTGAAGAGGTCCTTCACATCCCTTGTAAGTTGTATTCCTAGATATTTTATTTTCTTTGTAAAAATTGTAATTGGGAGTTCACTCATGATTTGGCTCTGTTTGTCTATTATTGGTGTATAGGAATGCTTGTGATTTTTGCACATTGATTTTGTATCCTGAGACTTTGCTGAAGTTGCTTATCAGCTTAAGGAGATTTGGGGCTGAGACAATGGAGTTTTCTAAATATACAATCATGCCATCTGCAAACAGAGACAATTTCACTTCCTCTCTTTGCATTTGAATACCCTTTATTTCTTTCTCTTGCCTGAATGCCCTAGCCAGAACTTCCAATAGTATATTGAATAGGAGTGATGAGAGAGGCCTCCTTGTCTTGTGCTGGTTTTCAAAGGGAGTGCTTCCAGCTTTTGCCCATTCAGTATGACATTGGCTCTGGGTTTGTCATAAATAGCTCTTATTATTTTGAGATACATTCCATCAATACCTAGTTTATTGAGAGTTTTTAGCATGAAGCGGTATTGAATTTTATTGAAGGCCTTTTCTGCATCTATTGAAATAATCATGCAGTTTTGTCATTGGTTCTGTTTATGTGATGGATTACATTTATTGATTTGCTTATGTTAAACCAGCCTTGCATCCCAGGGATGCAACCAACTTGATGGTGGTGGATGAGCTTCTTGATGTGCTGCTGGATTGGGTTTGCCAGTATTTTATTGATGATTTTCGCAACGATGTTCATCAGGGATATTGGCCTGAAATTTTCTTTTTTTGTTGTGTTTCTGCCAGGTTTTGGTATCAAGATGATGCTGGCCTCATAAAATGAGTTGGGAAGGAGTCCTTCTTTTTCTATTATTTGGAATAGTTTCAGAAGGAATGGTACCAGCTCCTCTTTGTACCTCTGGTAGAACTCAGCTGTGAATCCATCTGGTCCTGGGCTTTTTTTGGTTGGTAGGCTACTAATTACCACCTCATTTTCAGAACTTGTTATTGGCCTATTTAAGAATTCGACTTCTTCCTGGTTTAGTCTTGGGAGGGTGTATGTGTCCAGGAATTTACCCATTTCTTCTAGATTTTCTAGTTTATTTTCGTAGAGGTGTTTATTCTCTGATGGTAGTTGTATTTCTGTGGGATCAGTGGTGATATTCCCTTTTTCACTTTTTATTGTGTCTATTTGATTTTTCTCACTTTTCTTCTTTATTAGTTTAGCTAATGGTCTATCTATTTTGTTAATCTTTTTTAAAAAAACAGCTCCTGGATTCATTGATTTTTTTGAAGGGTTTTTCATGTCTCTTATCACCTTCAATTCTGCTCTGATCTTAGTTATTTCTTATCTTCTGCTAGCTTTTGAATTTGTTTGCTCTTGCTTCTGTAATTCTTTTGTGATGTTAGGGTGTCAATTTTAGATCTTTTCTGCTTTCTCCTGTGGGCATTTAGTGCTATGAATTTCCTTCTAAACACTGCTTTAGCTGTGTCCCAGAGATTCTGGTACCTTGTGTCTTTGTTCTCATTGGTTTCAAACAATTTATTTATTTCTGTCTTAATTTCATTATTTACCCAGTAGTCATTCAGGAGCAGGTTGTTCAGTTTCCGTGTAGTTGTGCGGTTTTGAGTGAGTTTCTTAATTCTGAGTTCTAATTTGATTGCACTGTGGTCTGAGAGACTGTTTGTTATAATTGCTGTTTTTGTTGTTGTTGTTGTTGTTTTGCATTTGCTGAAGAGCGTTTTACTTCCAATTATGTGGTTGATTTTAGAATAAGTGCAATGTGGTACTGAGAAGAATGTATATTCTGTTGATTTGGGGTGGAGAATTCTGTAGATGTCTATTCGGTCCACTTGGCCCAGAGTTGAATTCAAGTCCTGAATATCCTTGTTAATTCTCTGTCTTGTTGATCTGTCTAATATTGACAGTGGGGTTTTAAAGTCTCCCACTATTATTGTATGGGAGTCTAAGTCTCTTTGTAGGTCTCTAAGAACTTGCTTGATGAATCTGTGTGCTCCTGTATTAGGTACATATATATTTAAGATAGTTACCTCTTTTTGTTGCATTGATCCCTTACCATTATGCAATGCCCTTCTTTGTCTTTGGTTTATCTTTGTTGGTTTAAAGTCTGTTTTATCAGAGGCTAGGATTGCAACCTTGCTTTTTTTTATTTTTTATTGTTTTTGGCTTTTCATTTGCTTGGTAAATCTTCCTCCTTCCCTTTATTTTGAGCCTATGTGTGTCTTTCCACTTGAGATGGGTCTCCTGAATACAGCATACCGATAGGTTTTGACTCCTTATGAAATTTGCCAGTCTGTGCCTTTTAATTGGGGCATTTAGCCTGTCTACATTTAAGGTTAATATTGTTATGTGTGAATTTGATCCTGTCATTATGATGCTAATTGGTTATTTTGCCCATTAGTTGATGCAATTTCTTCATAGTGTCAATGGCCTTTACATTTTGGTTTGTTTTTTTAGTGGCTGGTAATGGTTTTTCCTTTCCATATTTAGTGCTTCCTTCAGGAACTTTTGTAAGGCAGGCCTAGTGGTGACAAAATCCATCAGCATTTGCTTGTCTGTAAAGAATTTTATTTCTCCTTCACTTGTGAAGCTTAGTTTGGTGGGATATTAAATTCTGGGTTGAAAATTATTTTCTTTAAGAATGTTGAATATTGCCCACCACTCTCTTCTGGCCTGTAGGGTTTCTGCAGAGAGTTCCACTGTTAGTCTGATGGGCTTCCCTTTGTGGGTAACCTGACCCTTCTCTCTTGCTGCCCTTAACGTTTTTTCCTTCATTTTAACCTTGGTGAATCTGACAGTTGTGTCTTGGGGCTGCACTTCTTGAGGAGTATCTTTGTGGTATTCTCTGTATTTCTTGAATTTGCAAGTTGGCCTGTCTTGCTAGGTTGGGAAAGTTCTCCTGGATAATATCCTGAAGAGTGTTTTCCAACTTGGTTCCATTCTCCTTGTCACTTTCAGGTACACCAATCAAACGTAGGCTTGATCTTTTCACATAATCCCATATTTCTTGGAGGCTTTACTCATTCCTTTTATTTTTTCTCTAATCTTGTCTTTATGCTTTATTTCATTAAGTTGATCTCCAATCTCTGATATCCTTTATTCCATTTAATCGATTCAGCTATTGATACTTGTGTATGCTTCACGAAATTCTCATGCTGTGTTTTTCAGCTCCATCATTTCATTTTTGTTCTTCTCTAAACTGGTTATTCTAGTTAGCCTCTAATCTTTTTCCAAGGTTCTTAGCTTCCTTGCATTGGTTTAGAACATGCTCTTTTAGCTCTGTGGAGTTTGTTATTACCCACCGTCTGAAGCCTACTTCTGTCAATTCATCAAACTCATTCTCCGTCCACTTTTGTTTCCTTGCTGGTGAAGAGTTGTGATCCTTTGGAGAAGAGGTGTTCTGGTTTTTGGAATTTTCAGCCTTATTGTGCTGGTTTTTCCTCATCTTCGTGTATTTATCTACCTTTGGTCTTCGCTGTTGGTGATCTTTGGATGGGGTTTTTGTGCAGACATCCTTTTTGTTGATGTTGATGCTATTCTTTTCTGTTTGTTAGTTTTCCTTCTAAGAGTCAGTCACCTCTGCTGCAGGTCTGCTGGAGTTTTCTGGAGGTCTACTCCAGACCCTGTTGGCTTGGGTATCACCAGTGGAGACTGCAGAACAGCAAAGATTGCTGCCCGTTTCTTCCTCTGGAAGCCTTGTCCCAGAGGGGCACCTGCCAGATGCCAGCCAGAGCTCTCCTGCATAAGGAGGCATGGGGGTCAGGGACCCACTTGAGGAGGCAGTCTGTCCCTTAGCAGAGCTCAAGCGCTGTGGTGGGAGATCCGCTGCTCTTTTCAAAGCTGGCAGGCTGGAACGTTTAAGTCTGCTGAAACTGCGCCTACAGTCGCCCCTTCCCCTAGGTGCTCTGTCACAGGGAGATTGGAGTTTTAGCTATAAGCCCCTGACTGGGACTGCTCCCTTTCTTTCAGAGATGCCCTGCCCAGAGAGGAGGAATCTAGACAGGCAGTCTGGCTATAGCGGCTTTGCTGAGCTGCGGTGGGCTCCAACCAGTCCAAACTTCCAGGTGGCTTTGTTTACACTGTGAGGGAAAACTGCCTACTCAAACCTCAGTAATGGCGGATGCCCCTCACCCTACCAAACTGGAGCATCCCAGGTCAGCTTCAGACTGCTGTGCTGGCAGCGTGAAATTTTAAGCCAGTGGTTCTTAGCTTGCTGGGTTCCATGAGGGTGGAATATGCTGAGTGGGATCCACTGAGCTAGACCACTTGGCTCCCTGGCTTCAGCTCCCTTTCCAGGGGAAATGCCTCACCGGCATTCCAGGCACCCATGGGGTATGAAACAAAACTCCTGCAGCTAGCTTGGTGTCTGCCCAAATGGCCACCCAGTTTTGTGCTTGAAACCCAGGGCCCTAGAGATGTGTAGGCACACGAGGGAATCTCCTGGTCTTTGGATTGTGAAGACCATGGGAAAAGCATAGTATCTTGACTGGAGTACACCATTTCTCTCGGCACAGTCCGTCACAGCTTCCCTTGGCTAGAGGAGGGATTCCCCAACCCCTTGTGCTTCTTGGGTGAGGAGACGTCCCACTCTGCTTCTGCTTGCCCTCCATGGGCTGCACCCACTCTCTAACCAGTCCCAATGAGATGAACTGGGTACCTCAGTTGGAAATGTGAAAATCACCCGCCTTCTGTGTTGATCTCTCTGGGAGCTGCAGACTGGAGCTGTTCCTATTTGGCCATTTTGCCAGCCACACCCTGTATATTTTTTTAATTGTCATTTTGCAAAATACTGTTTTAACAAAAAAATACATTAGTCCCCTCTTATCCATGAGGGATACATTCTGAGACCCCTAGTATATGCCTGAAACTGCAGATAGTACCGAACTCTATACATATCATGTTTTTTCCTACATATCCATATCCATATTAAAGTTTAATTTATAAATTAGGTACAGTAATCTTGGGCGTTAGGCCATTATTAAGTAAAATCGGTGTTGCTTGAACACAAGCACTGTGAGACAACGACAGTTTAACTGATAAGCTACAAGGCTACTGACTAACAGGCCAGTACATAGACAGGGTCTTATATGCTGGACAAAGAAACAGTTCACATCCTGGCTTGGATGCAATGGGACAGTGTGAGATTTCATCATACTACTCAGAATGTTGCACAATTTAAAACTTATGAATTGTTTATTTCCAACATTTTTTCATTTAATATTTTCAGATGGCAGTTTATGTGGGTAACTGAAACTGTAGAAAATAAAACCTCAGCTAAGGAGGGGGTTACTGTAGTGTCTACCTGCATGTTTTCTGGGTGCATTTGTGTATAATAAATTATAAATTGGTTTGACATATTAATTCCTATTATATTTTCAAGCATCACACCACCAACACAAGAAACATACATGACAATAGGGTTATTTTGGTATAGAAAATGATAGAAGGATAAAGCCTATAAATTAGTTGATTAAGCCTATGGTTGAATTGTGAATGAATTTTTACTTTATATTTCTGTAAAATGTTTAAATTTTTAAAAGCACAATTTTATGATGTTGTCCGATTAGAGCAACAACAAAAAAATCTAAGTGGTAGAAAATCCTAGTACACATAGCAAAGTTCACAAAGAATAAAGGTTATTCTCTCATTCCAAATACACACACACACACACACACACATGCTTATGCACACTTTAGCTTACAAGTTAAAAATACAATGAATAGTAAGATATTAAAAATTAGTAAATAAAGAAGAGAGAAGAGATGCCATCAATAAATGAAATATGAAAAATCTTCAGAAGTACTGAGAATACAGTAGTTCAGTCTTACAAATGGATAACATTAAGTGTTTATGCATAACTCAATGTTCTGAGAAAGAAAGGCAGTTTCAGGGAAAGCAGATGAGAGCCCCAGTGTTGATTGTAGATTTGCTTTAGTTGAAATTAACTTTTCTCTTTTACTTCTAGTTAAAATGATTAGACAATGTAAAATATGTATTTACCAGATGCTCTTGCAGTTGGGAGATTATAAAGGTGGAAGGGGGACAGACACATATAGTGGTAGCAGCTGATTGGCAAGTTACCCCAAAATCTCATGTTCTGGATTCAAGACTTGGTGGGAAGCAGTTATGCTGGGGTTTTTGGGAGTGGGGGAAATAGTGGTAGCAGCAGTAGCAGCAGCAGCATTTTTTTGACCTCTGAACTACAGCTAGCAAAGTGTGGTAGAGAAACTCAAAGTCTATTGGAACCCCCTTACTTTTTCTCTCCCAATTCTTTAGCAACAAATTCTCTGTAGTCCATTCCTTCAGCTGGAAATTCCTAGAGTGGGCCTTATGTCCTGCACTAAACCCAGGAACTGGAAATGTGAGTCATCCTAAGGTTTTGTGGCTTCCTAACTGAGGGCACAGAAATTGTGTAATAGAAACAAGTCATCCCTGCTGAGCTTGATCTGAATCCTGACCTGAGAAGAATCCATTAACATAATAAAATTCTTATACTAAACCACAAAGTTTTGGGGTGGTTTGTTATGAAACAGAAATTTCTGTTTCTTAGAACAAAAAATTGGTACCTGAACATAGTGTTCTCCTGTAATAAAAACTTAAAAATTTACCATTGGCTTTGGGCTGGGTGCCAGGCTGAAACTTGAAGGATCTTGAGGAATCTGTTACTGAAAGTTGTAAAAGGTTCAATGCAACTATTGATGAAGTCTGCAAAGACAGGGAGAAAAATTGTTTCTGAGAACTGAAAAAAGAAATAATCCTTATTAAGAAGGGGCAAAAAGTTTGCCACAACTCACCAATGTTGTGAAAAAGAGAAAATATATCAAATGCACATAGTTGATTAGAAGTACATTCTGAATGTGGAAAGTGCCAACTAATTTTTTAAACTGCTTATAATATCATATGGATAGAAAGAACCTTTCGATTCACAAGCAAAATTTGAGGAAACAAAGGATGTAGGACTATGTATTAGTTCTTTTTCACACTGCTGTAAAGACATACCCAACACTAAATAATTTATAAAAGAAAGAGGTTTAATAGACTCAGTTCTGCATGGTGGGGAGGCCTCAGGAAACTTACAATCATGGCAGAAGGGGAAGCAGGCACTTTTTTCACAAGTTGGCAGGAGGAAGAAGTGAATAAAGGAGGAACTTCCAAACACTTATGAAACCATCAGATCTCCTGAGAACTCACTCACTATCATGAGAACAGTATGGGGGAAACCACCTACATAATCCATTCACCTCCCACCAGATTCCTCCCTCAACATGTGGGGATTATGTGGATTACAATTCAATTTAAGATTTGATGAGAACACAGAGCCAAACCATATCATTCTGCCCCTGGCTCCTCACAAATCTCACATCATTTTTACATTTTCAAGACAATCATACTTTCCCAAGAGTCCCCCAAAGTCTTAACTCATTTCAGCATTAACCCAAAAGTCCAAAGTCCAAACTCTCATCTGAGACAAGGCAAGTTACTTTCACCATGAGCCTGTAAAATCAAAAACAACTTAGTTCCTTGCAAGATGCAATGGAGGTACAGGCATTGGGTAAATACACCTGTTCTAAATGGGGGAAATTGGCCAAAACAAAGGGGTTATAGAATCCATGCAAGTCTGAAATCCAGTGGGGCATTCAATAAATCTTTTCTGTTGCATCATCAGGCTGCAAATTTTCCAAACTTTTATGCTCTGTCATGTCTTGAATGCTTTGCTGTTCAGAAATTTCTTCCATGAGATATCCTAAATCTCTTTGAAGTTCAAAGTTCCACAGATCTCTAGGTCAGGGGCAAAATCCCACCAGTCTCTTTGCTAAAGCATAGCAAGAGTGATCTTTGCTCCTGTTCCCAAGAAGTTCTTCATCTCCATCTGAGACCACCTTTTCCTGGAATTCATTGTCCACATCATTATCAACATTTTGGTCAAAACCTTATTCAACAAGTCTCTAGCACGTTCCAAACTTTCACACATTTTCCTGTCTTCTTCTGAGCCCTCCAAACTGTTCCAACCTTTGCCTATCACCCAATTCCAAAGTCCCTTCCACATTTACAGTTTATCTTTATAGCAGTGCCCAACTCTCCACAGTACCAATTTACTGTATTAGTCCATTTTCACACTGCTATAAGGACATACCCGAGACTGTGTAATTTATAAAGGAAAGAAGTTTAATTGATTTACAGTTTCTCATGGTTGGGGAGGCCTCAGGAAACTTACACTCATGGTGGAAGGGGAAGCAGGCGCCTTCTTCACCAGGCAGCAGGAGGAGGGAGTATGCAAAGGAAGAACCACCAAACACTTATAAAACCATCAGATCTCATGATAATTCACTCACTGTAATGAGAACAGCATGGGGGGAACCACGACAGTGATCCAGTCACCTCTTATCAGGTCCCTACCTTGACACATGGGGATTTGGGGGATTACAATTCTGGATGAGATTTGGGTGGGGACACAGAACCAAACCATATCAGACTGACTATGTTAGAAAACAGATTTCTCATTTCCATTCTCTCTATAACAAAATTCTCAAAGAAGGGTCTCAGAGCAAAAATCAAATCCACAGCAATGTCAAAAAAAGTTTTGAGATAAAGATTGAACTTGGGAAATGATCAAAAAACCCTAATAAAGTCAAACAGTCTTCATAAAACTATTGAACAGATAAAGGGCTTCTAAGAACATTAACGGCATATTGTACCCACTTTCTCTGTTAAACAATAGCTTTCTCACAGAGGTTCCAAGACACAGAAAGGCTTGTCTCAGAGGTATTTGTCTAATGGAGTAGATATATAAATTGCTAATTGATACGCAAAAGATCTATAAAGATTTTAAAGTAATTTTATTTCAGTTTGTATCTGAAAGGGGCAGAAACTATGAAAAATTTATTTTAAAAAAAGACTCTCTTGACCTCCCTAACTTTTATTTGCAAAAAGTCAATGGAGAAGTCTACTTAGTTGCAAACAGTGGTCAATTCTAATGAAAAAAAAGAAAAAGAAAAAGAATAAATAGAGGACAGAACCAAGATTCCAAAATGTGGAACCAGGAGCCATGGAGAGCAACACTCACAAAATGGAACTGTTTTAATCAAGAAACTGGCGATGTGTAATTGTCTAGCTTTCACAATTGCTATGGACCATTAACTGTTGTGTACCTGCCATGTTTTGTTTCTCTCCTTTTGAATGACAATATTTATGAAGTTGTCCTATATGTGTTCTGTTATTGTATCATTGTACGGTGTGTGTGTGTGATGGAAAGTATCTTCTCTTTTCAGTTCATGAGTCTTCATATTCAGAGAAATTGTACAGGGGTAATGTATCTCTGGAGCATTATCTATACCTGGACATGATTTAGGTGACAAGATCTTGGACCTTGAATTGATTCTAAAATGGGACAAAACTTGAGTAATATGAGGAAAATGGTGAGTGTATTATGCCTGTGGAAAAATGAAAATAATTTGTGTTCAGGAAGCAAACTCTGGATATTTTAAACATGTGTCCCAATTGTCAGACACTCCTCTGCTCAAAAGGTGAGGACCTGTGACCTCTCCCTTGGACTCTAGAAAGGCTCATGCCTGCTTCCCTAAATAGAATATGACCAAAGTAATGGAATACAACTTCTGAGCTAGCCTCATAAAAAACAATGTAGTTTCTTCCTCTGTGTGTGTGTGTGTGTGTGTGTGTGTGTGTGAGTGTGTCTATGCATGTGTGTAGTTTTTTCCCTGAGCCACCATATGAGAAGCTTGATGCTGTCAGTAAGCCAAGCCATGTGGAGAAGTCACATGTAGGTACTCTGATTGGCAATTCCAGTTTTAGATTCACCCCTTTCTAGATGCCAGATAGGTGAATGAATGAGCATTCAGATAATGTCAGCTTCTGGCTGTTGAATCATCACAAGCCTTTCGTGAAGACTTAAACATCATTAAGATCCACAGAAACCATGGACATAACAAATTAATGTTTTAAGCTATGAAGCTTTGCAATATGTTTTAAAAGCAGAGATAGTAACTGTGATATGAATGATGTTGAATAATAATACATAATTAATTAGCTTAAATAACTTAAAAAAGAAAGATAAGTAGAAAGTGAAGTGATGATTAATTTATTAAAGAGAAATATTAAAATTTAATTAAGACTAATTTTTAGATTCTATCAAAATAAAATTATTCCTGTTTCTTCTTTCTTAGGCATTTGACAACACTGTAGTCAATGCTGTTTCTTTCTTGATGTTAAATCCATAGTATAAAATTATTACGTGGAAAAATGTCAACAGCATTGTTTCAACCCTGCATCATAAATATTTATTCTAAATGAGTAAAAATTTTGAAGTTGAAATAAAATTAAATTTGGTGATACATTTTGTGCTGTCTTACAAATATATTTGAGGTATGTGGTAATTTTTGTATATTGCTTACATAACTACTGTTTCATTAAAGCAAATATTCATGTTTTAACAAAAAGAGTTAAAGAGTGAGGAGGAGAAATCTCGAAGTTAATTGAGTGGTGCATGCTTTTACTATTGCATGAAGTATTTAAATGGAAATATTTTTATTCTCTTTTCCTTAAGTCCTTTGATAAATCAAAATATTTTTATAATTCTCATCATAATTTATAATAACACCATTGCTGTGTGATTATTTACACCTGAGTGTGTATAATCATTGCTGCTTTCTATTCAGAGAAAGATTATTTATTGTCCTATAAAATTAACTAGGGTTTTGAAACAGGAAAATAGCATTAATGTAAGTACTTAATTATTAGTAGTTTAAATCATGGTATTTTTTTCTGATAAATAAGTATTTTTCCATGTGGAAGGCATGAATGGAACAAATGACAAACAATGACTAAAATTAACACCTTAAATGTTCAACCCCTCCTATATAATGTTCAACCCCTTTCTATATAATTTTTCTCCTTTTCTCTGTTTCCTTTTTATTCATAGGAAATTGGTCACATGATTTTGAAATTCAGATTTGAACAACAATAAACTAATCACATTACTTAGATACTTGCTACAATTATTTCAAACCAAATTTTATTTTTCAATTTTTCTCAATTTTCAGTATTTACATAAAAAGCATATTTACATTTTTTATTGGAATTTCTGGCTTTTGTGCCTTAGTCTGTTGAAGAACAATGGTAGCATTTCTATGCTTCTATGCATTCTTTCCTTAAATTGTGAATCTTAAGCATAATAAAAAAATTCTTATAGCTGACAAATCTTTATGAGTAAACCATAAATATGGATTTGAATAAATGCTATAGTAAAAGGAGTCTTCTCTTACTCCAAAATTTTACTAATATTAATCATTTGTTGAATTTATTTTTCTTTACTTTGATAATTAGGAAAAATATAGATTATTATTTTGGCATGACAGCTAGGTCTTTTCATTTATTTATCTACTTATTTATTTATCTGAGACAGGGTCTCACTGTGTTGCCCAGGCTGCTCCCAAACTTCTGGGCTTAAATGATCCTTCTGCCTCAGCCTCCTGAGTAACTGGGATTACAGGCACATACCACTGTGCCTGGCTCATAAATCTTATTTTATAAAGTGTTATGTTTTCAAGAGCAGTGACTCATATTTGTGTCGATTCTCAGAGAATACAAGATTTGTGACCTACAAGATAATATATAGATGTTCTATTACAATATTTTTATTTAGTTAGGAAAGCAACACACAGAAGTCACATGTTTGGGTGTGAGCCTCGGATTTGACTTCTTACCCACCAATTGGGTGGTTTATCCATTAACCCGTTTACCAAATTTTCCAATTTAAGTCAATTTTAGCAAAAGCACTTTATAGGACGGTTTTTTTACTTGTGCCTCATTTGTAAGAACTTCAGTAGAAAGCCAAGCTAAACCTGACAGAAAAAATGAATTTTCAAATGAATGGGCAAATTAACCGTAAACACAACCATAGACCAGAATTAGAGGGAATAAGGAAAGAAAACTTTAAACTTTTGCCTTACTTCTCTTTGAAGAGGATTATATTTTCCAAAGAAAACCAAGAGTGTGGTAGATATATTTTTTTTAAGTTCTGGTTAGCCCTAATTTTTCCAGTAAAATACTCAGTGACCGATAGGATCAAATTTTCCTTTTTGGTGGCTAACTTTGATCATCTATAAAATTAGTGTGGGAATCAAATTAGCTAAAAGATCCCTTTCAGCTTCAAAATCTCATGTTACTTATAAAACAAACAGGCAGCAGAAAATTAAACAAAACAAAAACAAACCATCCACTATTTCCAGCATAGTTTGTTAAATATTTTCAAATACACAGCTACAAAATATCATTTCTCAGATATTATAGCAATGGTTGCTCTAAGGAACATAAAATGTAGGAGGTTGCAGGGAAAAATGGCCAAATCCAGTACTGCTTAATATTTAAGATAGAATGATCATTAAATCAAGAAAAAGGATTTGAAAAATGAACAATAAAAAGAGAAAACATACTTTTAGATCTCAATCATTCATAAACTTATTCTTAAAATTACCATCAGTATTGACATTTTATTTTCTATAAAATAAATATCTGATTAGACATCTAATTAGAAATTTAACTATTCCCATAAACTTTAGCAAGGCTCAGTTAAAACTCCAGAGCTGAAGATATTAATGAATCTTACTAAAGAGACAGGAACCCACCCAAAGTTTCACTGTGGAAAAGACGTTGAAATCTTGGTCTCTTCACAGGCTTCCCTTTAAATAATTACCTACTTTCTAAAAACTACCTCTCAGATTTCATTCTAACACTAAATTGAAAATTAAAATGAAGTTTTCAATTTGCTGAGCAGATATTGAATGGCTAGATGGATGGATGGATGGAAGGGTGGATGGATGATGAATGGAAACTGAATGACTGATTTCATTGGTGTGTAGTGCCATATGTTTGTGAAAGATTCAATAAAAAGTCTGAAAAATAAGTGGATTCACGAAGCAGTGCCATTTAATTTAAAATTTAATTTTATTTCATGTTTCTGTTTGGGATCCTGGACACAACTCATTTAAGTGAAAAAAGGGAACACGGCAACTGATTTCTTTCTAACTCCGGTTTTCTTTTCTGAGCGCCTTAAAAACTTCTACTGGTACCAGTTCTTACCTTTGTTTCCTTTCATGTATCTTCCAGGTTGCATTTTGCCAATTTGTTTTCAGCTGATCTTTATGTACTAACAAATTGGCAGAATGACAAAGACAAGCAGGGAAATAAGAGAAAATGCCAAATGTTATTTTCTCCACCCGCAAGCAGTAAAAAGGGAGAACATTCCACTTTCATCTTTTTAATATGAGTACTTCTTTTGCTCCTGGAATGAGAAAGTACATCCTGCTTTATTTGAACAATGTTCCCCTTAGGAATAAAGGCACTAAAGATAAAGGAAAACACATTAAACTCTATAGCACTTTTAGCTGGCTCACTCTTGCTACCTCTTCTTGCAAAACTGATTCATCTTACAAAAATCCAAAGCAACTTTTGCTGGAAGATATGGCTATTCTTTTGACATAGAAAATGTATCAAATTCATTAAATTTTCTCACATTATTAATTAGTAATTTTGCCAACAAATGCTAGAAGTAATGAGTTAACTTTTAGGTATTTTCACAGCTTGGAGAGGATGGTAACTTAATTTGGGATTGTAAAATTCATTGTCCTACATTTGAGTAAATACTATTTTAGTTGAGTTTGAACTAGTTGTGAGGCACATTGCAATATTTTTAAAACATCAGGACTGTGAACTTTGTATTGTGTAATTCTTTATATTTTCACTCTAATTTCTAAGACATCAGAATTATTCAAATTTATGTTTTTCTGTTTTGTTTTGTCACCCAAGCCTGATTATGACCCAAGATAACATAAAATTTATATTTATCTACAGGATCAATATGAATTATTGTATCTATCATGTATCATTTCAAAGGCAATAGAAATCTAAATATAAATCAAGGGTCAGCTTTCCCTTTTCCCCTTAAGGAGAGTGTTTGCTCAAACAGATTTTAGAAAGTGAGGGGAAAAAATGCTTCTTTATTGTTTAATTTGGGAGTTGAGTACTCTTCCTTACTCTGAATGGGCCACAGATACTGTGCTAACCATTGTTTGAAATTCTTTGGTCGCAGCATTTCTCTCCTTAGTATAATGGAGCTATCTTCATTGATTTTTTTTCTCTTACAGAAATACTCCTGTTCTTAACTTCCCTCCTATGCCCTACTTTTCAGGTAACTATACATACAAGTAGCCACACAGATTCTTCATTCTACAGGGTGTATTAACCAAAGCTAAGGGATTTTCAGTCTAGAATAAATATCCCAGAGGGCTCCAGAGGGCTCCAGAGGGATATTTGATATACAAAGTTTCACATGGAAGTCTAAGCAGGACAAAGATATAGCATGAGTGGTAGACATTTATTTTGTTTTCTGATTGTCACATGGGTCCCTTTATTTTTTTAAGTATTTAGCTGGTAATTATTAAACCACATCTTTACATACAATATAACACACACACACACAAACACACAAATCTCAAAAATAAAAACTAATTATTAGAGATGCTGCAGTCTAAACCAGAGTGCAAAAAAGTCCAATTATGAACTTCAAGATTGTTTTATTTAATCTCATATGATTCTAAAGAATCAAATAGAGGTTTAAAAATCAGAAATTTCACATGAAAGTCAGGATAGTGGCATTTCTTAAATTTTATGTTGCATTGTGATAACATTTTCAGCGATAGCAAGCAGATGGATCTAAGTAGTTGTACACTAGGCTTGAGCTCTCCATTTTGACAGCTTCATTACTCACACAATGTATGTGCATGCCCTCTTGACCAGCTAACTGTCACTTCATTCTCTTGGTCCTTAAAACATTTTTTTTTCTCCTTGTAGGTTGAGATTTGGTTAACCTATGCTGATAAAAATAAATCTTTCTATATGCCTGATAATTGCAATATAATTTATTAATTGCACTGTGGAAAATGCAGAGTTGCCTTTTCCACAGTGACATTAATAAAATGCACTACTTCATAATTAGTTCCTCTCTTTTTCCCTGTCTATCTCTGCCTAGAAAAAGTATAATGGTTCCTTAGACTCCTCTTAATGATTGCACCTGAAAACCGTAAGACAAAGCTTTGAAATGACTGCATTTAAAATTTGATTAGGATACTGGACAAGTTCTCCCTCATGTAGAAGAAGTTCTGTTTATGTGTTTGAGGGAAGAGGGGACAATTTTTTATAATTCTTCTATTTATACATACTCACGTAAGATGCTTTATAAATGCAATTCAATTGACTTACCTCAATAGTTGTAATTATGAAGAATATGCTTTAAAGTCTATTTCATTTTATCTAAATTTAATTATATTCTCTATAAACAGATACCAGGACTAACAGCACTTTTGTTTTCATATCATACATTCAGAATTGTAGTGCCAGTCAAAATAAAGGCTGTGCATAATTATTCATGTTTGACTTGAATTATGAAAACTGAATACATGGATGTAAAGTAGACAAGGAAAAGTTAGTTTAGGTGGGGATAGCAGCGTGTGCACAGGCATAGGGCTGTGAAAGGTACGCTATGTCTCAGGAAGAGAAAGCATTTTTATCATAGACTAAAGTAAACGATAGTGAGAGAGTGATGGACACTGCAACTGTTTGCTGAAGAATCAATGGACACAGAGACATTGCTCTCAAAATAAACCTCATGTATCCTACAAAGGATACAAGAGACTATCTTTGAAGCTTGGTGGTAATGGTTGGCCAAAAGTGGATGTATAGAGCAGTAACATAATAAGAATTGTATTATAAGAGAATTTACCCTGTCAACAATGTGTTATGGGTCACAGAGGAAGGCACCTGGAGTCCTGATGTAGAGTAATGAATTGTTTTTAATGTCATATACAAAGACTAATGTATATGCTCTGTAAGGATTTAGGAATGGGAACAGAGCGTGCAAGAGAGACTTACCAGATATTTTATAGTTAAAATTGACCCACCGGATATGGAAAATTTAGAAATGGCAAACAAAATTGATCAATGGGTGGAGAAAAGAGAAATGAGTCAAGAAAATTTAGTTTGAGCAAGCGTATTGACAGGGTTATCACTGAAATAATCTGCAAGGTCGATTTCAAGGCTTAACACAAACAACCACACACATACACATGGACGCACATAAACATACACAAACAAGCTTCGCGTCTTTCTTTCTAAAGTCTTAATTTGACATTTCAGACTGACCTGTCTTTGTCAACAGGAAAAGTTACCCCATCCCAGTCAAAGGAAATGCTAGGAATCTGTCTCTCAGTTTGTTCCCCCTAAAGTAGCAGTTTAGCCATTTACTGTTTTAACTTCCAATCCTTGTCAATCTTGCTCATTATCTGTTAAAGGTTTCATTGAATTACATGTTTTCATTGACCAGTGAATAAATGAGGAGAGATTATGAACAGCATTTTTTCAATTCCATAGAAACTATAAGTCAAGGACAAACAAAGCAACAGTTGGAGTCATCAGAGTCCCTGACGATGTATCCACACATGTCTTATCATCAAAGAACCAGCCCTTTGACTTTATATTATTGACCCTATTCCACATATTAGGAGTAAAAATCCATTTATGACTAAAGAGCAAGTATTAAAATGAGAATGATGTCCTTCACAGGACACAAAGATAACCACTGATAATAAACAGAATATAAGTCCAGAGCTCAAAAACAAAAATTCCCCAAAAACGTCTGGTTTGAATCTGGAAATCATAAGACTATACATGGCAATTAAAGTCAGGTTTGTATATGAGATTTCCTAAGGAGAGAAACAGAAAGAAATAGAGAGAGAAAAGAAGAGAAGGACACTGCAGAGGGCCCTGGTAACTCAAGCTTTTAAGGAATATCTAAAGAGGTAAGGAAAAAATTGAAGAGGTTGAAGAAGGAACGGAAAGCAGTTGTACCAAAGTCTAAGAAGAGAATTTCAAGGGATGATACACTAAATGTGACCACATGAGATCATTGCAGTCCTATCAAGAGGAGGAGAAGTGTAGTGTCTTCATATGAAGATGTCCTGGAGAATATATATATATTTTGCTTTGTAAGATAAACTGTCTAATATCTTTCAATTGAAAGGATTATGTAGGTTATAAAAACTTAAAAATTGGCAGAGCAGAGTGTATCACACCTATAGTCTCAGCACTTTGGGAGGCCAAGGTGGGAGAATTGCTTGAGCCCAGGAGTTTGAGAACAGCCTGGGCAGCAAAGCAAGACCCGAGACCCACATCTCTCCAAAAAGAAAAAAAAATTAGCTGGGCATGGTGGCATGTGCCTGTAGTCCCAGCTACTCAGGAGGCTAGGGTGGGAGGATCACTTAAGGCCAGTAGGTAGAGGCTATAATGAGCTGTGACCAAGCCTTTGCACTCCAGCTTGGACAGCAGAGTGAGACTCTGTCTCAAAAACAAACAAACAAAACCAAAAAAAGTAAAAATTAATGTGAAGTATGTTCGGAAGTTTCTTATAAAATTTAACATACACCTCTAACCTTTACCCTGTGACCCGATTATTTCACTTCTACATATTTATTCAAGAAAAATAAAATCATATGTCCACAAAAAAGATGTGATCATGAATGTTCATAGCAGCTATTCATAACAGCTAAAACTGAAAACAGCCCATATGCCTATCAAGTAGACAATGGATAAACAATGGAATAATACTCAACAATAAAATGGAACAAAGTATTGATACATGCAACAACAAACAGGGAAGATCTCAAAAAAATTATGCTGAGGGAAAGTACACATACAACCACTATTGTATGATACCATTTATATAAAGTTTTACAACAGGCAAAACTAAACTATGCTGCTAGAAATAAAAACTGTTTGCTTCTGGTGTGGTGAGGGATTGACTAGAAAGGGATAACAAAGGAACTTTCTGGAGAGGGTATTGCTTTGTTTTTTCATATGGGTGTCGACTAAACAATTGTATGCATTTATGAAAATTCATAAAACTTTAACATTTCATCATATGTAAATTCTTCTTTAATCAAAAGGGAAAAGAAACAAACATTAATAGAAAGAATGTTTGTAAAAAATGTTATAGGAGCTTATCTAGATTGACAGGGGCAAAGAGAAAGATCTAGGAAAAAGATAAGGGTAAGGGAGAATTGTTTTAAAATAGTGTAAACATGTTAACATAAAAAAAATAGAGAGGAAAATGTTGGATTTAAAATGCAGGGTATTGATAGAGCAATATCCCAGAGTAGACAAACGGAACTGTATTAAAGAAACCAAACATGTTTTACTTTCCTCCTCTAAAGGGCCAAAAAAGAGACAGAGCAGGCTCAGGAGGTTTAGGAACTTGATCCAATTAATTTATAGTGGGTTACATAATCAATCATGAGAAGAGACTAAACATAAAAATTTCGTTATTTGGGCTCCATGTTGTCCTCACAAGGATAAGAGTACCTCCGGGGCCTCTGTAATTGACTTCTAACAAGGTAGATAATTTTGATCATGTTAGAGACATATCTGAAATGGACTCAGCCCTGGGCTACTGCATTGGTAAGGACTAAGCAATAGTAATCTTCATCTAAAATTGTTTTTATAGAGAAAAAGTCAAGTACCACCAGAAACTTTGCACAAGAATTACAGTGAACTATGAAGTCTGATGCAAACCAAAATTACAAGATGTATTTGGAAAGAGCTTATGTATCCGAATATAAAATGTTAACTCAACCATGAACACTTTCATCTTACTGAGTTTAATGAAAAAGTATTTGGATATCTCTAAAACAACAGAAAATAAATGGGAAGTATCTCAACAACCACTGAGACATTTTGGCACAAACACATCACAACCCCATAAACCTTAGAACCGAACAGAATATGTTGGCCAAAATTATTAGGGTCGAGTGAATGCATAGAAAGCACTCCATGTATGTTTATGCAGTGCTATTTGAAATTTGAGGAGGCATGAGAATGGCTAGAAAATCTCAAAGAACAATACTGGTTTAAATGATGATAGCTCCAACACTCCAAAAACAAAGCTATGAACCGGCTTCATTGAAAATCACTTACATTTGAAAATATGGATTTGAAACATCAGGAAATAGACTAAATGGAAACCATCTGAGAGGAGAATAACAGAAATTAGAAATATATCCCAAAAATCTCCAAAAATACAGTAGCGGAAAACATTAAACATTGGCGCTCATTTGGAACAAATCTCTTTACATTGTCATTTGAAGTCTTTGGCATTGTTTTACTGGGTAAAATTTTGCTTTTTAATAATTATTCATTTTAATTTTATCATTAAAAATTTCTCTCACTTCTATCCTGTAAAATTGACTTACTATTGCAAAATCTGTGCTTATTTATTTTTTCTTATTACTGATGACAGATGAAGCTGCTCTTAAAACACAGATACGAATAATGTAATGACACAGGATTTTCATTAATATTTTTGTAGAGATGCTATAGCATGTAAAGAGCCATTCTTTCCCAAGCAACAATGAACCTAGGAAGTTGACTGATAGGGATATCATAACAAAATGCCACAGATTAGGTGGCTTAAACAACAGAAGTTTATTTCTCTCAGTTCTAGGGGCTGGAAGTACAAGGTCATCTTGGCAGGTCTGATCTCTCCTGAGGCCTTTCTCCTGGCTTTTAGATGGCCACCTTCTCACTATATTCTCACATGGCCTTTTCTCCGTATGTACCCATCCCTGATATCTCTCCTTCTTCTTATAAAGACACAAGTGATAGTGCATTCGGAACCCACCCATGTGACTTAATTTAAACATAACTGCGTTTTTATGGGTTCTGTCTTCAAATACAATCACACTGGGAGCTTAGGACTTCAACATGTGATGCTTGAGGAAACATAATTCCGTCCATAACAAGTGGCATGTCAGATTCAATATTTGGGAGTCCCTTTAAGACTGAAAGCTGGGCAGTGACTGAGGGATGGGTAAGGGATATTTCACACAGTTAATATTATGAAAATATCTCAGTTCATAGACATATAAGATTAGATGATGTGTTTTCATCAGGATGTCTTCTCACCCTGCACTCCAGGAAAACAAATCGTGTAAGACTACCTATTTTCCCTCCTCCTGCAGGGCTGACCTTTGTGATTTTTCTAGATAAAGTTATATGGAAGTGCACTTTCATTCACATCTTAAGTGTCTTCTCCTTAGAGAGGGACGTTTTCATAAAGTGGGAAAGCCAGGCCTACATATTTTGCCTTTGCGCCTTTTGGATTGTGAGATCTTGGTAGAATTGGGAGTGCCTTGTGGCTATAAGATGGTGGGATTAAGGGAGAGCCAATCAGGTTGATTTTGTTTATTAGAGGAAGATTTTTTTTTAAGCACAGGTTTGAAGGCACAGAAACTCTGCCGGTTCCATTTCTTCTGAACAATCTCTAATTAATAAGGACCTACTAGGTCAGATGAAAACAGTTGAAGAACAGAGAAGGAAGGCAAAATTCAGATTGCTCTGAATTGAGATGGTAAAGAATTAGGCCCTGCTCTTTGAAAAGGCTGGCTCCAAAGCAAGTTTTCTCACCCTCAGCATTAGCGGCATTTGAGCCAGTTAGGGCGTGTGGCTGTCCTATGCATGGTAGAAAGTTTAGCAGCATTCCTGGTTTCTACTTACTAAATGCTGACAGCTCCCCCTCGCCCCAGTTTTGACAGCTGAAAATAACTCCAAACATTGCTAAATGTCCCATGGGAGATAAAATTGACAGCAATTGAGAGCTACTGACCTAGAGAGAAGAGAAATTAGGCATTATCACGAGAGGGGTATGGTGTCCTTTTTTTTCAGTTTTTTTGTTTTGTTTTGTTTTGCTTAGGATGAAGGATGCTTGTATATATTTAAAACTGGCAGAGTAGTGTCCAATTATCCACATAAGGTTGACTACCTGAGATTCTTTTCCTCACTCTCCTAAAACATTACTAAAATAACAGTGGCAATAAAGGCTCAAAAGAGATACAAACTCCAAAAGGACAAAGAAAACAGTGGAATAGACATGGACAGATGAGCAATTTAAGTAGTTTTTCTGAACCCAGAAAAGAGACATTGTGGTGATTACTGAGTTAGAAGATTAGGGAAAGACATAACTTTTTTTTTTTTTTTTTTTTTTTTTTTTTTTTTTTTTTTTACTTTAAGTTCTGGGATACATGTGCTGAACGTGCAGGTTTGTTATGTAAGTGTATATGTGCCATGGTGGCTTGCTGTACCTATCAATCCATCATCTAGGTTTTAAGCCCTGCATGCATTAGGTATTTGTCCTAATGCTCTCCCTCCCCTTGCCCCCCACCCCCGACTGGCCCTGGTGTGTGAAGTTTCCTTCCCCGTGTCCATGTATTCTCATTGTTCCACTCCCACTTATGAGTAAGAACATGCGGTGTTTGGTTTTCTGTTCCTGCATTAGTTTGCTGAAGACGATGGTTTACAGCTTCATGTCCTTGCAAAGAACATGAACTCATTCTTTTTTATGGCTGCATAGTATTCCATGGTGTATATGTGCCATATTTTCTTTATCTAGTCTATCATTCATGGGTATTTGGATTGGTTCGAAGTCTTTGCTATTGTAAATAGTGCTGCAATAAACAGCACTATTTACTGTTTCTATAGTAAACATTACTACTATGCATGCGTCTGTCTTTATAGTAGAATGATTTATAATCCTTTGGGTATATACCCAGTAATGGGATTACTGGGACAAATGGTATTTCTGGTTCTAGATCCTTCAGGAATCATCACAGTGTCTTCCACAATTGTGGAACTAATTGACACTCCCACCAACAGTGTAAAAATGTTACTATTTTTCTGCATCCTTGCCAGCATCTGTTGTTTCCAGGCTTTTTAATGATCACCATTCTAACTAGCGTGAGATGGTATCTCATTGTGGTTTTGATTTGCATTTCTCTAATAACCAGTGATGATGAGCATTTTTTCATATGTTCGTTGGCCACATATTTATGTCTTCTTTTGAGAAGTGTCTGTTTGTATCCTTTTCCCACTTTTTGATGGGGTTATTTGTTTTTTCTTATAAATTTGTTCAAGTTCCTTGTAGATTCTGGATATTAGACTTTGTCAGATAGATAGATTGCAAAAATTTTATCCCATTCTGTAAGTTGCCTGTTCACTCTGATGATAGTTTCCTTTGCTGTACAGAAGCTCTTTAGTTTAATTAGACCCCATTTATCAATTTTGGCTTTTGTTGCCATTGCTTTTGGTGTTTTAGTCATGAAGTCTTTGCCCATGCCTATGCCCTGAATGGTATTGCCTAGGTTTTCTTCTAGAGTTTTTATAGTTTTAGGTTTTGTGTTTAAGTCTTTAATCCATCTTGAGTTAATTTTTGTATAAGTTGTAAGGAAGGGGTCCAGGTTCAGTTTTCTGCATATGGCTAGGCAGTTTTCCCAGCACTATTTATTAAATAGGGAATCCTTTTCCTATTGCTTGTTTTTGTCAGATTTGTCGAAGATCAGATGGTTGTAGATGTATGGTGTTATTTTTGAGGCCTCTGTTCTGCACCATTGGTCTATATTTCTGTTGTAGTACATGCTGTTTTGGTTACTGCAGCCATGTAGTATAGGCTACAAGGGCAGCCAAAGAGAAAGGTCAGGTTACCTACAAAGGGAAGCCCATCAGACTAACAGCGGATCTCTCTTCAGAAACCCTACAAGCCAGAAGAGAGTGGGGGCCAACATTCAACATTCTTAAAGAAAATAATTTTCAACTCAGAATTTCATATCCATAATTTAACTGTCCTCAAAGATATATAACCAATTTACCACCAAAATATTTAAAATACCAAAGGTATTTCAGAAGGTGTGTGATGCACAGAGATAAACACTGTAGAATTTATTGAAAATTTTAATTAGAAGTGGTTATGTTTCCAGGTGCTCACCCCATTTGTGATCAACCAGGAGGCCACTCCTCCAATCCCAATAGGTTATTAGGATACCTCACCCCTAGCAATAGAATTAATTGAAAAAGCTATAGATTTGAGCAAATGATCTGTTGCTATTTGTACATCTTAGCACAAGGCTCAAATTTGCAAGCATATATATATATATAATAAAATTCATATTCTGTGTTGGAATCTTAGTTGCCTTCTGCATCTGACACTGGGAATATTGTGTCTGGCATTTATCCACTCAGGTTGAAATTTGGACAGTTTCCATACTAACTTGGTTAGTCAAACTGTTGCAAAAGTAGACTTTAAAAAGTCAATTAAAAAAAAAAAGAAATTATTTCTCACTTATGTAAATAGTCCAAAGGAGTTCAAGTCCAGGGAAATCCAGGAAGAATTGGGAATTGATCTGGGTAAGCAGCTAGTTCTTCTATCGTAGTAACAGTGTTTATTTATTTATTCATAATTTTTATTTTAAGTTCAGGGGTACATGCACAGGTTTGTGACATAGGTAAACTTGTGTCATTGGGTTTGTTTACAGATCACCCACATATTAAGCCTAGTACCCTTTAGTTATTTTTCTTGATGCTCTCCCTCCTCCCACCCTCCACCCTCCAATAGGTCCCAGGATGTGTTGTTTCCTTCTAAACGTCCATGTTTTCTCATCATTTAGCTCCCACTCATAAGTGAGAACTTGTGGGATTTGCAAAATGTTCCTGTGTTAGTCTGCTAAGCATAATTGTCTCCAGCTTCATCCATGTCCCTTCAAAGGACATGATTTCATTCTTTTATATGGCTGCATAGTATTACATGGTGTATATGTACCAATTTTCTTTACCCAGTCTAGCATTGATAGATATTTAGGTTGACCCCATGTCTTTGCTGTTGTGAATAGTGCTGCAATGAAGATGAGTGTGCATGTGTCTTTATAATAGAACAATTTATATTCCTTTGGGTATATACCCAGTAATGGGATTGCTGGCTTGAATGATATTTCTGTCTTTAGATCTTTTAAGAATCTCCACACTGTCTTCCACAACTGGGTGAACTAATTCACACCCCTACCAACAGTGTACAAGTGTTCCCCTTTCTCCACAACCTCTTCAGCATCTATTATTATTTTTTTGACTTTTTAATAATAACCATTGAGACTAGTGTGGGATGTTATCTCATTATGGTTTTAATTTGCATTTGTCTAATGATTAGTGATACTGACCAGGTCAGCAATCACTTATTGCAATCAGCCCAGAAGGGAGAGTTCGTGCTATGAGCCCAAGCCAGGGGCTCCCTGTTTGATGATGAGCAGTTGTGGGTGTGTGGGACCTGAGAGAGATGGACTGACCTCCTCTCTTTGGGTTGACTGCAACTTGTTGGAGGTATGGATAAGGCACTTAGGGTCTTTGCCCCTTCATTAGCCTGAGGGTAGCAAGGACAGTTCCACTGCAGAGGCAGTGGCAGACAGGCTTTCAGTTGCCCCTCTGAGGCTCTGTCCAGGGAGTAACAGCTGATACCGGCTTGAGAGCTCTTGTTGGGGGTGGCTAGAGGCCCAGGCCTAGAGGACCTGCCCAGTGAGGAGATATGGGAATGGACATCCATATAACAGTCTGGCCACTTTTCCATAGAGCTGCTGTGATATGCTGGGGATCTGCTCCAGTCCCTAGTCAGCTTAGATTTTTCAGTACCTGAAGGTATCACCAGTGAAGGCTACAAAACAGCAAAGATGGCAGCCTGCTCCTCCCACTGGGAGTTCCGTTCCAGGGAGGTATGGACCTAATGCCAGCTTGAACACACCTGTAGGAGGTGGCTAGGTCTCACCCAGTGAGGAGGAATGGGATTGGGGATCCACTTAATAAAGCAGACTGGCCACATCTTTGTAGAGCAGCCATGCTCTGTGGGGGTCTGCTTCAGCCTCTGGTCGCCTTGGACACTCCAAAGCTTGAAGGCTGGAATGGCTACGTTGCCCAAACAGCAAAGATGGCTGCCAGGTCCTCCTCTAGGAACTCCATCCCAGGGAGGCCTGAAACCTGTTAGCTGGAGAACACTGGCGGGGGTAGCCAGAGACCCTGGTTGGAAGGCTCCACCTGACGATGAGGGACAGGATTGGGAACCTGCTTTAAAAATAGCAGCCAGCAGCCAGGCCACATTTTTGTAGGGCAGCTATGCTGTGCTTGGGTATTGCTTCCACCTCTGATCAGCTTGGACTCTTCAAAGCCCAAGTAGTCCAAACAGCAAAGATGGTGGTCCACTCCTCCTTCTGGGATCTCAGTCCCAAGGAGTTTTCAAATCTGTGTAGGCCAGAGAACACCAGTGGTGGTGGCTGAAGGCCCTGGTTGTGAGGTTCCTCCCAGTGAGGAGGAAGGGGGGCTCAGGGACCCATTTCAAGAGACAGTCTGGCCATGTTTTCATAGAGCAGCTGTACTGTGCTGGGGGGACGCTTCTGCCCCTGGTCAGCTTAGACTCTTCAAAGCCCAAAGACCAGAACAGCTAAGTCACCCAAACAGCAAAGATGGCGGCCCGCTTCTCCATCCGGGAGCTTCAATCCAGGGAGGTGCAATGCTGCTACAGGTGGCTGGCTGGAATTCCAAGCCAGTGAGTTTTATCATGTGACCAGCCATGGAAGTGGGGGCAGCAGACTTGTTGCTCAACCCCCTGGCTTCAGCCTCTTTCCTAGGATCATATATTGGGGGCTAATCACCTGGTTTGCCAGAGTTGCTGCTACTTTGTCTGGGAAGCTCGGAAAGCCCAAGTACCTAAAGCTCCCCTGTGTCTGCCCGTGCCTGAGTGGCTGCTCTGCCAAGACTCCACATAAGTCTGTGTGTCAGACTGAAGGCCCTGATGGAGTGGGCTCATGAGGGGATCTCCTGAACCAAGGATGCAAATATCCGTGGGTGAAACAAGGGTTCCCGGAGTCACAAATTCAATCACCACTTCCCTGGGCAGGGGAGGTTCCTTTGGCACCATGTTTCTCCTGGGTGGGCTGTCGTTCTGCCTTGCTTTTCTCTATTCTCTGTGGGTTGAATTGTTTCCTTGATTATGAACCATTGGGAGTGTGTGGGACCCAGAGAAGATGAACTGACCTCCTCTCTTTGGCTTGACTGCAGCTTGTTGTAGGTGTGGATAAGGCACACCTTGGAAATATCCAAGTCTCAAAGTGGGTACTTGGATATTTCAGCTGAAGGTACTGTGTTTACTCACCCCTTCTTTCCTCCCTGTGACCACCACACACACACCCCCACACTAGCTGTTTCTAGTAAGCCGCCTTGGTCATTCCCCCATCCCCTGGTTTATTTATTTTTGCCAATAGAGAGTGCAATTTATCATATGCTTCAATTTTTTTTTATTATTATACTTTAAGTTTTAGGGTACACGTGCACAATGTGCAGGTTAGTTACATATGTATACATGTGCCATGTTGGTGTGCTGCATTGACTTATCTATTTATTTATTTTGTAAAATTATATTAAACTCCAGCTATGTATCAGTTTTTATGCTAGTTCGTGGATGAACAGGAAACAAACTTTCTTCATAGAACCTGAACTTTGTTGGAGGAGATATACACTAGAAAAGTAAACAAATAAATGTTGTGCTTTCAAATAGCATTAAGCTCAAGAAAAAAAAATAATGCAAGGCCAAAGGAAACAGAAAGGCAGGTGGGTTAATATTTTAGATAGGGTGGTGGAATGGTTTGAATGTTGCCTCCAAAAGTGATGTTGAAGCTTAATCTTTAGTGTGGCCGTACTGATAGATGAGACCTTTAAAAGGCAGAGTCCTCATGGATGGACTAATCCATTTTTGGGTTTGTGGATTAAAGCTTAATGAATTAATGGGTCACCACGGTGGCAGAACTAATGGCTATAAGAAGATAAAGAAAGACCTGAGCATAACACATTAGCATGCTCAGCCCCCTCATTATGTGATACTTTGCTCCACCCAGGGACTATTGAGGAGCCCCACGAACAAGAAGATTCTAACCAGATGCACCCACTTGACCTTGGACTTTCCAGCCTCCAGAAATGAAAGAAACAAATTTCATTTCTTATACATTACCCAGTTTCAAATATTCTGTTACAAGCAACAGAAAATGAACTAAGACAGATGTTCAGAAAGGTTTCTCTGGGGAAGTGACATTTGAACAAAGATATAAAGTATAAAAAGAAAAATATCATGCAAATATTTGAAAGAGGAGAATTTCAGAAAGAAGGAACAACAAGTTTAAAGGCCTTGAAGAGATAGCAAAAATGCTCTTTTTAAGGGAGCAAAAATCCAGACAGGGTTAGAGTAGTAAAAGCCATCATTGAGGTAGAGGAGGTCATTAATTATCATGAGGAGCGTGTGCTTTAACTGTGATAGAGAACCACTGAGGGGTTTTGAGCAGGGTTGTGAAGTGATCTGATTTTTCAATTAGAGGATGGTTGTGGCTGCTACAATGGTGTAAACACAGAAAATTAGAGATAAAAGATAACTTTGCAGAAATCCAGGCCAGAGGAACAGAGATTTGGATTAAAGTCATGGTAGAGGTGTTGGGAAAGTTTAGAATCGGAATTAAAATTTGAAGATAGAGTTGACAGGATTTGCTAACAGATATAGGGCCAAAGGGAGACAGAAGGATCAAGAATGCAAAGCTTATGCGTATGGCCTGAACAGCTTGTAAAACAGAAGCATATTTTACAGAAATGGGACAGAGTAGAAAAGGTTAACCCTTTGTGGCTAGCTATCAGTGGTTCTGTCTTGGACATGTTAAGTCTAGGATAACTACTCAGCAGCGATCTCCAAGAAACAGATATATGACTCTGGGAATTCAGGGTTTGATTAAGCCTAGAAATATAAATTAGAAGTCATTAGCATACCAATAGCATGTAAAATTATAGACCTGGATTAATTTACGAAGGGAGACACTGACGATGGGAGAAAAGACTTTGGCTGAAATACTTTGACATTTATTTGTCCAGAATCAGTAAAGAAATATGAAATTCAGACTTCAAGGAACAGACAAGAGGCAGAAGGGAAGCTAAAAGAGATATCCCAGATCCAAATTAAAAACCAAAAGAAACTCTCCAGGAATGAGTTTTCAACTATGTAAGAGTTTGTATGAATAGGGATAGATAAATAACCATTATATTTGGCAATACAAATGTCAAATGAGGGTGATTTTAATGAACTGGTGGGACTAGCTGGAGACAGTTCAAAAGACAAGAAAATTTCTAAAAGGAGTTTTGCTACAAAGTGCTTCAGAGAAATGTAAGGCTAGCTGGAGGCAGATGTGAAATCAAGGGAGCATCTCTTGATTTTTCCAGTGGGACATAATATAGAATATGTGTAGGTTTAGGAGAATAGTTTAGTGCAAATGGGAATAATAATTGAAAGACAGATGAAATATTTGTGGCATTTAAATTCTGGGGTAAGCAAGAGAGAATAAAGTTCATTACACAGGTGGAAAACTAGTTTTATGTTAGGATGGAAACAAATAAATAGTGTAATTTAAATAACTATGGGAAGATGCTTTTATTTCTTTTTTTGCTTACATTTTGTAATTGTTCCTCAGGTGAACAGATGGATTATTCAGAATGGTTGGTTTATCCCACACTTCTATTGCTGATTCATACATAACCATCTTTAAAAATTTTTTTTTTGTTAAATAATAGGAACTAGCAGTTGGAAAAGCCAGTTCTTGTTATTTGATACCCAACTTAGTATCAAATCATTACTACCTAAAATATCTTTTAGAGATAATTAGTGAAGCAGGAACCCTGAGAAACCAGGAAAAAAATAGTTCAGAAATAAACCAAGAATATATTAAAATTAAGGTAGTTTTATCCCAAACAGTATTATGTGATTTAAAATGAAGTTATTACAATTGTAGATGGTACAATTTTATATGTGCCATATATATACATGTACTGTACATATGTATGTATAAAATGTCTGCATTATAATATAGCCCATAAATGAACCAATAGTGCTGCCTTCATCTGACCACTTAATGCAAAAAAAAAAAAAACATAAAACATCTTTAACTCTTTTTTTTTTCTTTTGAGATGAAGCATTGCTCTTGTCCCCCAGGCTGGAGTGCAATGGCATGATCTCGGCTCACTGCAACCTCCATCTCCCAGGTTCAAGCGATTCTCTTGCCTCAGCTTCTCAAGTAGCTGGGATTACAGGCACCTGCCACTCCAGCTACTAGATCTTGTCAATTCTAGCTCTAAATGTTTCTGAAATATACTCTTTCCTAATCATTGTAAACTTTTCTGTATTGATAGAAATTTTAATTATTTTCTCCCAGGAAAAGAATAAACTGGTTTCTCTGCTTTCGGACTTTGACTTCTAATCTTTCTAACATATTGCCAGTAGAGTTACCTGATAATAATACATCAGGATTAATGGCTTAATCCTATGCCATGAAATTCTAGTATGTCCATACTTCTTTTGATGAAGTCCAATTCTTAAATTTGATATTTTATGTTCTCTTTCATCTGTTCCTAACCTAATTTAAAGTTTTTATTCCCCTCTCTTCTTAAGCTTTATCCATAAGAGATACATAGTTGATCTCTCATATATTCTCAAGCTTCTGTGCCTTTGAGCACTCCAATCCCTCCACTTGGAATAACCTTTATTTTTCCAGTGTACAATTAAATATTTGTTGTCATTAAATTTACCCAATTTTTCTACTTCTACTGTAGCAGAATTAAATTATTCTTCCTTTGTGTTCACACTCACACACACACACACACACACGAGAACACAAAGGAGAAAGAAATTAAATTTGTTGTAGTATGGGTAGAAAAGCAAAGTTAGATAACATACAATAATATGTGAATTATATATATATGTAATTATATACATACACATACAAATATATGTATAATTCATCTATATTTTGTACCCCTCAGTGGAGGTTTTGCTAATCTAGATTTGCTTATCTAGATTTTGTTTGGCATGACTGCAGCATCCATACTATCCTTGTTTCCTTGCTGTATATATCTATCCACCATCATCACTGGCTGACTTCCAAATGGTCCCAGATGCCTCAGCCTCTCGTGAAAGCTTCATAGTACTCATTATGTCTGAATTTGTAGCAACTTTAGCATCTGGACCAATCTAACTTGATTCACAGAGACAATGGCTTCTTCAAAGTCTTCCTGAAAGAGCCAGGTAACACAATCAAGAAGCATGGTAGAATGCCCTAACATGGACTGTATTTTGACCAGTGCTGGACAAAGATGACAGGGAAGTTCCATGACCTTCCTCCCCTAATGGACTTGACTATTCGGTGGCATGTGATTTTCATACGGCTCCTCCAGAGATGTTATATAACAGAATGGGAGCTGTGATGTTCATATGATTATAGTAAATTTAGTAACATACCACCTTTCATTTAATTTCCTTGCATGCCTACCTCACTTCTCTTTGTACTTCATTCTTTCTCCCCTGTAATTATACCTCACAAAAGATTAGCAAGTAAGTTTTGCTTCAGACTCTGGAAGAAACCCAAACACAAATATTTAATTTTATTTGGAATTGATTTTTCATGTGTATTTTAATAGTATGGCCATCTCTCTTTTAGGCTGAACTTATCAAAGTTGTCTCACTGTACTTTTCGCACTTCTTTGCATTTCAGTGGAGAACAATGCACCTCTATTAGTGAGTTTTGACTGTGAACCATGTTGTCTCCACCTCCCAATAAATATTATTTTTAACTCATTGGTAGATAAATAAAGTGTCTTTAGAAAATGGTTATTGATGACAATTTGGGGATCAGTTTAAGGTCTGTAGTGCTCGGATGCCCAGCAACAGTAAATGCATTTTTCAGTGTTTCATGAATGATTTCCTAATATAGTCCATTCCCCTCCCCCCCACCAATTTAATATGAGAGTGAAGAGGAAAAGTGAGCTCTGTATGTATAATGTATTTTCATAGGATAATTGACTTAGTAGCAATTAAAATAGTGATGTATAGACATCAAAAGGGTATCTGTGGATTCAAAGGGGTTTCCAGCAATGCACGGGTGAGGAATTCTCTGAAAGATAAATCAAAGGTAGATGTTTAGGTAGTGATCTTAAACTTACTTGGTTAGAAACATAAATTATAGAAAATCTTATGCAAGTTAGAGACCATTATGGTTTTTGTCACTCAAGGCAGTCCTTGCATGTTAGGTGAGCAATCAGAATTTATACTGATATTTGATATATAAAAATATTTTATATATCTGCAAAAATAAAGCAGAATGCTAAAAATTTAAGAATTATCTTTCTTATTCTCTGAATATTGTGCCAGCTACTGTACAGCCAACTCAAATCATGAGCAAGAAGGGCTTTGAAATGAGTTTTGTGTATGTAACTAAACATTTTTTTGAAGAACTCAGAGAATTACAAATAATTTTCAAGGGACTGGTTGCATTATGCACTCCATTGACAAAAACACTGAGGCTTCTTTCATAATAGTGCTAATGTGTGTGGTGTGTGCAAATAGTAGTAATAATCATAGACTTTTCATTAATTTCCAGTGTTAGGCATCATATAAATAGGGGTGGACCTTAGAAGAATAGGGAAGCATTACATTGAGTTTTGGAATATTCTTTAATTTAAATAATGTATAATTTAATTTGATTTCTACAAACAACATCTAAATCTTGTTTTTACCAAGAAACAGAGATAAATATAACACAGAATGTTTCCAATGTAATTCTTTATATTAGTTAAGAAAGACTTAAAATTTTTAACTACACAATAATTAAGATTGTAGAAATAATAGAAATCACAGAGAAGCAATACACACAAGAAATAATTATTCGAATCTCTCTACTTTGGTAATATTTTGGTGTATATTATTTATGATGTTCCCGCCATGATTTTACTCTCTGTCATAGAAATGTGACTCTGCCATATCTACTCTTCAATAAATTTTTCTCACAATTGTATTGAGCTAATATGTATTTTGCATATACTTATATGTATATCTGATAATATAGTAATAACATGTCAGTTATCCACTTTTCAAAAAAATTTAAAACTTTATAATTACAATTATAATAATATATAAACATAATATAATGTTTAATTTGCCAGTGGTGCTTGGGATAATTATAAACAAATAGAAAATTCTAATCTAAGAATGGTACACATGTAATAACATATGTTATGTGTAGCTTAATGTTCTTATGGAATAAGGTGAGATTCACTTTGGCTGGATAGTAGATAGTACATTTCATATACCACTGTAAGGGTCATTTGAAACACAGCATCTGAAGTACATACTTTTTACAGCTGCTAATAATTAAATATAAAATATTGGGAGAGGACAGTGTCTCTTATGTCAGAAATACTGCTTACCTTCAGTAGAGAAATGTTGGGTTATTAAACAATGTGTTAAAATACTTTACTAGTAAAATAGACTACTAGAGGAGAAATCAAACAATACATTGGATCTCTTCTTAGGGATTTGTCCACCTCTTTAAGTTTACTCCAGTGAAGCTAGTTATAGTTAGGTGCTTTTTAGTTACTTTCCTTTATCTTTTCAATGGGACAAAGTTAGCTGCTTGGAGATGCTTGTGGAGAGAATAGCAACAATGTAAACACTAGCTAGGTGGAAAGCTTCAAATAGTCAGTGCAATGATAAATACAACAGTAGTTCTCTACATTGGTTGCACATTAGAATTGGCTGCACCTGGTGTCATTTGTAAAGGCCAATTGCCTGGGTTCCATCTGCAGGGGTTCTGATTTAATTAGATTGGGAACTAGCCAAGATGTAGACATGTATTGAGAGCTGGATTATTCACTGGAAAACAGCTATATTTAATAACCTCAACTTTTCAAGTAAAATATGAAAACAATAATAAAGGAAACCTAAATCATATAACATTGGAGAACTCATGACATGATTCAATAAGGATGAATAAAATTTGAACCTAAGTTCAATAAATCTTTTTATTTAGATAAAAATGTAAAGTGCTAAAAACATAAACTTATGTATTTCTTTTACATCGTTAGTTAAAATGGCCACCTATAAGGTTTTGTAATACATTTGCAAGAATTTTATGTTAAAAGTCAAATTCAAAACATTCCAAATAGCCCCCTTTCAATGATACAGTTAAATTATGATTTTATTTTGCTTTCTTAAATACCTGCTCCAGAAACCAACAACTTGAATTGACCCAATTATCTTGCCATAATTTTACCTGTCTCCATGTAAAGTTATCTTTGAAGTTAATTGTAGAGATGAGTCCCATAAGTTTTACTGAACTGTTTCCCCACTCTGCCCATCAAATGAGGTTCAATTACACTCATGAGGAATAGGTATGTGTCTGGGTTGGTACCCAAGCAGATTACACTTAAGTCATCAATTGCTCCCTTGGCTTGTGCAAATGGTGGGCAAAAGTGTGCAAAATAGCTATCAGCTTTCAGTGAACTGGAAGGTCTTGCATTTGCTCAGTCACCTTGTCATTTACCTATTTCCAGTGCCACTAGATGATTATAATGTGTTTAGAGAGCCCTGCTTCTAACTTTTTTCTTTGAAAGAGAGATTTTCAATAGTGTAGAAGCAGGAGGAGGGTCTATCAGAATGACATGAAAATATTTTTTTAAACCAACTCTACTGCCCTCTTTTTGAACACCTTCTCTATACTGAAATATGTCACCATTGTTTCATAGGCAGCTAAATTAGAAGGGGTAAGAAGATAACATTATATTACATTCAAATCTCTCTATGAATTCCAGTAACCAGCTTGATAAATGTGAACTCTGAAAGCACATTCCTGTATAATAGGCTTGGGAGTTAGACAAGACCTGTCATTTTTAACAGTTTTTAAATATATATGTATATACTTAATTGATGCATAATAATTGTACATATTTATAGGATACCGTATGATATTTCAGTGCACTCACACAGTGATCAAATAAGGGTAACTAGCATATATATCACCTCAAATATTTATCATTTTCTTATGTTGATAACATTCAAAATCCCCTATTCTAGCAATTTTGAAAAATACAATATTGTTTTCTATAGTTACACTACCGTTAAACACTGGAACTGATTCCTCCTATCTATCTGTAATTTTGTATATGTTAACTAACCTCTCCCTAATCCCCTTTTCTTCTGCCCTTCCATCCTGTAGTAACTGCTACTCTACTCTCTACTTCAATGAAATCAACTTTTTTAGCTTCCATGTATGAGTAAGAACATGTGGTATTTATCTTTCTGTGCCTGACTGATTTCACCTAACATAACATTTCATGTTGCCATGATGACAGGCTTTCATTCTTTTTTTATGGCTAAATAGCATTCCATTGTGTGTGTGTGTATATATATATATATACCATATTTTCCTTATTAATGCATTGTTGGACACTGGATTAACTCCATATCTTGGCTACTGTGGATGGTGCTGCAATAAGTACAGGAGCACAGGTATCTCCTTGAGGTACTAATTTTCTTTCCTTTGAATATATGCCCAGCAGTGGGATTGCTGGATCATATGGTAGTTCTATTTTTAGCTTTTTGAGAAACCCCAGACAATAACTGTATTCTAGTTATTGTTTGAATTCCATACTTCTCCATTCTTTATTGCAATAATGAAGAAAACAGTATTTACATTTTAGGGTTGCCTTAAACACCAAATAAGTAACATATATAAAATGTTAGATTCACAGTATTTAGAATATGTTGGATCATATCTTTTCTACTTCCTATCAAATTCTAGGGAAATTTATAAAGAATCCCCTAATCCCGGATAAGGGTGGAATGGAATCTTCCATGAATACTATTGCATAACACAGGTTGGAAAAGGCCTTTAGAGACCATCAGTGATTGGGCCCACCTCCCAGTGTACAAGAGTGAAAGCATGGCTTGAGTGAGAGTTCAGGCTTCCTAAGTGTTATGACATTTAAAATTTTTTCTTGCAACTAGTATATTTTTATCTTTTATAAATATTTAGGTGCAAGAAAGGCATTACCATATCTGAGTCTCCAACCTTTACTACATAAAGTCCAAAATATCACATTAGAGAGATTGATCTGGATACAGCTTCGTACAAAGATGTTTTCATGGCCATAGCTAAAGATATGTCTAACTATTGTCTGGTTACTTTTAGTGCTATTGAGTTATTTTAGTTCTAACAAAAACTTGCGTGGAAATAATAGGACTGAAGTTTCTGAAAGTTGTATGGTTTTAGAGTTGTAAAAACATAAAAGTTATAAATATATATTCCTATGGTCAAGAATTAACTATTATCATATTCATATAGTTGTTTCTAGTCTTTTAAAATAGATAGATAGATAATAGATTGATAGATACATAGATGTAGATATATCTGAAGTCCCCTTTTATTATCATGCTAAACCCATATCTCCTTCTCCCTTTTCAAATAATCCTTACCATGAGTGTAATTTAATCTTTTCTGGGAAAGGAGGGTAACAAGATCGTCAACTAGACACAGCCAGGAGGTGCTGCTCCAACTGAGAGAGACCAAGGTTTTGAGTAAGCCAGTATATTAATAACTTGGACAGATCTTCAGAGAGAAAACACTGAAAATGGATGGAGATGCAGACACTGAGTTTAAGGAGAGAGGAATCTGGGAACCCTGCATGGGGTACCCAAACACTGAATCTAGTTCCTAGCCTTGAAATGCCCCTGAGGAATGATTGAGTGAAGGGACTGTGGTACTGCCTATCCTCTCCACAGACCTCTGGGATTATGGCTACAGGAGGCCCCATGTGGTCCATCGATGTTTGAGCTGACAGAGAGATTTTCCCAGAGAGTAAGCAGAGACATGGTTTCAGCCAGTGTGGAACCATTGGCCTCTGTGAATGGTGCAGCTCTGGTGGAGTGTGGCCATAGGCTCCCATTCCCCAAGGCTCTCCATCTTCCTCCAAGAAGCTCTAGCCCAGCTGACTGCTAGGCCAGGAGAGAGCAGAGCCAACTTCCTCATGGGACTGGGACACATCTGTTCTCTAGGCCCTCTTGGCCTCTTGCCCTCCAGCCCTCTTCAGAGTCACTATCTGGCCACCCTGCAGGAGTATGAGCATAGCACAGCCTCTGCTGCCCAGCCTTGGTGATTTGCTCTACCTGATTACTTTCCCAGTGGTCTGGGAGCACTTTGAATTCCCCAGCATACCGTGAACTCATCTGCAACAGTCCAGAGGATGGATCTGTGAGCCAATCCCAGCGTCCCAGGTCTGTGGCACATAGTTTGGGAATGTTGAGCCAATATCTATGACTGGCACTCAAGCAGGAGAGGAGTCCATACTCTCAGAGGACTGAGAGGAGTGAGACGTGCAGGTTCGTGGGCTGGAATGGGAGCAGGGCATGTCTCCCTCTGTAGGGCCTGCCTATTTCCTTCCTGTGGTCTCTGCCAAGGGATCCCTGCAGACTGGACACCTAACAGAAGAAATGTGGGTGCAGTGCCAGTGATTGGAGGGTGCTCCCCAAGACCCAGGAGCTGACCTGGTGAGGGTATCAGCTCTCTACCCCCTGCACCACAGAACATGGCTGCAAACATGAGGAGATACAAAGGAGCCACATGGCTGAATAAAACCCTACCTGCCACCCATTTTTTTTTTCCTCTGATCTCCGAAGTTAAGTAGGGTTGGGCCTGGTTAGTACTTGGATGGGAGACCACCTGGGAATACTAGGTGCTGTAGGTTTGTCTACGGCCATACCACGCTGAACGCACTGGATCTCATCTCACCCGTTACTATTAAGTGCCATCTACTGGATCATAGTCCAAACTATAATACCAAAAATATTTTGCTAATATACCTCTCTATGAAACCAAGGACAATAATTCAGCCTCAAATGATCCTGTACAAAGCCCTGGACTTCTGAAAACATCAAGAAATGAAGCCTACTGACTGTAATCAATGTATGCCTCAGTTTAAGGGACACCAATCCTCCTAGAAGAGAAAGAATTAGTGCAAGAATTCCTAAAACGCCAGTGTCCCTCTACCTCCAAACAAGTCCACTAGCTTACAGCAGTTGTTCTCAGCCAGTCTGAAATGACTGAAATAACATACATAGAATTCAGGATCTGGATGGCAAAGAAGCTCATCAAGATTCAGGAGAAACTTGAAACCCCATCCGAGGAGTCTAAGGAATCCAGTAAAATAATCCAAGAGTGGAAAGAAAAATTGCCATTTCAAGAAAGAACCAAACTGAACTTCCAGAGCTACAAAACTAAAAGACTTTTATAATACAATCAGTAGTGTCAATAGTAGAATAGACCAAGATGAGGAAAGAAACTCAGAGCTCAAAGATCAGTTCTTTAAATCAAATCAGCTGGACAAAAATTAAAAAATAAACAGAATTTTTGATAAATATGGGATTTTGTAAAGAGACGAAATCTGATTCATTGGCATTCCTGAGAGAAGGAGAGAGAATAAGCAACCTGAAAAATATATTTGAGGATGTAGGCCATGAAAATTTTACTAATTTTGCTAGAGATGTTGACATTCAAATTCAAGAAATACAGGTATTCCTGGCTACATACTATACAAGAGGTCCATCCACAGACCACATAGATTCCCCAAGGTCAATGGAAAAAACTTCTTAAGGGCAGTTAGAGAGAAGGATCAGGTTATGTACAAAGGGAGTCCCAGCAAAAATCTTAAAAGACAAAAATGATTGGAATCCTATTTTCAGCATCCTTAAAGAAAAGGAATTCCAATTAAGAATTTCATATCCTGCAGACTAAGCTTTGTAAGTGAAAGAGAAATAAAATCTTTCTCAGACAAGCAAACATTGAGGGAAATTTTTTCAGGTAGACCAACCATACAAGAGGTCTTTAAGGGAAAGCTAAGCCAGAAAACAAAACAACAACACCTACTACCACAAAAAGACACTTAAGAACATAGCCCACAGGCACTATAAAGCAGCTACATGATTAAGTCTACATAACAACCATCTAACAACACAATGACAAGATCAAATTTGACATATCAATACTAATTATCAATGGAAATGGCCTAAACAGTTCCTTAAAATAAATAGAGGAGCAAGCTGGAGACAAAGCCAAGACCCGACAATCTGCTATCTTCAAGAGACCCATCTCAGACATATTGACACTGACACCCACAGGCTCAAAGTAAAGGGATGGAGAAAGATCTACCATGAAAATGGGAAAAAAAAGAGCAGGAGTTGCTATTCTTATATCAGATAAAGCAGACTATAAATCAATTAAAATTACGGACAAAGAAAGGCACTGTATAATGATAAAGTGATAATCCAACAAGAAGACTTAGGTATCCTCAATATATACATGCCCAATAATGGAATACCCAGATTCATAAAACGAGTCATTCTGGACCTGTGAAAACACTTAGAGAACCACACAATAATAATGGGAGACTTCAACCCCCTACTGACAGCATTAAACAGATCACTGAGGCAGAAAACTAACAAGGAAACTCTGGACTTAAACTTAGCACTTGATCAATTGGACCTAATAGTAATCTATAGAACACTCTACTAAACTCCATAAAAAATACATTCTTCTTATCTGCACACAAAACATATTCTAAGATTGACTACATGCTGAACAATGAAGCAAGTCTCAATAAAATCATTTTCTAATTGAAATAATACCAAGCACACTCTTGGGCCAAAGTGCAATAAAAATTGAAATCAATATCAAGATCTCCCCAAACTAAACAAATACATGGAAATTAAACAACTTATTCCTGAATAACTCCTTGAGCGAACATGAAAATTAAGGCAGAAATCAAAAAATTATTTGAAACTAAAAAAATAGTGACATAATTTACCAAACTCTCTAGAATGCAGCTAAAGTAATGTCAAGAGGAAAGTTTGTAACACTAAACACCATCAAGAAATTAGAAAGATCTAAACAATCTAATTTGCACCTAAAGAAACTAGAAAAAAAAGAACAAAGCTAGTAGAAGAAAAACAACTAAAATTAGAGAAGAGCTGAAGAAAATTGAGATGTACAAATCCATACAAAAGATCAATGAAAACAAGAGCTTGTTTTTTGAAAAAAAAATAGCCAGAATAATACACAACTAGCTAGATTAAAAGAGAAAAAAAGAGAAGATTAAAATAAGGACAATCAGAAATGACAAAGATAACATTATAACTAATTCCTCAGAAATACAAAAGATCCTTGGAGAATAATATGAATAACTCTAAGTACAAAAATTAAGAAATTTAGAGGAAATGGATAAATTCCTGGAAACATACAATCTCTCAAGATTAAATCAGGAAGAGATTGAAATCCTAAACAGACCAATATCAAGCTCTGAAACTGAATCAGTAATAAAAAATCTACCAACCAAAAAAAGCCCTGGAACAGATGGATTCACAGCTGAATTCTACCATACATAAAAAGAAGAGCTGGTCCAATCCTACAGAAACTGTTCCCAAAAATTGAGGAGGAGGAGCGCCTCTCTAACTTATTTTATGAAGCCAGCATCAGCCTGAAACCAAAGTCTGGAATAGACGCAAAGAAAAAAGAAAACTTCAGGCCAATACCCATGTTAACATAGATACAAAAATCTTCAACAAAATACTAGCAAAATGAATCTAGCAGCATATCAAAAATCCAAATTCACCATGATCAAGTAGGCTTTATTCCTGGGATGCAAGGCTGGTTCAACCTACACAAATCAATGTATGTGATCCACCACATAAACAGAATTAAAAACAGAGACCATATGATCATCTCAATAGGTACAAAAAAAGCTTTCCATAAAATCCAACATTTCTTCATGATAAAAACCCTCAACAGATGCAACATCAAAAGAACACATCTCAAAATAATAAGAGCCATCTATGACAAACCCACAGCTAACATCATACTGAACAGGCAAAAGCCAGAAGCATTCCCCCTAGAAACTAGAACAAGACAACGATGCCCATTGTCACTATCCCTATTCAACATAGTGCTAGAAGTCCTAGCCAGGGCAATCAGGCAAGAGAAGGAAATAAAACGCCTCTAAATAGAAAAAGAAGTCAAATTATCTATCTTCACCAATAATATGATTCTATACCTGGAAAACCCTAAAGACTCTACCAAAGGCTCCTAGAAGTGATAAATGACTCTAGTAAAGTTTCAGGATTCAAAATCAATGTAGAAAAACCAGCAGCATTTCTGTACACCAATAATGTCCAGGCTGAGAGTCAAATCAAAACCACAACCACACTTACAATAGCCAGAAAGATTATGAAATATCTAGGAATATATCTAACTAAGGGGATGAAAAATCTCTACAAGGAGAATTGTAAAATACTGCTGAAAGAAATCGGAGATGACACAAATAAATGGAAAAACATTCCATGCTCATGGATTGGAAGAATCAATATCATTAAGATGGCAATGCTGCCCAGAGTAATTTACAGAGCCAATGCTATTTTTATCAAACTACCAATGTCATTCTTCATAGAATCAGAAAAAAATTCTATAATTCATATAGAACCAAAAGAGGGCCCAAATACTAAAAGCAATTTTAAGCAAAAAGACCAAACCTGAGGCATCAAACTACCCAACTTCAAGTTATATTATACAGCTACGGTAACCAAAACAGCATGCTACTGGTACAAAAACAGATATATAAGCCAATGGAACAGAATAGAAAACTCAGAAATAATGCCACACAACTACAACCATCTGATATTTTATGAAGTCAACAAAAACAAGTAATGGAGAAAAGGACACTGTATTCAATAAATGGTGCTGGGATAACTGGCTAGCCATATACACAAGAATGAAACTGGACCCTAACATTTTAGCATCTACAAAAATTATCCCATCATGTATTAAAGACTTAAATAGAAGACCTCAAGCTATAAAATGCTATAAGCAAACCTAGGAAATCTCCTTCTCAACATTGGCCTTGGCAAATGATTTTTGGCTAAGTCCCCAAAAGTAATTGCAAGAAAAACAAAATTCACAAGTGGAATCTAATTAAACTAAAGAGCTTCCAGGGAGGCTGAGACAGGAGAATTGCTTGAATCGGGGAGATGGAGGTTGCAGTGAGCCAAGACCACGCCACTGCCCTGCAGCCTTGATGACAGAGTGAGACTTCATCTCAAAAAATAAAGGGGGGCTTCTGGACAGGAAAAGAAATCATCAACAGAGTAAACAGACAACCTACAGAATGGGAGAAAATGTTCACAAACTAGGCTTCTAACAAAGGTCTTATATCAAGAATTTATAAGAAACTGAAATCAACAAGCAAAAAACAAATAACTCCACTAAAAATGGGCAAAATACATGAACAGACATTCCTCAAAAGAAGACTTACAAGTGGCCAACAACATATGAGAAAATGCTAATTATCATTAATCACCATAGAAATGCAAATGCAAACCAGAATGAGACACCATCTCGCATCAGTCAGAATGGCATTATTAAAAAGTCAAAAAACAACAGATGCTGGAGAGGCTGCAGAGAAAAGGGAACACTTATGTACTGTTGGTGGGAGCATAAATTAGTTCATCCACTGTGGAAAGCAGTGTGGAGATTTCACAAAGAACTTAAATGGAGCTACCATTCAACCCAGCACTCTCATTACTGTGTATGCATCCAAATAAAAATAAATCATTCTATCCAAAGGACACATACACTTGTATGTTCATCACCACACTATTAACCATAGCAAAGACATGGAATCAACCTAGGTGCCCATTAATGGTGGATTGGATAAAGAAAATATGGTACCTATATACCATGGAATACCACGCAGCCATAAAAAATAATGAAATCACATTGTTTATAGCAACATGCATGCAACTGGAGGCCATTATTCTAAGTGAATTAGTGCAAGAGCAGAAAGCAGTATACCACGTGTTCTCACTTATAAGTGGGGAAAAAAACATTGAGTACCACATGGACATAAGCATGGGAACAATAGATAGTTCAGATTACTAGAGAGGGAGATCTGGGAGGTGAGCATGGGTGGAAAAACTACCTATTGTGTACTATGCTCACTATCTGGGTGATGGGATTTGTACCACAAACCTCAGCATTACTCAGTATACTCACGTAAAAAACCTGTACATCTCCATTTATCTAAAATAAAAGTTGAAATTTAAAAAAAAAAACCTCAACCCTTCCAATCTATTTTTAGGTACTATATGCGTGTATATTATATATGTGTGTGTATGTGGCTATAATCTTACAAAGTTTTATTATTGTTATGTGTGTTTTTATGTTAAGGTTACATAAATAGCTTCAAACTTCATCATCTCACGTTTTATTTCACTCAATATTACATTTCAAAATCTCACTTATATAGTTCATATTAATTTAAGTGAATCCTAATTATAATGGTATGCAATTTTTCTGTAGGCTTTTGCTCATCCTCATAACCAGATTACAATTTTATAAAGACAACTCTTTGCCTTAATAATCCAGATGCTAGAGAATGGTGTTTGTTCCCACGTACCAGGTGGATTGTAGATGCTCTGTTAGTGCAAATGTATTTCACATTAAATTATCATCAAAAAGAGGAAAAAGAGTAATTAATTTTAGGTGTGTATGAACACCTACGAAGGACCATATGACATGCTTGAATACCAAATGACGTTGTTATGAGCCATAATATTGTATGAATAGCAAATAATTCTATAATGGGAGAGAAATTCCTAAGCATTACTTTTACCAGTCATTTAACAATACCAAGAGTGTTTCTCAGCAATACCTGTAGACTATATACCAGAAAGTATATACCATACAGCAAATTTTGTGATTTGCAAATTGGGTGTGAGGTATTGTTCTGTGCTATGAAGTTGTGACTGCAAAGTTTGTATTTTTATGTGTAGTTGATTCATACCTGGTATAGTTTGGATATGTGTTCCCATCCAAATCTCATGCTGAATTATAATCTGCAATGTTAGAGGCAGGGCCTGGTGGGAGGTGATTTGATTATGGGGGTGGATTTCTCATGAGCAGTTTAGCACAATCCTCTTTGTGCTCTTCTAATGATAGTGAATTCTCACAAGATCTGGTCATTTAAAAGTGTATGGCACCTCTCTGCTTCTCTCCCGTCTACTCTGGCCATGCGAGTTGCCTGCCCCCACTTTGCCTTCTGCCATGATGGTAAGTTTCCTGAGATCTCCTGAGAAACCAAGCAGATGCCAGCATCATGCTTCCTGTACAGCTGTGGAACTGCGTGAGCCAATTAAACCTCTTTTCTTTGTGAATTACCCAGTCTTTCGTATTTCTTTATAGCAATGCAAGAATGGCCTAACACAATACTCCAGGAAACACATTTAAATATTAGGATTTAGTAGAATGAACATATCACAACATTTCCATAGCTATGGCAATATAGCAGTGGAATTTTAAATTGACTAATACGTTAATCATGTTAATCATCCTATACTGTTGTTTCATTTTAGATAACATTTTTTCCACATTTTTATCTCATTCATTTCAACATAAATTAATTGAAAATCAATATAATGCATATTTTGATGAGTTAAGAAAATGTATGATAAAAAATTAACTTAAAGTTTGAGAGATTGTCTAAATGATGACATAAGTGAGTATACAGTATTTACTAGAGAAGCAGACCAATGATGAAGCCTTAAGTAAGAAGGCTATTAAGATGGGAATATATGAATGAATCATTGAAGGGTGACTTGTTCTTACAGAAGAAAAGATACATTATAACTGCCTCAGCTTGGTTAACTCTTAGTCATCAAAGCAAATCAACATAAAGATAGGTTAAATAATCAGCAGCAGTAACTTTATGGAGGTTAATTATTGATAATTACCAAATTCTGCTTTCAGATAAGAAATTAATGAATTCCACGTATGAAAAATATAACAAGCTTTCACCTAAAGAGCATATTAGAGCCAATTCTAGGTCCTAAACTTAACAACTTCCTTACTTTGTTCCTGATACTCTTTTTTATTCATTGTTTTATAGTACACGAGGATTTGGTTTCCAGGTTTTCTTTCTCATATGAAGATGCTAATTGAGAGAATTAAATGAGGCAATGTATAGGAACTCAGCACAATGTATATAAAAGTACTTAACCAACATACAAGTGTGCAACACATACACATGCAAAATTACTTAATTCAGGTTGGATAGCTATAACCTAATTACAAATTGTTTCAGGAATGATAGGGTAAGTATATGAATTCATACTAGGAGAATATGGTAATTTGGGATAACCTAGGTTGCCATAATGTAATTTTTAACTTTGGGTGAGTTACTAAATTTCTCTGGGCATCAGTAACCTCATGTTTGACAATAACATGTTATTCTAAAAAGGATGAGTAACTGTCAGACTATGAGTTTTATCAGGCCTGTGAATATTTTGTTTTGCTTTACTTTCTTTAGCACTCACAGTGTTTATTTTTTAAAATTAGTTGCCAATTCTCAAAATGTGATTTCACATAAAATCAAAAGTTATCGCTCTTTCAAAACATTGAATGAACTGGCCATATTGAGCTGCCATGTCTGTTTGGCAACAATTAACTGGAACCGAATAGAAGTTGTCCCTTCTCCAGGGGCATGAACTCTGCTGTTTGCCACAGTCTCTACCTCACCTTTTAGTAGGGCCACTTACCTGCTATTACATCACTTGTTGGGTAATTTGCCTCTTTGAGTTCGCTTCTCTTGGTCTAAATCATGTCTGATGTTTCTATGAATGCTAACAGTATATGCCTAATAACTATCCACAAAAATGCTATTTTAAATATTTGCTTATTCAGGTCTATTAACAATGTTAAATGTATTCTTTTTAGTGCTTTATTTATTTTGCTATTAAAACAAAGATTAAAAATTACTAGGCAAAGTTGGTAATAGATACTATGACAAAAATTTAGCTAAAAAATTTAAACTACCTCGTGTCAAATTTACTAGTATATTAAGAGCATGAATATTTTCAAGTTTGTTTCCAATTCACATCTGATGCAATGATGATGATATGTAATATCGTGTAATAAAATATTTGCTTTCTGCTAGATTTTACATGCCAGCAAAGGCCCTGCCAGCAAGAAATCCAATTATAAATTTATTAGCTGTAGACTTCAGCAGCAGCACCCAGTGACCAGGAACACATAAGATGATGCCAAAGAGATCAGAGATATAAAGATATATGTAAATATGGTTGGCTAATGTGTTATTTTCAGGGGAAAATATTAAGATAGTAAGTTCTTGGCCTTATAAATCTCATACTAGAAAAATTTCATTATACCTTATCCGTAAGAATTCTGGCTGGGCACAGTGACTCACATCTATAATCCCAGCACTTTGGGAAGCCAAAGTGGGTGGATTGCTTTAGCTCAGGAGTTCAAGACTAACCTGGGCAATATGGCAAAACTCCATCTCTATAAAAAATTAGCCAGGTGTGATGGCGCACATCTGTAGTCCCAGCTATCCAGGAGTCTGAGGTGGAGGATCACTTCAGCCCATGAGGTTGAGACTGCAGTGAGCCAAGATCATACCACTGCATTCCAGCCTGGATAACAGAATGAGACCCTGTCTCAAAAAAAAAAAAAAAAAATTTGGTTCATGTATATAAACCAACGAGAAAACTACCATAAAATATGGAATTTGGGCCATAGAAGAAAAAAGACAAATGATTAAGTCATTAAATTAAGTGCTCTAAAAACAAACAAACAAAAACCATTTATTTTAGCAGTAAAATGTCAGAATTCCTGGTATGTAGGTTTGAGTGGAATAATGAATATTATAATAATGTCTTTTGAGTTTATGTTCATTTTACCAAAAAAAGCACTTAAATGCTGTATGCACACACACATACACACATATATATATAGCTATACATTAATACACATATGTATATATTGCATTTTATCTGGAACAGAGGCAAACTATCTGAGAAATTGTATTCATACGTACTCATATCAGTAAACAAAATTACAATACTAAAAATGAGTAATATAAACATTTGAAGTATTTGCTCAGGATAAATCCGTGAGGATATTACTGGTTTTGTTTTAAAATAGTATTTTATGGCCTTTATTTAAACAGGTAAAAGATGGCAGATTTAACTATCTAGCTAAGCCAGGGACAATGTGAAAATCAAGGTCATTTTTCAGCCTGTGTTAACTAGCATGTCAATTACTCTTTTGCTTTGACACAAAGCAGTCATAGAGAGTTAGTGCACAGCCTGGGATCATGGGTACCCATTTGGCAATAGCCTCCAGGCTGCTGTCTGGAAAACAGTCTCTCTTTACCCTGTTTGTAGTCAATATAACCCATGAGAGATTTTTAATTAAAAAATAAAATAGCTAAATTTAAATAACCAGCTGTATTTTATAATACCAATAATGCTTTCTTTAAAAGTTTGGAAATCTAAAAGACACATTTTCATTTTCTCCAAAAGTCAGGATTCATTAATACATAAATATTGTCCTTGTTTGTAGACACTAACAATCTGCTATTTTAAGGTCAGAGAATGAAAGTAATTGTTACCACCTTTTGAACATTTATTATGTGTCAGGCTCTGTTTTAAGAGCTTTATGTAATCTTCGCAACAATGATTGGCTATAGTAACAATTAAAACCTTCATTTTGCATGTGAGGCTAGCAAGGAATAGGAAAGTTACCCCTTGAGCATCACTGACTCAAGTCATGTAGCTGCTAAATGGTGGAATTGAACTGCCTTTCTTGTCTCCACTACACCACACTGTAACCTCATCTCCCCAGGAACAAAAAAAATAATGAAACGCTAATTAATGAGCTCAGGTTAACAGTGTAAAGAAGAACAGCCCAAAGCCACCTTTGGGAATTATATGTTACATTTAGGATTTTGCAACAATTTGCATTTTTTTCTTTTTTTCCAGAGGAAAAGTCATTTGTAAATTCTTCTCAGCATGATTTTGCGTTTCAGTTCACAGTGCAGAGTGTACCACAGAGATAAAAAGTCAACTCTAAATTTTCAATTATTGCATTTAAATATTTATGTTCTGAATTCTACTAGAATCCCTGCCTAGTAGTGAATTATAGGGGAGATTTTGACTTGAAGGGGTCAAAATCACCTCAAGCTTGCATTAGTAGAGTGTTTTTTGTTTACTTTTTTTTCAGGGTTTTCTCAGTAGGATACATCAAAGAAAGGAATGTTTTGTCCCTTTCCTCATTTCCGTTTAAAACTTCTAACAGATAATAACACCAGAAAAGTTAATCAATTCTTAAAGTTATGATTAATAGGAATGATAATGGTTCAGATCACACATTCTGAAGTTAGATTTCTTGGATTCAAGACCCTGCTCACCAACACAAGCAATGTCACCTAAGGCAATTAGTGAGGCTTAATGTCTCTGTGCCTCAGTTTCCTCATCTGTAAAATAAAAATAACAACAGTACCTTACCCCAAATGTTCTTGGGAAGATTCATAACCTAATTCATGTACAGTACTCTGGCACCTAGGAAACTCCTTTTTATTATTCATTGTTATTATCAACATCAGTATCATCATAGTCATCAGCAGCAGCATAAGTTATTTTCCCTCACTTTAGCTCACCTTATCCATTCTTCCAGAAGAATCTAAAATTAGTCTCAAATAATTTTTATGTTCAGCTTCTTTAACATAGAAGAATGATTCCATATCAAAATTTAAATTACTTTTCAAAACTTTTTCCAGAAATGTAATACCCATTTGCAAAATCTTTACCATTGATACTGTTAAGTTATTTTTTTTTTTTTTATTGTTTTTTGAGATGAAGCCTTGCTCTGTCACATAGGCTGGAGTGAAGTGGCGTGATCTCGGCTCGTTGCAACCTCCGTCTCCTGGGTTCAAGCGATTCTCCTGCCTCAGCCTCCTGGGTAGCTGAGATTACAGATGTGCGCCACCACGTCCAGCTAATTTTTGTATTTTTTTTTTTTTTTTTTTAGTAGAGATGGGGTTTCACCACATTGGCCAGGCTGGTCTTGAACTCCTGACCTCAGGTAATCCACCCACCTCGGCCTCCTAAAGTGCTGGGATTACAGGCTTGAGCCACTGCACCTGGCCTGATACTGTTAACTTATAGGATGCTTTTGCCTTTGGATTTGGAAATTAAATTTTTCCTTCAAACAGATTATAGTTTTTTTAAGTGGCAACATGAGGAACATTCATTGTAATTCATTTTGTGCTTAATGCAACTGTGGATTCCCTAGAAGCAAAACATATCTCCTAAAACCACCATCATTTGAGAGGTTTAAACTGCCTTAATAAGAGCTGACATATTAATCAATTCAATCCTCAGCTCCGTCTTTAAACTCTTGGCATACAGAGCTCAAGACATAAGTTTGTCTCTAAGTCATCACTCTTGTTTAAGAATCCTATGTTTAGCAATCAAAGTTCTGGCATCATCTTCTAGATATTTTACGTTTGGATCATATCATACCAGTGAACTTCAGATGTGATTGTGGGTTTGTTCAGATGCCAAGCCATGATAGGCTACTTGCCTGTTCCTCTTCCAAACAAATGTTTACATTAAGTGCTTTTAATGTTTTATAGTTGATTAATTTAATTTCTTACAAGACAAGTTAAAAGAATAAAATTAGGTTAATATTGAGTTTAATATTTACAAATATAGTTTTAACCTTATTTGGCATTTGACATACAAGCAATCAAAAGAATGAAAAGGTAAGCCACAGACTGGGAGAAGTACTTGCAAAAGACATATCAGATGAAAGATGGATATCCAAAATATACAAAGAACTCTTAAAGTGCAGCAATAAGAACACAAACAACCCAATTAAAAAATGGGCCAAAGACCTTAACAGACATCTCACTGAAGAAGATATACAGGTAACAAATGAGTGTATGAATTGATGTACCACATCACATGACATCAGGTAAATGCAAATTGAAATGAGATACCACCACGCAGACCTATTAGAATAGCCAAAATCAAGAACACTGACAATACCAAATACTGACAAGGACATGGAGCAACGGGAACACTCTCATTCATTGCTGGTGGGAATGCAAAACGCTGTAGCCAGTACGAAAGACTATTTGGCAGTTACTTATAAAACTAAACATACTTTTATAAGATCCAGCAATCATTTTCCTTGGTATTTATTTGAAGGAGGTGAAACTTATATCCATACGAGAGCCAGCACATGGATGTTTATGGAAGCTTTATTCATAATTTCCAAAATTGGAAACAAACATAAGTTGCTTCAGTAGCTTCAAATGTCCTCCATTAGGTGAATGAATAGGCTGTGGTACATCCAGATAATTGAACATTATTCAGCACTAAAAAGAAACAGGCTATCAAGCCATGAAAAAACATGGTGTAAACTTATATGCATATTAATAAATAAAAGAAGCCAGTCTGAAAAAAACAACATATTGTATAATTCCAACTATATAACATTCTGGAAAAGGCAAAATGGTAGAGACAAAAAGATCAGTGGTTGCCAGGGGTTAGGGAGGAGAGAGGGATAAATAGGCAGGGCACAGAGGATGTTTAGGAAAGTGAAACTACTCTGTCACTATAATGATGGATTCATGTCATTCTATACATTTGTTACCCATAGGATGAATGTACAACGCCAAGAAGGAATCCTAATATAAATGATGGGCTCTGGATGATAATAATATGTCAATGTAGGCTCATCAATTGTAACCAAGGTACCACTCTGGTAAAGGGTATTAATAACGGGAGAGGCTATGTGTATGTGGGCACATGGAGTATATGGAAAATCTCTGCAACTTCCTATCAATTTTGCTACAAACCTAAAACTACTCTAAAAAAAACCCAAAGGCTATTTTAAAAAGAGAAAGAGAAAAAGGGTTCTGACAGATACATCGTAAAGTATATTTTTTACATATAGTGTTTTTTTTTTAATCTCAGTGAATTGTGACGCCATTCACCCAGGTTACCCACATCAGAAAACAAGACATCTACTGTATTCTCACTGTCTATAACTAATTTGCCAACAACTTTTCAGAATGTTACTTCCTAACCATATTCGTAGTTTCAACCTTTCTTCATCCACACTAGTACATCCCATTGCACAGTGTCATCACCTCACACCTCCACCCTTGTAAAACCCTGCTGAAGGTCTCCCCATAGTCACTGCTGTCTCTTCCAGTCAGTTTTCCACAGGGTAGTCAGTTATCTTTACAGAACACGTCTGGTTATAGCATTCATCCTTCCATTCTATTCTGTCCAGACTCAGTCCCCCAGGTTGTCCTATCCCTGCTTAAAACCTTTCAGCGGTCCTTCAAAACCTGCTCTATACCTGAATCTCTTTTCTTCTCTATTCCAACTAGATTGCCTTTCCAGGACCTAAGTATTCTTATGTTGCCACCTACCATGGGGCTCATGTACAAGCTGTTCCCTTTGTTAGGAAGACACTCTTCCCTCCTCTCTACCTAATAAACTCCTAACCACCCTTTGGATCTAAGCTCAGTCGTCACTTTCCTATGTATGCCTTCTCTGGCCAATCCTGATGTGATAAAATCCAATTGTTAAGTGTTTCTACAGCATCATAAATTTCCACATTAAAGCATTTAATATCATTGTGCTTTTTCACTGAATTAAGTGAAAAAGTGGAAATTAAGTGAAATCCATCTTTTATTGGATTGCTAGTTCTCTGAGGGTAAGGGCTAGGGAATTATTTTTACTTTTTGTTCACTATCTCCTTATAGTCCCTTGCATAGTACCTGGTACATTATTAAAAATTCAATGACTATTTATTAATTGAATGAATAAATGAAAAAAAGAAACTATTTAAAACATTCTTTAAAGAACATAGTTGCTTTTTAATTGCTCCAAAATTCAATTCTTCATCAGATTACGATACAATTATTAGAAGGAAAGGATACAAGTGGAATCATGGTCATAGATGAGGTAGGTCTTTATCCTGAAGGAAATGAGGAGTTGCAGAAGAAAAAAACAGGGCTTCATCATGCCCAGGTATACCTTTTTAAAAGGACAGTCCCAGGACTAGGGAGAAGAATGTATCAGAAGAACCTCAATTTGAAAAAGGTAGATGAGTCTATTTTATTAATCTAGGGAGAGAAATGATGAGGACAGAATTAAAGATTTTGAGTTGAGATGAATGAGATAACGAACTCTTAAGTAATAAAACTTACAGAGTATGGTTTGTGATTGGGTGTGTAGCTTTCTGCTGTGAGCAGCTGGATGGACCTTGGGACACTTCATTTGGATATATAATTACGGAGGAAGAGAGCTGCAACAGCAGATGTGGGTTTGGATGCATTCTGTTGACATGCCTGGGCAGAGATATGTAGAGAGGCCCTCTCTGTGTTTTCCCCCAGCAGCTGATACTTACACATCTTGTAGCAACACTCACTTTTTTGTAACTATCATTCATTTATTTGCCTCCTTCACTAAACTGTAAAATCTTTGAGGGACTTCAACCATTGTTTTTCAAGGTTACAGCACAGTTCCTCGTATGTAGTAGGCACTCAGTGAATATTTTCTGGAAGACTGAATGAATGTCATGCTTTGAATAAATGATATAATATGGAGAAATGAAATTATGTAGCTTATTTAGTTTATTCCTCGTTTTTTATTACTCAAATTACTGAAATAAACATATTTGTTTACACACTTTCACACTTAGGAGAATATTTCTGAGTATAAGAAATTATCCTCAGTAACTGAAACTACTGGGTTGGAGTTTCTGCCCTTTTGATTTTGACAGATATTACTAAATGACCCTTCAATACGATTGAACCAATGTCTATTTCTTCTAAGACCAAAAGTATAAACTCCAGAAGAATACGAATTTTTAAAATCCAGAAGAATTCTAATTAAAAATAAGTTCATTATCATTTTCTTGACCTGACACTTTTCTACTTCTTTTATCCCATCAAATTCCATTCTCCCTGTTATTTCTTTTGCTGTAACCACACAATTGTCAATAGACCAATAACCCTCCCTCCGGACATTGGCACTTGCTGTCCTATCTGTCTGGGGTACCCTGTCCCATACTCTCGCACAACTTGCTCCCTCACTTTATTTAGGTTTTTGATTTAGAGAGGTATGCCTGGAGCCCTTTATGAGAAAATATCACTCTAATAATCACTACCTACCCTTTTACTTTAATTTATTGCTTTTTATTAATAATGGACATTATATTTTTTATATATTTGCTTCCCTTCTCTCTTCTAAAATGTTAACTTCTTGAATCACAGGCATTTTCCATTTTGGTTCCTGCTGTTTTCTTATTTCCTAGAAAGGTGTCTGATATGATATAGAGGAAACTCAGTCAAGTATACGTTATTAATTGAATGAATCAACAGTGTGGGAGGATACTTGTTTTCCACACTGGGTATCATCAAACATTGTAGCCTTTTGCCAGTTTGATAACAATGATAACCTTGTAATTTTAATTTCCTTGTCTTTAATCATGATCAGATTGTTCATTTTAGTATATTGTTAGCAATTTTTTGTAAATGTTCTCTCCATGTCTTTTGTTAGCCAGTCTACTTGAGTTATTGACCCAGATTTAAATTGAGACCTATAACCATGGCTGTATGTTTTCCTCTGCTGTGTGCAGCTGCCTGGGCACAGGCATGCAGTGGACAGAGTTGGATTTAACCCAACTGACAAATACAAGGCAAGGGTCCTGGGTTCATTGTATTCAAGGGAGTGGCTACGATGATAAACATGGAATGTTTTCTTGGTAAGGATGAAACTGAGGGGTGGAGAAAAGGTAGTTTGAACATAAGAAAGGTTGTAAGATCAATCAATCTTTGGTCTCAGTAGTTGCAAATAATTGATTTCTAAACTGAAAGATCAAACACAACCATTGAGATACTTCTACAATTAAATGCCATGAGAAGATTCAAATTTACAGACAGCTGGTAGGATTTTAGAGAAGATCAAACAATCTAAAGATTAATCTGGAACTACTCAGTAAAATAAATATTTAAGATACCTATAACCTAATAGCTAGATATATTAGAGTAACCTTCACAACATAATTTGTGGTGGCAATTCATTGGGAACAACCTGAGAGAGTGATAGGTGAATCCATAGGTAAAATATGTGGGTGCAAATCATAATGTCTGTTGTGTAGCAAACAGCGATGGGTTACAAGTATCATGCTGTTATATAACTCATAATTCACCTCCACACCTGTTCTCTAATCTCTGCTGTGCTGCAACTGGGATCTTACAAAGTGCTTATCTCAGAAAGACATTTTTCTTTCTTCTGCTCTGTCGATAGGAGGCACTAAAATAAATGATCAGGCAGGGATAAAAAGATAATGAAAAGTTTCCTGTGCTATGGTATAAATGTTTGTGTCTCTCCAAAATATATAAGTTAAAATCCTCACCCTCAAGGTGATGACATTAAAAGGTGGAGCCTTTGGAAGGTGTTAAGGTCACAGGGGCAGAGTCCTCAGGAATAGGATCAGTGCCCTTGTAAAACAGACCCAGCACTCTTTCCACTATGTGAGGTTGGAGTGAGAAGATAACTGTCTATAAGGAAATGGATCCTCTTCAGACATGAATCTGCCAGCACCTTGATCTTAGACTTCCCAGTCTCCAGTTTGTTAAGCCACCTAGTCTATGGCATTTTGTTGTAGCGGCCTAAATGAATTAAGACACCCTGTTTTCTTGATTTTTTCTATATTTTTCAGAGGCATTCAAACAGCAGCAATTAGACCAGGCATTTCTTTGGTTGGTGCAAAAGTAATTGCAGGTTTTAAATGGCAAAAACCGCAATTACTTTTGCACCAACCTGATAGCTTTTTTAAAGCATCTTCAGAATCTGAGCTCTTTCAGAGGTATCAGCAAGAGCTAGATGACACCCTCTCCCAAGAGGTCTGAGCACCAGCTCCACAAAATTCTTTCCTCTAAGCAGTTAGTTTCTTCTTCCCTTTTGTTGTTTCAGTCCTAAGCTTCATAACTTCTTGCTATAGTTCCTAAATATGGGTTATCTCAGTTTTTTTTCTGTGTGCATTTTTAGCTTTCCAAAAATGTTGTAACTAACTCCCTTTATTATATCCCATGATGTGAAATTAAAAGTGTGATATTTCTTGAAAAAAAGGTATCAAAAGTGTTGACTCTGAATTTGACGACCCTAGGTACCTCATGTAAGTGAAATAATGCAATAACAATGTATTTAAGGAATATGCTTAATGCCACTACAGCGTACACTTAAAAAGGATTAAAGTGGTAAATTTTGTTATGTATATTTTACCACAATAATAATTATAATCATAATAAAACAGTGCTAAGTGGGGAAAAAGACACAAATTAAAATCTTAACAAATCGTATGCGTTAAAAATATAACTGTGCAAAACATCTCTGCATAACTCTCTAAACAGTCCCAGTAAGGCAAAGTTTCTCAACCACGGCACTATTGGCATTTTGGGCCAGATAATTATTTATTGTGTGTGTGCATGTGAAGAGGGGTACCTCGTGCATTAGGTGCTTTGCAGGACCCTTGGCCTCTACCCACAAAAAGCCAATAGCACCTCAACCCATTTATGTCAACCAAAAATGTTTCCAAATATTCTTAAACGTGTTTTCTGGTTGTCAGAATCACCCTCAGTGATCAGCATTAGGAAATGGCAATGACTTGTCTAATTTGTGAGTTTGGAGAAAAGGTGGCAGCTTCTATTTTCTCCTCTTTAGGATCTGTTTGCTTTCACAGAGAATATGAACTGTTTTGTTCTTAATCCTGCAGTAAATTTAGTGGTGAAACTTTGGCCTCAAAAACCCGTGGATTTTCAGTAACAATGGGTCAAAATTAGGTAGTACATTGTTTGTACATATTTAAGCAACATTCTCAACTCTCTCAGATAATTTTTATTTCAATATGTCTCACTCCTCTGTCTCTTAGAGCTATTTGTCAGCTCCTTCAGGCCTCAGCTGGTTTATTAGGTTGGGAAACTTGAGACAAAAAGCAGATGTGACATTGAGGTCCTCCTAAGTCTCCATTGCTGGATTCCCTCTTCAATCTAACCCGTAAATGATGAAGTGTTCTAGGGCTCTTTGATTCGTATTGTTATTTTCTCTGTCTCCATTCATTGCTTATGGGATCTCATCTAGACTCACATCTTTAAAGGCCATCTCCTTTAAAGTCCCATTACTTCTCCACTGAACTCCAGGCTTGTGTATCTAATGGTCTCTTCAGAATCTTGATTTGGATATACCATAGGCATCAAATACTGCATATCTGAAAATACACTGCTGATTTCCACCCCTCTACCGGCCTTGCCCATCCTACCTCTCCTACAGTATGTCTCCCTCTTATAAATGGCAGCTCTGTTTAGCCCATTGTTCAGTCCAAAACTTTTAAATTCTTCTCTCTTATCCTCCATACAAATCAATTGGAGTATCCTGTCCCCTTATCTTCAAAATATATCCAGGATTTCACCACTTCTCAACTGCCTTTACTATGACTATCTTCATCTAGCCACCAAATCCTTACAATATTCTAATAGTTTCTGACTATTCCTATACTTGCCTCATTATATTCTATTTTTCACATCAAAGTCAGTATGATTCATTTAAAACGTGAGTCTTACTGTTTATTTAAAATATAAGGCTTACTCTCTGCTCAAATTCTCCAGTGGCTTTCCTTTTTACCTTTACTCCAATTAACATCCAAAGTACTTTCTATGGCCTACCAGGCTGTATGGTAATATTTCTTTTCTCAACTTCCTCAATCTCATCTTCTTGCTTCTCTGGTCCAGTCATTCACTCTGTACTTTGCTTCCTCCACCTTGTACCCTTGTACTTTGTTTCCTCCATCTTGAATGAACTTTTCACAGACACCCTCAAAGCACTCTTTCTTACTTCCCTCAGGTCTTTTCTCTAATGTTATTTTTTCAAAGAGGGCCTACTTTGGTCTCGGGTCTTGCTTTTTGTTCCATTGCATTAATCATAACCTGACACACTATAGGTTTATATTTATATAGGTATATTTTGTTTCTCTTCTACAACATACACATTTCATGAAAGCAAGGATATTGCTTTATTTGTTGTTCAATACCTGTGCTATAACAGTGTCTGCCATGGGCTCCCAGCATGTATTTGATGAAATGGTAAATAAATAGACCTCTCAAAATGTGTTGGCCAGCATAGATAGACTTAAATTGAGATGGGAAATCAAATAGGGAATGGAAGTTCAGCCTAGGGTACAGTGGCCTTGTAGTTAATTTCATAAAAGTGCCCTTTTGGCTTATTTCCAAGCCTTCTGGCAGCAAAATCAAAGTTGTCTAATAGTGGGCCCAAGAGCATACAAACAGAAACAGTAGTAACAATTATAAGAACAGTCTGATAAAATAGTCTTAGGGCTGTACTAATAGCCTGCTGATTTTTCCCCTAATAGTGATGGTCCTACTTTTTGCCTAACATAGACTAAAAGGTAATGAGAATGTAAAGCTGGAGAAACTTGAGACAGGCAATTCACTTTCCCCAGCTTCATGTTTCAATATAGAAACGAGGATTTTGTTTTCTTTTGTTTTTGCTCTGCCCACTTGCTTGTACTTTTCCAGGGGAGAAGACATTGGTTATCTGATTGGTGTAGCTTAGATGTTCCTGCTGCTTTCTCTTTGTGAGTTCAGAAAGCCTGAGCTTTGGCCTGCTATGGAGCTCTTAAGCTTAGCAGCAAAAGCTCTACCAAGGAAAGGACTAGTTTTTGAGCTTGCATGTGTCTATTTCGGGTATATACTATTGGCAAATTCATATAGATAACAGTGCAAATCCATGCATTTGCACTGGCCATAATTAGTAATAAAGGTTCCATTTGTATCTTCATCCAACTGTGTGACCACTGTCATTCTCAGTTAATGCAAAAATCCTGCAAGAGGAAGAGTTGTGTAATTTATTAGCTCCTTCATTCCAACTGTTATGTTTTTGCCTATTTAAAAATGGATTACCATTTATATCTTGCATGTTTCTTAAGACAACTTAAGATGATCCATGTAGGAGAACTAATAAGTGGCATGACATGAGCAGTTCAAAACATTTTTCCTTGAAGGAAGTTAGAAATACCTCTTTTCCAGTCTGAGTGTACCACATCAGCCTGGGCATATTGTGGCAAAGTTATTTCTAACCTTTGTGAGTATTCCTGAGCCACCTAAGTCTTCAGGAAGCCTACAAACTTCTATGATGCTCAATTCCTATCATACTTTTCAAAACATTTAATGAATATAGATTAATTCACCAAAAACAAACATATAACTTGTCATGCAAAGGTCATTTAATCAAAAGCAAATTCTCTTTGTCAGCTAAAATACCTGATTAGAATAAATGTGATACTGCAGTTATAAAATAAAGACCCACTCAACGGTGTCTATAGGTTCAGTAATTATAATACTTCAGAAAGTTTGAAATAGAAACAAACACACAAACCATTATTTTAAGATAAGGGAACAATTTTGTATAATTATTTGTATTTTCAGAAGCAGATGATTTCTACTATAAGGGAGTAAAAGCAATAATGATAGATATTGGATTTAATTATAAACACAAAATAAAGGGAATATGCTAGCAATATGATGCGCAATCCCACCCGAGAGAAATAAAAACATACATCCACACGAAGATTTGTATATGAACGTTCACAGAGCTTTATTCTTAATCATCCAATCTTGGAAGGAACCCAACTGTTCATCAATTGGTGAGTGAATAAACAAATTGCAGTATATTTATGCTCAACCGTGAAAAAACATGAAATACTGACACATGCAGCAACATAGACAAATCTGAAAACATTTTTCTAAGTGAAAGGAGTCAAACACAAAATGCTACGTGCATTGTGATTCCATACATATGACACTCTAGAAAAGGTGAAACTCTAGTGATAGCAAGCAGATCAGTAGTTGTGGGGGATGGGGTCAGGGGTGGGAATAAAGTGCACAAGGAAAATTTTCAGAATGTTGAAAATGTCTTGTAGCTTGTTTATGCTGGTGCTTACATAACTGCGCACGGTTGCCAAAATTCACCTGAATTGGGATATTTATTGTATGGGAATTTTACCTCAGTAAACGTGGACAAATGTATGGAATTGGGAGTTATGAAGAAGAAAGTAAGAAAAATGTATGGCAGAGCAAGAGTAGATATTTTTGCACTGTAGACATAAAAGGAATATTGAAGGCACAGAATGCAGTGGAGAGTAAACAAGAACTGTTTTTATTTTTCTTCAACTACTGTCTTCAAATATGCTCTCTCAATTATACCTCCCTCTCTCTTTAATTACTTTTTGAGTGGATCCCGTTGCTTTCAGGCCTTTCAGTTATGGGAATACTTTCAATTTTATGATTTAAATTCAGTTTAAATATTAAAGACCTAATATTTTCAAATTTAAGTTTGAAGGCATTCAGTTCAACTTCTTTCCCTCCTCACTCGCACCCTTCTCACCCCGGCTTAGGTCTAACACGTGGCTACAAGACCCATCGTGGGCAAGTGGCTAAGGACTCTATTTAACTCTACTTTTCTTCTTCACTGTGCCTCTCCCTCTTCTTCTTTCCCCTTCCTTCTTTAATGTGTTGAGGCTAAGGAGGAGGAATGGGGAAAAAAAGTGAAAAATCATGTATAATTTGGTCCTTCGTGTAGAGTGGGCTAACATGCTCGCTTGTAGATTTCTCATAGGTCACACATGCCTGATGTGTATAATGCACACTTTGCCCGATATATTGGAACCCCCTCAGGTTCTATTCCCAGGACTTACCCATGACTTTGTGCTATGGATATACCCTAACCACACAGGCTACCCTCCAGTGAAGAGTTCCTACAGGATGGCTCATAACCTGGTCAACTTCTATAACCCCTTTTTGAACCCATGAGAAATTCACGTGTCTTTGCTGCACCACACAGTGGGTACACAGGCTTGTCTTACCATCGCTTTCCCAAATCTTTCTGCTGTTGCTCCAATTAATACCTTACATTCAGAATTGTGATGGGAAGCAGGCGCATGCCCTCAAAGACAGGGTTGAGGAGGAGGGCCGAACATATCAATAAAAAAAAATTATCTCACTTCACTTTTTCAACTCAAATGGCACCCAGTAAGGGTTGACTAATTTCAGCTGCTCAGCAAGCTCTGGAACAGGGTTTGAGATGTTTATGCGGCGACGTCCACCTTTACAAGTGCCTCCTCACGTGTATGTGGGGCAGGAGGGAGCACTTACTTTACTTCCTGACTAGGTAGGGAAGAAGAAAGTATTTCCCCCATAAGCCTATAATTAGCTTTTCTAAAGGCTCAAGACCACTGATGAGGTGATCATCTCAGGAACATCGTATCGACCTCTGAGAAACCCTATAAGGCTTATTAAGCCCTGAAGTCTAGAAGCTCCTTAGCCGCTGTGCAAGATTGTATATTATCAAATCTCTTGTTACATTGCCCTGTAGATTTTAAAGAAGAAATCTGGGAAACATATTTTTCAGAATCTTTTGTCAGCATAGTGTGGGCTTAACTTTGCCAATTACAGATACAAAAGGTTAGGAAAACTGAAGAAACCCAAAGCCATTATTTTCTGGTGAGAGCTGCAAGCAGGTATATGGTATTGGCAGGTGGCAGACAAAAGGGTTTTCTACCAGCTTCAGGCATTCTCCTTTTCCTTTCGGTGCTATAGGTAGCTGGAGTCTTTGACATCAGCTTCCCTGCAATCTTTGCCCTTTCAAATTTGCTGAAAGTCAATAGTGGCCCTCTTGAACATTATTCTCCTGTCATGCCAACAGTTGTGAAGTCTGTAAAAACCTCTAAATCTCTTTCTACTCCAAACTCCTAAAGTGGCTTTTTCTTTCTTGCAAAACACTGATTGATGTAGCAACTCTCTCTAAAACGTAAAGACACCTGTCTCCTATTATTCTCTGTTTAGGAACCCAATCTGAAATTCTCGGACAATAGTATCTAGTTAATAGCCTGAGGGAAAATCAAAACTTTATAACCCTGATTGTCAGTTACAGGCAACAAAGATATGGGTAGAAAGTGTTGATGGACTTAGGCCAGTGTTGTGTTGCATGCCCTAACCAGAACATGTCATAATGATATAACCCATTGTTTAAGAGTTCCGAGACTGAATAAAAACTCTTGGGCACATATTAGTATTCCTCACTTTAACTCTGTTTCATTATGTATGTTAACTATACTATTTACTCAAACTCTTCTTTCTCTGGAGTTGTAACTAGACAGCTCAGGTGATAAGGCCTTAGCTTAGGGATAAATAGTAAAGGGAAGGAAGAGAAGTATTTCCAAGGGCTTCATGGAAACTAAAAGCACCATTCAGAATATTTGCACAATCTTCACACAGAAGTCACAGAGAACTGGAATGTCACTCAGGACACATGTCACTATGGTAGTCCAAAATGTTACAAATGACCTGGTGGTCATACTAGTGGTTGCCACCTCAGAAGAAAGTTTCTGTTGTTCTGTCAGGCTCAGGTACTTATCTGGTTTTACCTGATATTTCATTTCTCTTTCTACTCTCCTCTTTACATCATCTTTTGCTTATTGCCTGGTTTTTGGCCTTGTGCTGTTTCCATAGGACCTGCCCTTTGAACTGGAAAAGAGAGAGGGTATGATTGGTTCAGCTGATTACCTTTCAGTGTAAATAATTTGGAGGCAGTTGATTTGATTACCCTTCAGCATAAAGAATTTGGGGGCAGACCGGTCATGCCTGGTCATCATAAGAACTGAAGGCTTGCCTGAAGTTGGCTACTCTTAGGTTAATAATCAAATGTCATCTACTCATCTGTCCAAGGAAACAGGTCCGTGAGGCACCAACCACAGCATCATAGGTACATGAAACAATCTAGAGAAACAATCTAGGGATCATTCAGAAGAGTACCTTGGATGTGGCTGCCTAAAAGATGAGAGCTGATAAATTCTCTAAAATACAAAGCAACTACGTCTCTATAGTATCATCTATGATAAGATTCACTAGCAATCGTAAAACCTAAAAGCTATAAAGCCACAGTTGGATCTGAGGAATCTAAGACAGCATCAATTGCACGACGTCTCATAGATTTAACAAGTCTTTTGAAAAAAAAAAAAAGAATGGCTAACAAGTTTATTTGAAATATTAATATACTAGGTGATTTCAGAATATTAACATGTTAAAAAAGAAATATTTGGGAATCGAATAAATACAATGATTCTCTGCTGGATCTGGATCTATATCCACGTAAATGAGAAGAGGAGACGCCATGGGAAACTGGCCCACTGTTCTCTTTACTGTAGCTTCACTGATCATGTTATTGGTTCCAATGAATCTGGTGGGAGAAAATGAGCTAAGTGTGAGTATGAGGGATATTGTAAAGTTTATGTCAATTAACATTTTTACAACAAATGCAAATCAATACCATAGACAGTTAATTTTTCTCTTCTATGTGGTAAGTCTGAAAACTTAGTCAAAAGGTACATAATCATAAGAGGTAAATTCTTGCCTGTCGTAGATACTGAGGAGATGGAAGAAAAATCTCACAGTCTAGCTCAATGTGTGTTTATCTCTAGTTGTTTCTTACACTATCATTCAAATAGAAAAAGACATATGGTTCTCTAAGATTATTAAATATAAGAAAAATACAATATTGAACTAATTTAAGAAGCTATAAACGATTAATTTAAATCATTCTAACAAAAGCTGGTTTCTTTTTGTATATTCACTATTGTCAAAATAAACACGTAATAGCAATCTAAGGGAAGCGTCTGCAATTTCCTCATGAAACAAAAGAAGCCTTGGGAAGCTTTCTTCTCCTGCCACATTAAGGAATGCCCATTAGTAGGTCAGGCTCCTGTAAGTGGACAAATGCAGACCCAAATGTAGGCTTCCAGTCTGGGGCTAAAATGTCCATGCATGTTCCACAACTTCTCATCTTTCACTTCTTCTCTTTGACAATGATAACAGGAAAACCTGGAGAAAGTTTTGTGCCTGCCTTTAGATCTCTGTAAATTAGGAAGTATTTATTTTTATAGGTATGTAATGCTTTCTTTTATAATAAATTATTTATAGTTATTGTGTAAAGCAGTTTCTGTGCTGATTAACTAGTTTTATATCATCTCCTTTGAAACTCTTTGTTTTTTTTTTATTTCTAATTATTATGGATACATAAATAGTTCCAGAAACTCTCCTTATTTATAATTTGAATCTAACAATTCAAGGTTACTTTTTTTAACAAGGTTAGCAACAGTCATAACATTTATGCAGTGCTTCTTACATGCCAAACACCATGATAAGAAATTTAGAAGTATTATCTTATTCCTTTTGACAGAAGAAGAAACTATGGCTTGGAGATGTTAGGTAGATTGTGTGTGATCACACAGATAATAAGAGAGAGATCTAAAATCTGAATGCAAAATCTTACTCTAAAGCTGGTATTCTTAGTATCATACATACTTTTCTAGCAAGATACCAAATGTGACTGTTTGTTTTGGTTTACTTCATGTATTTATTGATAAATATTACAATAAGTAACTGCATCACAGAAAATTTCCTAAACAAATATGCCCAATTTTTCATGATAGTTCTACTTTGAAACACTATTGATCATGTTTTAGGCTAACTAAATATAAATTATGTATACAGAATCACTTTTTTTGTAAGCAGAGCACAAAATATTAAGTAATCATTCATTTAGTGTCCAATTCCAAAATACATACTGAAAATAATATCATGTAAAAACATTAGTTGAGCATCATTGCTTTCATAACATGCATTTCTGTTTTGCACATAGTAGGCTTTCAAAAAACATTTGTTGAAATAAATTCCAATTTTTTTTGTTTTAAATTTCTGAATAAGGTTGATGATTAAAATTGAACTGTTATTCGAACAAAAACTTGAACAAGGAAATAATGCAATTCAAAGAAATTGAACATTCTATCTTCTTTGTTACTCTGAAAAGCATATATATTGTTTAATTACACATATCATCTGATTCAGTTAATACATTGAACAATATCCCTCTCTCCAATAGTCTCCCTTGCCTTTACACCTCCCTAACATAAAATGTAATTTTTGCTTTTCTTGATAGTTTCTTATATTTTATTTTGCATTTCAACAGTGGTCTCAATAAGTCTAAACAATTTGAAATTGTACTTATAAATAATAATAACCACAGATGATCATATTATAATTTTTACTATGGTAAATTGCAAGATTAAAGAGAGGAGGATGTTAAAGTTTATTTATATGCATCATATTTATTTTCTTTTTATTTTGAAATACAGTCAACCCTTGAACAATGTAAGGTTAGTGCCAACTCCTGTGCAGTTGAAAATCCACATGTAACTTTTGACTCCCCAAAACTTACAAAAACTTAAGTACTATTAGCCTACTGTTGACCAAATGCCTTACTGATAACATAAACAGTCAAGTAATACATAGTCTGTATGTTATGTGTATTATATACTGTATTTTTACAATAAAGTCATCTAGAGAAAAGAAAATGTTGTTGAGAAAATCATAAGAAAAATAAAATATATTTTTTAGTCATGGAGTGGAAATAGATTATCATAAAGGTCTTCACCTTTGGTGTCCTCATGTTGAATAGGCTGAGAAGGAGGAAGAGGAGGGATTGGACTTGTTTCCTGAGGAGTGGCAGAGGCAGAAGTGGAGGAAGTGAAAGAGGAGGCAGGAGAGGCAGACACATTCAGCATAGAGATCTGTGGACAAGTGGACCTGGGCAGTTCAAATCCTTACTGTTCAAGGGTCAACTGTAGCTTAAACCCACAGAAAACTTTATAAAATACTAATGAAAACCCACTTACCCCTTAAACAGATTCATCCTTTGTTAAAACCTTGTCACATATGCTCCCATCTTTTCATCTTTATACAAACACACACATACACACACACACGCACACACAATGCCTTTTGGCCAAAGCACAGTGGTAAGCTGAGGCTATAACACTTCACATAACATGTAAGGTTATAATTATGCCTAACATAATATACCTATCCTTTGTACAACTGGAAATTCATCAATCCATAACCTCAATGCTATTACCTAAAGTTAATGACACTTAAATACTGATATGAAGTCAATAAATCTTATGTCATGTAATAAAGGAAAAAGAAAGGAAATAAAAGGAAGATATTTTCTTAGTACAAGTTTATACACACACAAACATGGTCTTAACAAAATAAGGAGGAAATACACCTGACAATTACAGTCCTTGTTTCTGCAACTGGTTACGTGGTCATAGCTGGTATTGATGACTACCCTATTCTACTACTTATTGTGTATTCCTTTTGCCTTCAGCAAGCACCACGGCAGGTTGTGAATTTTTACCTGGTGAAGTGACCCAAACCTTCATTCCTGAAGGGTCTGGCCATTTGTAGTTCTGCCTGGATTGGGTTATTGTAGTTTCCTACTGATCTTATTCACAGGGCATGGTAATACTGAGATGCCCAAAGAGTTCCCCTGTATTCCATGCATACTCTCCCTTACCTCCATTGTGGGTTAGTAGACTGATTTCATCTTGATAGTTTGGGCCCTACCCAACACTAACTCCCTTGTTAGCCTGTTGACTTAGAAGTAGGAGGATTCCAAAGTGTCCAGACAACAACTTCCAGTTTAATGGAATCATTGTTGTGTCTCCTGGTGGCAGTATTCCTTCCTCTGGAACTAAAACCTCTAGGCCAGCAGAATGGAATGCCACAGGAACATGAAGCAAAAATTTTGCTAGTGGGACACTAGGAGTGATGGTGAGTGGTGCCACTTCCACTTCCACACCTTGATTCCTGAATCTGGGAATCCTGGTTATGGGAGAAACAGTACCATATATTGGGTGCTGATTTCTGCTTATATAAATTAGAAAACTCTAGCAGTTGTTTTGAAGTGTAGTGCTGCACCTCCTTATGGGTCATACTGTGAACCTCACCTCTAGGGGCCTGCCAAGACTTGAGTCTAGTTATAGGCCTAGAAGCAAAGAGGGGTGTTGGGGATGGGTCCTTGAGGACAATCAGCATTGTCTTGCCTGGCAACTGCCTCAGGGAAGGCCACCACTGTTGCCTCAGGCAGTGCAGGATTCATCTTCTCAGACAAAGGTGAAAAGGCTGATGGGTCCAGGAGGGGATGTTGCCACGAATGGGGATGGGGAGGCTGTTTCCTAGGGCAAGAAAAGCTCATCAGAGTTTACAAGCTCAGTACTCCCGGCTTCATCAGGATCCTCCCATATGTCCCCATTCCAAGTTGCAGGGTCTCATTCTTTTCCAATCAATGACCTCACTTTAACTGTAGACACCTGGCAAGACCAAGTGTGCGAATTTCGTTGCAATTCAGCCACTCACATGATAAGAGCTTATGTCTGATTTTCCTCATTTTCAGCCCTTTGTCTATAGGAGATAAGACTCTCACTAAGAGCAGTCTTAGAAAACTTGAGCCTCAGTATGTGCTTCTGGAGCCCGAAATTAGAATCCCTGAGCTCATGCTTTTCTTTCATCACTTTTCCAGTGAAATTAGGAGCAATCAACCAACTTCTTTATATTCCTTGGTTCTCCACATATGGTCAAAGATATTATGTATAGAGTCGCTAACTGCTTGCCTCTCACAAGTGGTGAATCAGGAGTACCAAATGCATTTATTTTGTATAACTTTCTAAAGAGTTCACACCAAGGACTATCAGTGTCCTCCATACTATTAGAAGTAGTGTCCTTAGCATTTTGGAGTCTAATTATATTAAGCAGCCAACTCCAGAAATCTCAAAACCAACTAGAGAAATCCATCCTTAAAATTCTATTCCTCTAAAACCGCTCCTGGTACCTAAACCTGTATTAGTCATGGGTCTTTAAAGGAACAGAACTAATAGGATATATGTGTATACATGAAGGGGAGTTGATTAGGAGAACTGGCTCACACAATCACAAGGTGAAGTCCCACAATAGGCATTCTGCAAGCTGAGGAACAACGAAGCCAGTCTGAGTCCTAAAACCTCAAAGGTAAGGAAGCTGACAGTGCAGCCTTCAGTCAAAGGCCCGAGAAACCCCAGCAAACTACTTGTGTAAATCCAAAAGTCCAAAAGCTAAAGAACTTCGAGTCTGATGTTCCAGGGCAGGAAGCATCCAGCACGAGAGAAAAATGGAGGCCAGAAGACTCAGCAAGTATGCTCGTTCCATGTTTTTCTGCCTGCTTTATAATAGTCTCGCAGGAAGCTGATTAGATGATGCCCACCCAGATTGAGGGTGGATCTGCCTCTCTCAGTCCACTGACTCAAATATTAATCAACACCCTCACAGACACACCCAGGAATAATACTTTATATCCTTCAATACAATCAAGTTGACACTCAGTATTAATCATTACACCTACCTTAATCTGAAAGACTCTCCACCTGCCTCATTTCTTCATCGTATTTATTCATTTGAAGTGTCTAGTCAAATTGTCCTGCAGATCATCCCATAGCCTGAGATTGTCTGACTGCTTCCTTAGGATAAAATTTAGTTAAACAGTATAAAAACAATCTCACATCTTATAGATGATGTTGTACCCCTTAGGAAGCACATCACCTCACATCAAGAGGCATATCAAGTCAGACCATCTCACTATTGGCAATGTTGTTTGACCACCTGATTGAGATAGTGACAGCCAGACCTCTTTATTGCAAAAGCATACCTTCTGAGGCAATATTTCCCTGACAATTTTCTACCACATGGCTTTTGCATCCATTGTTGACTTTGCCTGCATCCATTTTTTTTTTCTGGAGGTAACAAAATGGTGGGGTTCTATTTCTATTAGTCCCCTTTTTTTTTATTAGTGGTCGTTCTTCTGTGAAATAAATGTGTTTTTTTTCTTTTTAAATCTGTTTCTTACTTATTCATTTAGTATTATTAGGAACCCATGGATCTTTGTATTTAAATGCACTGTTTTGCAATCTGTTTTTATTTTTTGATACTAATCACAAGTGTGGCCAGAGGAGCACTTTTGAGCTAGTTTCTGTTTCCTTTTGACGTGATACACACGTCTTTGAACATGTTTTTTATACTGTCTGGACAATAAGACGCTCCAAGTTCACCTAGAACTTTCCTTATCCTAGACATAAAATCCACCATTTTTCTCCATTAGCTTTGACTTCTTTTTAGGGGGAAATGGGATTTCACAATTGAAGATAAACATGCTCTTTGCTTTTGTGATGTCACTGTTTCTGTATAGTTTTAAAGACTAGAGCAGGAAAATGTTTGTGTGTGTGTGTGTGTCTGCACATACATATGTCCATATTTATATACATATAAAATTACAAGTTCTTACAGATTCTTCTGAATCAAATTCAACATCACAGTATGATTGTTTTCTATTTTTATTCCAAAGCTGTATCACTCTTTCCCATAATTTCCCAAAAACATCAGTATATTCACTCATTTGCTCTAATCCTCAATTCATTGAAAATAATTTTAGAGTTTAAAACACAATGCTACTAAGTATTACTGAATTAAACAAATTGATTTTTTGATATATTTATTTTTATCTTTTTCTCTTTTCAGCAATGGCTGCATGTAATAATGTAATATACATTCTTTGTACCTTTCTCTTCCTTTCTTTTTTTCTTTCTTTTTTCTTTAACTTATGATAGCCTGAAAATCTCTCCACATTGGTTAATAGTTTTCATTCCTCTGATGAACTTAATACTTTGTTTTGAAGATATGCAATAATTGATTGAGCTAGAACCTAGTAAAAGTTATTTTTAATATTTTGCTATTACAAATAATGTAATAATAAATAAATATCTGCATATGTTGTTTCATATTTGGAGAGGTATGTCTTAAGGATAATTCCTAGGTGTAGGATTGCAGGATTAAAGGGCAAAAATCATAAATGATTTCATTTACATTATGACTAATTTCTCTTTGTATGGGCTGTACCATTTTGAAATCAGACCAGCTGTGTAGGAAAATATGTATTTCTCCACAACTTCAAGTTCTGAATTGTTGCTTACTTGAAAGGTGAAAAGTCTTATCTCATTGAGATTTATGTGCATTGCTTTCGTCATGCATTTGTCATCTTTTCACTTTTTTTTAGGTCTATGCAAGCAGATTTTTGATCTCTTAAGGTCCTTTGCTTTACCTTTTTTTAATAAAGGAAAATACATTGAACATTCTTGTCAAAATAACGTAACATTATTTACACAAAGCTTTTGTCTTTATAGAGCTTGTACACATAAAAACTATCTTCCCTAATACTCTGTGAATTGACTAATAGCATTAGAAAAAAAATGAGAAATGCATGAGTGATAACTGAATCCAAATAGTAATATTATTCATTTGAACTCAAAATGCTTATGATTTCTTGCCAGTGACAAATACTTTTATATACAATATTAAATGTGTCCTTCCATTAAGCATTTGTCTTTAAAAGCAAATTTATACTCACCACTTCATCTCTCACTCTCTGCTCTAATTTAATTCAGACCACTTATGATTATTTTAAGCAATTATTTTTTAACAATTTCTTACTAAATCCCATATGGTAATGATTAAAACTTGAAAGCTTCAAAATTTTTAAAAAATGCAAAAAGAAATATTTTAAATAAGTTTAAGAAGCCTGCTTTGGGCCCTGATTGTCTCTTTATACCCATGAAAACCCCCATGCAAAGTTCCCCAAAGGACTCATTTTCTTCTCAAATGAATAAAATTTTTTTTCTTATTCCTTTCAGCTGCTTTTGAAAATAAAGGATTTATTTAAAATAATTGATTCATTTTTGAGACTGCAAAATGCTGAAATTTAGACACTCATTCAACAGAATTGATGCATTTTCCCCAACTTATTTTTCAGTTGTTTATAAAATGATGAGTTTTGATTCTTTTTGTTTTGGTTTTTTTTTTTTTTTTTTTGAGGTGAAGTCTCGCTCTGTCACCAGGCTGGGGTGCAGTGGTGCAATCTCAGCTCACTGCAAACTCTGCCTCCTGGGCTCAAGAGATACTCCACCCTCAGCCTCCCGAGTACCTGGGAATACTGGAGTGCGCCACCATGCCTAGCTAATTTTTTGTATTTTTAGTAGAGACGGGATTTCACCATGTTGACCAGGGTGGTCTCGATCACTTGACCTTGTGATCTGCCCGCCTTGGCCTCCCAAAGTGCTGGGATTACAGGCGTGAGCCACCATGCCTGGCCTTGATTCATTTTAATAGCCATTTCACCTTAACTCTATTATTTCGTATTCTATTATAAAATCTTTCTAAATGCAAGGCCTGAAGCCACAAGGAACATTTATCATTAAAAAATGGAAATCATAGCAGAAATCCTATTGATCCAGTTGATTTTCAAAAGTTGTGCTCTTTATGAAATTGCTTCAGGGCACAATCCCAGAGTTAAAATATCAATTATATAAATCCCAAACTGAGCAAACTAAAATTTCCTAGTTAAAAATATTTATATGAATCCATTTCCCTCAAAAAAGCATAGAAAGTGAAAAAAGCATAGGAGTAAAAAAAAAATCTATTTAAAAAAATAGATTTTGCAGAATGAAGTTCAACTAGTTATTTCTCTTAAGCACATATCTCCTACAAAGACAAAAAGAGGAAACTGGTAAAAGACAAATAGATGGGAACCTTGCTGCAAATCAGGATGGTTTCTACAGTGGCTGTAATCTTTCTACAAGGAATTTGGGTTTTCTTGCTTCAGGGTTGAAAGGAATTGTCATGATCATAAAGGAATTGAAAGTTTTAAACCTCAGCCAGAAAATTAGGCAAAATTATAGCTGTACTAAATGTTCACATTTTGCTATGCTTTGTCTTAAATGTTGGATGCACATATTTTGGGATCCAGTGATTGGCAACTCCTTGGTTTGGATTCTAAATTTGTAAGTGGAGTGTTCTGAAGGTGTCAAAACATACAAATTATTTTTAATTTGAATAATAAAGGATGTTTATTTTAAAAATTAAGATAGTGATAACCTCTGTTTTGGTTAGAACAATTTTGCAACATATTACTTTATTAAATATTAATATTATTAGAAAATTATAAAATGAAAATAAAATAACCTGGTACTACTGCTAGGTATAATAAAGTAAACAAGTAATCGTATTTAAATTTTACAAATGTTTGCTTATAAAAATACAGCTTTATTATTATTTCACCCTTTTCCTATGAAAATTATATCTAATAATATTCCCATTAAAATATAATGTATATAGTTTTAGCTATGAGATTGATTAAAGTTTTACTTTGTGGTCTGATATTTTTACATAATCAGCTTTCATAAATATTTGCTAAGCTCTTAAAAATAAATTTTATTCTATCTTTTCAGTATACACAGTTCAAAGCATGACAATTGATATGACCTTACTAATCTCATTATTTAAGGAATTCTGCATGATACCAATTTGATCTGCCATGCTGTGAGTTGTAGAATACATCTCTTTCTAGAGACTTTGAGATTAGCATCACTTACAAATTGATGGAAAGTTGTCATTCCATCTTACAACAAAATATCCTGGGCAAAATAAATATCAATGATTTTTTTTGACCCATCATTAAACAGGGCAAACTCAAATTCCAAAATTTGTAAATACAGTCACATCCAGAAAGATATATCTCTAGAGATTTGCTTACCTAGAGAAGATATTAAAGGAATCCTTCAGCAAATAGCAGCATTGACATGGTAACTTTGAGAAGTTACTGGAAGCTGAGAGCAGACTAACTTGAAAATGAGAAATTCCTGGGGACTTCAGTCCTAAAGAGGCCCCCACAATAGTTCAGACTTTTATTCAGTAAATCTACACATTTTTGATGGTGGCAATTTGAGAAAGATCTTCTGATGGTGTTAGCTGAGAGAGGAAGAGAGTGGCCATCTTGACACCCATGTAGAATCTTCTTCCTAATAAATGCTTAACTTGTAGGGAAAGATAATTCATCAGACAATTCAGAAAAATTATCCCAGCTGGAGAAATGTGCTTCGGCCACAGCTCCATTCTTCCTGTATCATTTATAGGGAAAAAGTCAAGAGGGACAGGGCTTCAAGAAAATAGATAAGAGACATTGCAACCAAGAAAGGGAATAGGAAACAGGAGTAAAAATGGCACACTTCTAGAAGAGAGAGAAAAGCTTTTGAAAACCAAATCCCTAAGACTTAATAAGAAGATGTTGGAATATTTTCCCTTCTCCACACCCTACTAACCATGCCTACAAGCCTTCAGCATTCTAACTGGATTATATATGAAAAAGCTGCAAGATAGAAATCTCTGAGAAGCATTAATCAAAAAATAATAACCCAATATTTCTAACCTTAGAAAACTGGAGGAAAAGGGGCAAATTAAACCTAAGGCATTCAGAAAAAAAAAAAGAAATAATAACTTTAGAGAAGAAATCAATGACCAGGGAGCAATTCAAAATGAATAAAACTAAAAGCTAGTATTTTGGAAAAGATCAATAAAATTGATAAATATCTAGTAAGGCTAACCAAAAAAAATAAATAAATAAAGAGAGAGAGAGAGAAAGAAGAAACAAATTGTCAATATCAGAATTAAAAGGTCATTCATCACTGGTGATCCCGTGTGATCCCATGGACATTACAATGATAAAAAGAAACACTAAGAACTACTCCACGTCAAAAATTTAATAACTTCAATGACATGGGCCAATTCCTTGAAGAAACAAAACTACCAAAACTCATGCAAGGAGAAATAGACTATTTGGACAGCCTGTATCTATTAAAGAATTAAACTAGTAGTTAAAAACAACCCAAAAAATAAATCAGGGAGCCAAAAGAAGTTTCACTGGTGAAGTCTACCAACTCTTTAAAGAACTAATTACAATTCTATACAATCTGTTTTAGGATACAGAAAAAAGGGACTAGTTTCTGACTCCTTTTATTCCATCATTATTACACTAATACCAAAACCAGATAAAGACATTACAAGAAAAGGATATTACAGACCAATATCTCTCATAAACATAGAGGCAAAAATTCTTAACAAAATATTAGCGAATCAAATCCAGCAATACGAAAGATAAATAAATAAATACATCACCACCAAATGACATTCGTTCCAAGAATGCAAGGCTGTTTCAACATTTATAAATCAGTGAGAGTAATTCATCATATAAACAGAATGAATAAGATAAACATAATTATATCAATATATGCAAAAAAGTATTTGACAAAGTTCAATAAATGGTATATAGAAAAACCTACAGCTAAAGTTAGACTTGATATAATATTGAAAGAGTGGCCACTTTTTTCCTAATAAGGCAAAGATATCCTCTCATCACTTATGTTCAAAATTGTACTGATATCCTAGTTGTTGCATAGGCAAGAAATATGAATAAAAGGTACACAAATTTGAAGGAAGAAACAAAATTGTCTTTACATGTGGATAACATGATTTATGTAGAAAATACTCAAATGATTCTTCACAAAAATCTCCCCAACTCTTCAATTAATAAGTGAGTATTGCAAGGTTTCAGGATATAAGGTTAGTAAATAAATTGATTGCTTTCCTGTATATTAGCAATGTACATTTAACATTTTAAATTTAAACAATACTTCTTAAACTAACATCCCTCATTCCAAAATAAAGTATAAACCTGACAAATATGTACTGGATCTGTATATGAAAAATTACAAATCATTGATAAAAGTACTGAAAAAAGACCAAAATAGGAGGGCGATATTTTGTGCCCATGGATTGAAATACTCAATTTTAAATTTTCAGTCCATCCAAAATGTAGCTGTAGATTCAATGCAATTGCAATCAAAATCTCAGCAGGTTTTTTAAGAATCTACAAATTAATTTCAAAGTTTATATGCAAAGCCAAAGGACCTACAATAGCTAACAAAATCCTAAAAAGAAAGAAGAAAATGGGAAGAATCACATTACTCAATTTCAAGACTCAATACAATGCATGATTTCAAGATTGCAGTTGATTTTAGAAATCAACTGTAATAAAAAAAGTATAGTGTTGGCAAATGATAAACACATTGATTAAGGGAATAGAATAGAGAGCCCAGAAATATATCCAGAAATTATGTACCCTTCTATTTGACGAAAGTGGAAAGGCAATTCAATAGGGAATAGGACAATCTTCAAAACCTGGTGCTGTAACGATTGGACAACTCTCTATAAAAATTATCCTAGACAATGACCTCATATCTTACACAAAGATTAATTCAAAATGAATCAAATATCAAAATATAATGTAAAATATAAATTGTCTAGAAGAAAATACAGGAGGAAATCTGCATGACTGGGTGGTAATGAGTTTTTTGATGAGCAATTGATTCTGGGATTGAGACAGGGAACACACAAGATGAGTCACTGAGCATTTTGTTATTCAGAAAATGAAGTAATACTTAAATAACCAAATAGTGAGGGCATGTCAAAGGTACACAGAAACCTGCTGAAAGAACTCTGAGAACTTGAAACTGGAACAATTTGAGCAATATAATAAATAAGGCAGTATTAGATTGTAACATGAAAAATAAAACAATTATCCATGTGTTGGGCTAATACGTCTAAATGACTGAATAAATAAACAAAGGAAGGTGAGTAAGCAAATCTTCCATGCTTAAGAATTTCAGATAAATTATTTAGGTACTGCTCTTTCAAGGAAGTGGAAGATAACATCCCACCCCTTATGTAAGATGTGTCTAGTGACTTCCTACTAAAGAGTACATTAGTTTTTAACCTGAGACTTTACTGAAATTGTTTAACAGATCTAGCAACCTTTTGGACGAGTTTTTAGGGTTTTCTAGGTGTACAATCATATCATGCATGAACAGTTTGACTTTCTCTTTTCCAATTTGGATGCCCTTTATTTCTTTCACTTGCGTGATTGGCCTGGCTAGGACTTACAGTACTAGTACGTTGAACAGAAGTGGTGCAAGTGGGGCATCCTTGTTTTGTTCCAGTTCTCAAGGGGAATACTTTCAATTGTTCCCCATTTGGTATTACGTTGGCTACGGATTTTTCATAGATGGCTTTTATTACTTCGAGGTGAGTCCCTTGTAGGCCTATTTTGTTAAGGGTTTTTATCATAAAGGGATACTGGATTTTGTCATATGCGCTTTCTGAATCTATTGAGATGATAATATGGTTTTTGTTTTTAATTTTGTTTATGTGATATTTTACATTTATTGCCTTGTGTATGTTAAACACTCCCTGCATCCCTGGATGAAACCCACTTGATAATGATGTATTATCTTTCTGATTGCTGTTGGATTTGCTTAGCTAGTGTTTTGTTGAAGATTTTTGCATCTGTGTTCATCAGAGATATTGGTCTGCAGTTTTATTTTTTTGTTGTTATGTCCTTTCCTGGTTTTGGTATTAGGTGATACTGGCTTCATAGAATGATTTAGGGAGGATGCCCTATTTCTCCATCTTTTGAAATAGTTTCAGCAGGATTAGTATCAATTCTTCTTTGAATGTCTGGTAGAATTTAGCTGTGAATCCATCTGGTCCTGGACTTTATTTTTGTTGGCAATTTCTTTTTGATTACTGAATCAATCTCGGTGCTTGTTATTGGTCTGTTCAGGGTTTCTCTTTCGTCCTGATTTAATGTAGGAGGGTTTTATTCATTTCCTTCAGATTTTCTAGTTTGTGAGTGTAAAGGTGTTCATAGTAGCCTTGAATTATATTATGTATTTCTGTGGTATCAGTTGTAAAATCTCCGGTTTCATTTCTAATTTCGATTATTTGGATCTTCTTTTCTTGGTTAATCTTGCTAATGGCCTATCAGTTTTGTTTATGTTTTCTGAGAACCAGCTTTTAATTTCATTTATCGTTTGTATTTTTTTTGTTTCAATTCATTTAGTTCAGGTCTGATCTTTGTCATTTCTTTTCTTCTGCTGGCTTTGGGTTTAGTTAGGGGCAGAAGTCATACAAAATTGAATAACTTGGGAGTCTCTTCTTCTTTTCTTTTCTTTTTTCTTTCTTTTTTTTTTTTGAGACAGATTCTCTCTCTGTCACCCATGCTGTAATGCAATGGCATGATCTCAGCTCACTGCAACTTTCACCTCCCTAGTTCAAGCGATTCTTGTGCCTCAGCCTCCCAAGGACCTGGGACTACAGGTGCACACCACCCTGCCCAGCTAATTTTCTATATTTTTAGCAAATATGGGGTTTCACCATGTTGGCCAGGCTGGTCTCAAACTCCTGACCTCAAGTGATCTGCCCATCTTGGCACCCCAAACTGTGGCAGGTATTTTTCACCCGTGTTGTCCCTTCCTTTATAATTTTGAAAACACTAGCTGCACTTGAATTTAGAGAGTGGTTATGGTCTACACATTTTGTAAATATATGATGTCCATTTTCAATCTGGTTATTGGCCAGACATTGCAATGAAGTGATTTTCTGCTTTTGCAGCACCCAAAATAATTAGGTTTTAAACATTTATCTTTCACCATTAAGTAGCCTTGTACGCTTCACTTATCACAGCCTTTTCATGATGGAATAATTTTACAGATCTCTTCCACTGTGTTGTAGAGAATACAGTAAGAATGAATTATATTTGGTTACCCCAACACCAAATATGTGTCAGTCAGGGTTCTCCAGAGAGACAGAACCAATAGGATATGTATATAGATACATGACAGGGGATTTACTAGGGGAATTGGCTCACACAATTATGGTGGCAAAGAAGTCCCACGACAGGCCATCTGCAGGCTGGAGAGGCTGAGATGCATGTAGAATGGCTCGTTTCAAGTCCAAGGCCTCAGAACCAGGTAAGCCTAAGGTCAACAGCCTTGGGACTAGGGGACAAAGTAGGATAAGTTGTTGAGGCCAAAGACTGAGAAGCCTGGAAGTCTATGTCCAAAGTTGCAGCAGAAAAGTCTGTCCCAGTTCTTAGAGAGAGGCCAGTTCACCTTCTTCTGTATTTGTTGACTCTGAGCCCTGGCCTATTGGATGGTGCCCACCAACACTGAAGGCAGATCTTCCCCATCTAGTCCACTTAGCCTCAAACACTAATCTCTGAAACAATGTCACAGACACAAACCTGGTAATGCATTACCACATTTATAGGTAGTTCTTAATCCCGTCAATATCTAAAATGGAGTCCACAAGTCTACCCTTTGCCAAGTTTCTACTCATACACATCTCCTTAAACCACACTTAATTTCCAAATGAATACAATAACAAAGGAACAGTTCCACCTAACGTGGTGCAACATGATGCAACTATACTGTATAAAAGCAAAAATACAATAATTAGGGATTTTAATCTTTAGAGATTTTTGATCATTCAGGATTTCAGGGTTCAGAATTGTGTGTTTTGGGATTATGATCAGCACACGCTGTAAGTAATAAATTGACTCAATATTCCTGCAACTTCTAAATTTTCCTAGTATAGAAATTTGTTTTTAAAAGTGTTTCTATCCCTTTTACATTTCCTATAGTATTTTCTGTGAATTTTAACACTATTGTGTTTGATGTATAAATCTTTTCATTGTAGATTCTAATGTATATCAATTTAAATTTTCTTTTCTTTTTTTTTTTTGTTTTTTGTTTTTTTTTGAGATGGAGACTTGCTCTGTCACCCAGGCTGGAGTGCAATGGTGCAATCTTGGCTCACTGCAACCTCTGCCTCTGGGTTCAAGCAATTCTCCTGCCTCAGCCTCCCGAATAGCTGGGACTACAGGCAGGCACCACCACGCCTGGCTAATTTTTGTACTTTTAGTAGAGACAGGGTTTCACCATGTTGGCCTGGATAGTCTCGATCTCTTGACCTTGTGATCCGCCTGCCTCGGCCTCCCAAAGTGCTAGGAGTACAGGCCTGGGCCACTGCAACCAGTTCAATTTAAATTTTCTATTTGTGTATATTTGGTTCATGGCATTGAATTGAAACTTGTCTGAATACTTGTTCTTTCATCAGTCGACTGATCTTATGGAATTGTTTTAAGATTTAGTGGCCACTAAGTATCTTACAGTAATGCTATATTTTAACTTCAGATTTTAGACATTCTACAAAAGAGAAACTCTTTCTGCCCTTTGGAAGAAAAATTAATAGCAATTTACTGACCAGGGACAATAATCTTTAAAACTGTTTTAAAGAATCAATCAAATTAAGACAAACATGAGTATGTAGAATTACATTAAGGGACTATATGAAGATATTATGTACTCTTATGCAATGAGTTTTTTGGTTTTTGTTTTTCTCTGACATTGATTATTAGACTTACATTTGGGCATCACAGAATGTTCCTTTGCCTCAAGAGCAGTTTCTAAAATTCATCCTTAAATTTTCTAATGATATTTTCTTAATGTCAAATTTTGTGATTTGGAAGTATGTTCCTATCATGGAGCTGTATGCTTTAAGTCATTTTACAATGTTTTGACAAAAAGGCTTGTGGCTGTTTCTTGGTTTTACATGAGAAAAAAAGTACCCAGAGATTCTACCAGAATCAAAATTACCAATCACAATCATGAAAAGCACAAAAAATTTCCCTTACTATATTTACGAATGTCAGACATGGTATGGTTGTATCTAACTGGTTAACAAAATCAAAATATTTCATGAAAATCATATAAGGACAGACTTTCAAATCCTAAGCAAATCTGGTCCACTGCCTCCTGTATGAGCTTATGTAGCATCTTGTCTTGAACTTGGTATCTACTTGCTTTATATGTGTGTTTTTATCATGTTTAACCAAATAATATGGAGCTGGGTTGATATCTAAATTTTTAAAATCCCACATATCACATTATAAACCATTATATATTCAGTATACATTTGAAGAAATAGTTGTGAAGCTAAATTCAAGGGTAAAATTTGCATATCATGATTTATTTCTAAAATGTTTTCATTTGCTTGTAGCAGAACTACTAATAAAAGTTTTAAAATGACTAGTATGAATTTCTGATACTTTTTTCTGTACAAAATTGTTTGATAAATTTATTAATGAGCCACAATGTCCAAAGAGTAGACCTTCCGAAAGACAAGCAGCAGCTAAAGGCCTGGATGATCTACAAACTAGGTAAGTAATTATAAACAGATACACGTAAATCATTAACATTTGCCTGTAATAGTCACAGATGTCTTCATTAAAATACCTTTTTAATGATCAATTTATGTTGTTGGAGACTATATGGAAGTATACATCTAAGCACTCAAATAAATTCCTAACTCGTTTCCCTACTAAAGCCAATATTCACATTGCTGCCACATTGCCCATCCTTAACAGCTTTCCTCATTACTGAACATCAATCAATTGAAAGACTGGTATGTGCAAGGCACTGTGTGAGAGTTTAAGGACAATTAAAAGCATAATAAGACATTGTTCTTGCCTCTATTAAAGCAGTTCAATATTCTATCATTTTCTGGGTAACTCTCAGTTCTCTATCTGTAAAATAGTGATTTATAATAGCACCTACTTGGCTACCTCATTCATTCATTCATTCATTCATTTAAAGTGCTCAAATCATTCTTCTTTTTTTTCATAGCGCTGGTATGTGACAGGCACTGTTTTCTCATTCTAAATGTAATAGTGGCTAAAAGAGGTAAAATCCTTGACATTGTGAAATATACTCAGGTGAATAAAACAGACAATATTCAAATAAGTAAATATATAATTTTGGATATGGATAAATCCTAGAAGAATAAAGTCAGGCAAAAGGTTAGATATTAAATGCAGAAGAGAGAAAATCTTTCAAAATTAGGGAGGCCCCTCTAAATGATACCTAAAAGAAAGAGGAAGCAAGCAATATGAGGGATATTTCAGGCAGAACAGAAAAATGCAATGGCTCAGAGATAAAAAAAAAAATGCTCAGCATGGTATAGTCTTATTGAGAGACAAATGGTAAGTCAGGACAGCAGGAACAGGAGGACTGAAAAGGAAAGTGGTGGAAGATGAAGCAAGAGTTATGAGCAGAGCCAGCTCCCACAGGGCCTAAAGGGCTATAGTTTGGGACTTGAATCTCAGTTTAAAGGAACAGGAAAGTCGCTGGAGGGCTTGGAGAAGAAACAGTTCATGATTTCATTTATTTTTCTTGAAAGATCACATATGCTGATATATGTAGAATAAGCCACAGATAGTGTATCAGTTGGAGTCCCTGCTGGGCACAAATGACACACTCATATTGGCTAGTTTGAGAATAATTTAATAATAGGACTGTTCATAAAGATGTAGCCAATCAGCAAACTATAGTTCATTAAACCAAGGCCAGTAACTGGGAGATTTTTACCACTCCTAAAACCAAAAGGACAGGGGAATGCAGATGCTAGTGAAATGAGAAGAGAAAGGCTTTTGTGAAGAGGGGTGTCTGGTAGAAATTGAGAACCTGCATTCAGGACCTGGTCAACCAGAGGTCAGTCTGCACGGGATGATCATGGGGATTAATCTCTCCCTTCACACCCTTCCTGGCCCACAACTCTCACTGATGCCCTCCCCCATGCCTGGTCGTTGAGCAAACCAAGTGCAATTTAGAATGCAAGGGAGCCTAATGGTGCATCCATTCAGGTCAGCCTCAGGAGACACAGGGCAAAGAGGTTGGTGAACAGATCTGTAGAGGAAAACAGAAGCTATCCAGTGTTAGGGCAGAACTGGAAGAAGAAGACCTAGTTATGAAAACTTGGCAAGTTCCAGGCAAGATATTTCGGTGACTTCAATGAACATGGTAAGAATGCAGATGATGAGAAATTATCAGACATTTTGGTGGCCACCAAAAGAACTTGCTGTGGATTCTAAATGACAAGGATAAAGAACAATCAAGGATTGTGGCTGGCTTTTACTTTGAACTACTGGGTGGATGGTGTGCTCTTTGGTGAGATAGGAAAAAAGGAGGTATAGGAATGTATTTTGGTAGGGGAGAAAAACAGAGAAACTCCTCTGAATATTTTAACTTTAAATTAGACATCCAAATGGAGGTTCTGAGCAGGTGGTTGGATATTTTTGTCTGTAGCTCAGAAAGAGATTGGAGTTGGATATGTAAATCTTGAAGTCACAAGCACATAGATAGTATTTAAAACCATGACAATGAGTGTCGATAAAGAAGATAAAGAGTCCAAGGTTGGGACATTCCAACAATTAGGGATTGAGAAGAGGAAAATATCTTGAAATAGAAACTTAGAAGGAGTATACAATGATATGGGAGAAAAACCAGGTCTCAGAGACAGGAGAATAAAGAGATTCAAGAAGAAGAGAAGGGTTTTTAAATGTAAAGAGAACAGTGCCTTAAATATAGCTGGACTGGGAAAAGAAAGTTACCTACTGTGATTATCATAAGAGCTCAGACTTGGATTTAGCTAAATTAATTTGAATAAAATTGCAGGCCCTTATTAGGAGTTTGACCTGGGGCTGCCTTTCTAAGTATCAATTTCTTCAGTCACAGAATAGTGGGGAGTTAAGGGTAAGTTCATTTCTCTTGTATTCTATCATATGTGTGTCAGATGAGTTTTATAAATAATTTTCCAAAGAATTCACAAAAAGTACAACTTATTTCTGATTTGAGAATTAAGAAAGAATTTATTATGGAGGTTGCCTTTGAGACAAAAATGAATAAAATTTTGTCAAACAGTTGGGAAAAGAAAGAATTTTGAGCATCAGAAAAAAACATGGACAAAGACCCAGCAATTATGAAATATGGGGCTCATTTGGAAGAAGAGCAAGTTGCATATTTTTTTCTGGAAATTAGGTGTGGTTAGTGGGCCATGTGTTGGGAAAATAATAAATGACATGCTAAATAAATTGGATTTTATTTTGCAGACAGTAGAAAAACCATTCATGATTCTTGAGTAGGTGATTAAGCTAATCAAAACAGGGCTTTGAAATTTAGTATGCAGTGGTAAGTAGATAGTATTGGAAAGAGGAATGGTGGGTGTTTAGTTGAATATACAGCTAGGGTTTGGGACATTTTATTCATAAGTCATTCGTTTGGCTTAATAAGTGTTACTTGTGATACCTAGTACAACCCACTGGGCACACAAATGCATATTAAATATGCATTCGATGTATGTATTCAGTGCAGGCAAGAGAGGATCCTGAGACCAGGGCTCTGCCAGTCTTTGTTGTAGAAGATCCTTATTACCTGATGAAACTAGAATGCCATAAATGCCATCAGTTTTGCATGCCTGGACAAGATAATCAAGAAAAATATATCATTCTTGTTTGAGTAGGGTGAAGATGGTGCTGTGCTACTGTTGGCATGTAGTGAGAGGCAAGGTAACTCATTTTGAAGAGAGTGATAATAATGTTGTTAATTGTCCAAAATCATTAAGCAGAGAAGCCAAGCCCTTGTCCTTGATATATGGCTGATATAGTAGAGTAAAACCACTGATTTGAAAGGCAGTTTTGGTGTGGCCACAGATTAAGAAACATTAGGAAAGTCACTTGTTTTAATATGGGCTTGTTAGCTCATTTGTACAGAAATAATTGAATTAGTGTTCTTACTACAGAGTCTCAAAAAGAATATACGTTTTGTGAATCGGTTTTTTTCAGTTTTTAACCATGGAACCCTTGTAAAATGTAAAATCTAGAAACATTACTGGCAGGAATACATGGCAAAAACATTATGTTAAATGTTGCTCTAGATATTTCATAAGGCCAGATAGATCAAAGAAAGTGCACAGACTTTACATATTGATTTTATATTCTAGTTCTACCATTTATCAGGTGATTAGCTGTGAGCTCCTGACCTAATTTTATGACATTCCATTTTCTCTTGTGTAATATGTTTATTAATATTATCTATTCCTTAATATTGTCTTAATGATCAGTTTCATGCACCCAAATTAATCAGTTAATCAATGTCTGATTCTCACTTGGCTCCTGTAAAAGTTACTAAAGGGCAACCAATATTGTGTTATTATTATTATATTTCTTTGAGTGTAAACGTATTGTTTTCAATCGTGATATGGGAGATTAAGTACTTGTCCATGAATTTTTAAATGTTTATTAAAATATAATTTATGTACCATAAAATGCAGCCATTTATAGGGTACAGTTCTGTGGATTTTCAATATGGACATAGATTTAAGCAAGTATCACCACAATCTAAGTTTTGGATATCTTCATGATTCAGAAAAAAAAAAAAAGAAGGATTGTGTTCATTAGCAGTCATTACCACTTCCTCCCAATACCACTCTCCAACCTAGACAACTGCTATCCTACATTTTGTCTCTATAGATTTTCCTGTTCTAGGTATTTCATATAAATTAGATAATTAAATATGTAGTATTTTGCTACTAGTTTCTCTCATTTAAGATATTTCTTCAAGATTCATCCATGTTGCAGCATGTGTCAGTACTTTATCCTTTTTTACTGCCAAATAATATTCCAACTATGGTTATACCATATATTTTTTAGTTATTCATCAGTTGGTGGACTTTTTTTCTATTAGCTACCGTAAATAATGTTGCTATGAACTATCACATACAAGTGTTGTGTGGACAAATGTCTCTATTTCTTTTGGTCACTGACTTAGGAGTGGAATTTCTGGTTTATGTGATAACTCTGTGTTTAACATATTAAAGAACTGTCAAACTGCTTTCCAAAGCACCACATGCTTTTACATTTCCACCATTGGTGCATGATAGTTCTGATTTCTCCACATTTTCTCCAACACTTGTTACTGTCTTTTTATTACAGCCATCTTAGTGAATGTGGATTAGTATTACATTGTGCTTTCAAGTTGCATTTCCTCAATGACTAATGATTTTCAGCAACTCTTCTTGTACTTATAGACCATTTGAATATCTTCTTTGACGAACTATCTATTCAAATCCATTGCCATTTTTAAAATTTTTTAAAAGTTGATTTATAAGAGTACTTTATATATTCTGAATTCACATCTCTTGCTAACTGTATGATTTGCAAATATTTTCTTTCATTCTATGGGCTCTATTTTCACTTCCTTCCTGGTGTTCTTAATACAGAAAAAAATTTAAATTTTAATGAGGCCCAATTTGTTTATTTTTTCTCTTGTCACTTATGCTTCTGGTGTCATATTTCAGAAACCATTGCCTATACCAGGGTCATGATGATTTGCTCATATGTTTTCTTCTACAAATATTATAGTTTTGTGATAAATTTAGATAGATAATATATTTTGAATTAACTCTTTACACTATGTAAAATAAGTGTCCAAATTTATTCTTTTGCATATAAATAGCTGCCTGTGCACTATTGAAAAGACTATAATTTCCCCATTGAATTGTCTTGGTACTTTTGTGGATAGTGTTTACCATACATGCTAGGGTTTATTTCCGGACTTTCAATTTCATCCCATTGATCTGGATATCTTTCTTTATGTCAGTACCACACTGCCTTGATTATAGTAGTTTTCTAGTAAGCGTTGAAATTAAAAAGTCTGAGTTCTCTAACTTTTTTCTTTTGTAATATGTTTTAGCTATTCTGGGTTCCTTAAATTTCTATATGAAGGATTTTAGGATAAACTTGTCTATTTCCACCCTCCCAACCCCTAACACAAAAACAAATTTGGCTGGAACTTTGAAATAGTTTGTATTGAATCTGTAGATAAGCTGGGGAGTATTAGTAGCTTAATATTAAATTTCTCAATTCATGCACATGTAATGTCTTTCTATTTAATCTTTAATTTTTTTCAACAATGTTCTGTAGTTTTCGGTGTATAAACCTTGCATATCTTTGACCTAATTTATTCCTGGATTTTTTTTTAATGCTATTGACATGTAACTGTGATCTGATTTTATTTTTGAATTGCTGATTGCTAGTGAATACGTGAATTTTGTACATTTATCTAGTATCCTGCAAAATTGCTGAACTTCTTTATTGTGTAGCTTTTCTTTTCTTCTAATGTTTTTGGTTTGAATATTGGGGAATACTAGTCTTATACAATGAGTTGAGACATTAGAAAAGTTTGTGACAAATAATATTCGTAATTTAAATTTTTAGTATAATTCATTAGTAAAGACATCTGGTTCTGAATTTTTCTTTGTAGGAAGTATTTCAATTATTAATTCAGTCTTTTTGCTTGTTATAGGTCTGTTTTAGATGGTCTATTTAACTTCGAATTAGTTTCATAGTATTTCTTTCTGGGAATTCTTTCTTCTAAGTTACTTAATTTTTGTCATATAGTTTTAGTGCTCCTTATAATTTGTAAAACAAATTATAGTGCTCCTTATAATTTGTAAAACATTTCTGTGAGATTGTTCATTATGTCCCTTTTTCATTTTGGATTCTAATATTTGCATCTTTTCTCTTTTAGTCTTGATTAGTCTAGCTAAAGATTTGTCAACTTTGTTGATCCTTTAATCAACTTATAGTTTTATTGATTTTTCTCTATTATCTTTTTATTCTTTATTTTATTCATTTCCACTCTAGTTTTTATTATTTTCTTCCTTCTGTGTGTTTTTGGAGAGTTATCTTGTACTTACTTTTCTAGTTTCTTAAATTAGAAGGTTGGGTTATTGATAGGGGACTTTTTTTTAATATAAGTGGAAACAGCTACAAATTTCCCTCTAAACACTCTTCTACCTGCATCTTCTACCAGCATGTTCATATGTTATTTTGTTTGTTTGTTTTTGTATTCTCAAAGTATTTTCTAGTTTTCCTTGTGATTTCTTTTTTGATCAATTGCTTATTTGGTGGCAGCTGGTTTAATTTACATATATTTATAAAATTTAAAATTTTCCCCTGTTGTTAATTTATGCTGAAATACCTGTGGTCAGAAAATGTAACTTTTATTATTTCAAACCATTAAATTAATTGAGGTTTGTTTCATGTCATAACATAGAGCCAATGTGCTAGACAATTGTTCATGTACATTTGAGAAGAATGTGTATTCTACTGTTATTGGGCAGAGTATTCTATAGATGCCTCTTAGGTCTAGTTATAGTGTTTTTCAAGTCTTCTATCTTCTGTTAGTTATTTTATTCATTACAGAAAGTAGGGCATTGAATTCCTCAACTATTATTTATAAACTGTCTCTTTCTCCCTTTAATGCTATGTGTTATGCTTAAACGCATTTTGAGCCATAATCTTTTTATCGTTATGTCTTTCTTTATCTGTAGTAACACTTTTTGTTTTAAAGTCAATTTTGTCTGAATTAGTATATCCACTCCAGCTCTCTTTTGGTTACTGCTTAGCATATGTTTCCCCATTCTTTCTCTTTAAACTATCTATGCCTTTTAATCTAAAGACCATCTCTTGCATAGTTAGATCATGTTACTTGTTTCCCCATTCTGCCAATATTTGCCTTTTGGTTAGAGTACTTAATTCATTTAGATTTAATGTAATTGTAGAAATGATGTTATTTACATCTACCATTTTGCTATTGGTGTTTTGTATGACTTATGTAGCTTTTTCCCTCTATTTCTCAATTATTGCCATCTTTTGTGTTAGTTTATTTTCATGTATCATTGAAATTTCCATGTGTTTTTTAACCTTCTTTTTTCTTTGAGCAACTTCCTCAGTGGCTGATTTGTGGCTTATAATTAATATTTGATTTAAAACAATACAGTATATCAGTACTAACTTAATTTCAATAGTATGCAAAACTTTGACCCGAAAGGACCTTGTTTTCGCCTCCTTCCTTGTGCTATTATTGTCCTCATGGACGTTTTCCATTAGCTGTTTTTATTTCTTTTGTATGTGGCATGCTTTCCTATTTCTTTGCATTTCTTATATTTTCATACCGAAAAATGACATTTTAGATAATACATTGTAACTACTTTGGTATCTGATCCTTTCTTATCCCCCAAAGTTTGTTGTTAAAGAATTTTATGTTATCGTTGTTCCTCAATTAATTTCAGTTTTCCTCAATTAATTCTGTAGATTCAGTATTTAATGTAATATGCAGCCACTGAACTCTATTAGATTATTTTTAGGTATTATTTTTCTTTTAAGTCTAGCTTCCTAGTGATCAGCCCAAGGTTACTATAATTTAAGGGTCTGGGAGTGATTGTTCAGAAGATTTCCTAAAAGGCTTTGCTTTTGTGTCTCTCTCCTGTCAAAGGGATCTGTGTGAGAGGGCATGCCTTCAAGCTTCAGGTAGTTTACAGTAGTTTTAACTTTCACTTTCTGCTTGCATGAGACCTCAATATCAACCAGATATTTGTGGGAATTTCTAGTTTCCCAGGTCTTTCCTAAACAGGCACATAGATCCCTAGGAATATGTGGGAGTTTTTCAAAGTTCCCTATGGTTATATAGCTCTCTGTTATTCCCTTTTAAATTCCTGGCAAAGCTCTTGTTTGATCTACCAGAACTCATAGCCTTTGACGGTTGTGATGTTGCCAGCAAACTTTTATGATATTGGCATGTCCTGTGGATAGGGAATTCCCCACACCTTTTTACAGAAATTTGACTCAAATCAAATAACCATCACTCTAGAATAGGGAATTTTCAGAGAGCTGCAAGTTTAGGCAAAATATTAAAAGTGCTTCTGGAGATGGTGCTTTTAACACAGTTCCAAAATGGTTCAGTCTTTCCTCTTGCTAAAACACAGCTGGCTAAAAGGCAGCTTTTTATGTTTTCCATGCTACCATGCTAGAGAAAGAGGAAGTTAAAGCATCACAGCCTGCTGGCTTATTAAGGTTCCGTAGTTTCTCTTCCATAGGCAATGTCCAGTTTCTTCCTTGGCTTTGGCCAATTTATAGAGTTCTGAAATTATTAAATTTAGGTTTTTATCCCAGTATTTTTATTGTTTTTGTGGGAAAGCCATGCCTGAGGTCTTCATTCCAACATTCTCAAAGTTGATCCTTTGTGATTTATTTGTAAAAGTCTATTCCTGTATTCTTAGTAATGTTCTCATTGTAATTTTTATACCTACCTGAAAATGATAGAATCAGTTTATTAAAGTTGAGATTACATATTTGCACATATATATACTATATATATGTGTGGGTGTATTTGTGTATTTTCAAACCTTGAATATTATTATAATACTATTGCCATAATAGAATTTGAAAGAAATAAAAGAAAAAATTATCATACTTTTAAGTAGTGTGCTTATATCTACCTTGTCACACTAACAAAGTTACAAATGATAAGTATAAGAGAAGAAAAAATACAGCAGATTTATTCTAAGTGTATGAGCTGGTGTTTCATCTAGAGTTCCTGTAGAATAGGGGCTATTTAATACTAACTAGAGATGATCTGGAAGCAGGTTGTTTGGTAGCCCTGAAGGGGCTTCTCCTTGTTACAGCAGCCATATGCACATTAGACTACTCAAGATACAATTTTCTTTCCAGCAAATATAAAATGACAGAGCAGTAGAGGACACTACATCTCCCCTCTGGGCCCTAAGTGGTACTTATCTAATGGTCTCTTATAAATGCATATTAGTACGTGATTAATATAGGGTTGATTTTAAACTGTAGATCCCATCCTCATTTTTATGGAAATTATGTAAACCAGTGTATTACCTTATTAAGACTATATTGGTAACTATAAATATGAAATATGCTTTATTAACAAAGGTTTCTATTTTGATACTTGCTGTGTTGCTTCCATTATGTGAGACTATTAAGTCTTTCTGCTGATTAACTTGTTTTTAGCAAACACTTAAAACATAAAATAATGACCAAATGCTAAATATTTTATGGTCTACACCGACTCACACTTTCCTAGTACAAAATTTGAGAATGTTTACCCCCGAAAACTTGGTTGACCGAGCATAATTACATAAAATTGATGAGACTCTTATAAACCAAGTGTCCATAAACATAATTCACTTATTACTAAAAAAACACCTTATTAATTATAAAAGATGAAGAAAGAAAAGCTAGAAGGGACCATTAGCATATACCTATTAAAGTCCATAGACATAGATGTCACAAAGTGGTAAGACAAGAAATCAATGTCAGAAATTAATAAAATATATTATAAAATATAGTATTAGACTTAATCAGATTAAGCATCTGGTTTTCTTTAAGGAAGTTTCTTTTCATATACAGGTTAAGAATGGCTTGGCTATGCCTTGAAGAAGACTCACAGCCAACATGGACTATTTTTTAACAACCTCTGTCAAAATCCCTCTGGAAAATGGGCAAGTCTTAGCTATCACATATATTTTCCTCTAATTTTTTATAAAAATTATGTAGCTGTAACTTTACTATTTTTAAATGGAGTCCTAGTATCTTTCCTAAATCCTGCTTTTAGCACTCCACTGAGTGACTTTTCATGTTTTCTGACTTATCAGGATCTATATCTTTTAGGGTACTTTTTACTTATCTTTTACTGTGTTACTCCTCTGCGTCAGTTAAGATTATAAGTTATTCTGATTATAATTTATAATCAGTTAAGATTATAAGTATATTCTGTTAATATACAAAATTTGAATAACTTAAAACTGTGGATGCATATTTCTCCCTTTATGTTACACATCCATTGTAAGTGAGCAGAAGGATCTACTCACTAACTGTTCAAAGATCAAGGCTGATTAAGCAGAGGCTAGCTTGAGTCCCATTAGTCACAGTACCAAATGAAAAAATCTCTGGAGTGTCTTGCAAAGGCTACCAAATACTGAACTGAAAAGAAACACACACCATTTTCACTTACAACTCTTTGTTCAAAACCAGTGACTTGGGCTCAACTACTCATGAATATGGAGGGGGAGATGGTAAGTAAGTGCAATTCTATGATACACTTTCCAAAGTATAGAGCTTGAAATATTTAGGGGGAAGGAAGAAATATTTATATAAACCAGAGTCTCTTTACAACTTTAATACATGCAAGCATCAGACTGGAGAAAAGCTAAGTTGTTTAGAAAAAAAATTACTAAGAAAATGGGAAAATTTTAATTTAGTAAATTACTTTTAAGTCTTCTGTGTTTTTATTGTGTTCTTGTTAATTTTCTCAATTCTTAGATAAGATTATTACCTATGATTAAAGGCTATTTGAATTTTATGCAATATATTCTTAGATTTTTCAGGTGAAAATATGACAGGGGAGCACTATTTTGAGTTCAAATGAGAGTATCTGCATAATTTAACTTATAGAATTGCAATGCTTAAGAGAATATCAATGGTGGGCAGGAAAAAAATTATAGCAAATCAAGTTAACCCATTTATGTCTGAAGTTGCAATTTGTTTGAGTTTTTGCAATGAGACCTTGGCGATGACGTTGAGCAGCAGGATGTAAATAAATCCCACATGCCCAGCGGTCCAATAATGGAACGCTAGGCATGAATTGGTTTAAAGATGAAAAAAACCTAAAATTATCCTGGGAAAATAAGAGATTCCCAAAAGGAATTTGGTTGTCTAATAAATGAAGGTGTTTTGGAAAAAGGAAACGTCATTAAATCTAGCTTTGGCAAAAGAAAAAATAATGTAAGAGATGATTTGCAATCACTTTAATACATGCAACACGGTAAAATTCTACAATAATGCATATATTTATTACATTATTATAGGCCAACAATTATATTCTCATCAAGTTCTTTGAATAGTATAGCATATTATAAATTTTGCATAATAGGATTGTTTAACTGATAAAACATATCATCATACTGAAGAAATTGTCTTTGTCATCATACAGGTTTATAAGCAGATTGAAGATGATTTTCCTGTTTTCAATATTCCAACCACTCTATTCAAAATTCAAGATGATTTCCCTATTCTCACCCATCTCAACCACCCTATCCAAAGTTTTAGAGAGAACAGCATCTTACAGTCAGTACCTGAAGATATCCACATAATGTAATATAGCATATCTTTAATATAATATACTATATAATATATATATTTCCCAACTATGTTATGCTTAATCATTTTGGAGATATACTTTTTTGTTATGTACAACATGAAACTCTATATAGTAGCAGAAGAAATAGTGAGGGAAGCAAAAAAATTTAAAGTTTATATTTTCATGTCAACTTGTCCATGCAATGACTAATCATAATGGAGAATCACGCTTCCAATTATTTTGAGAAATCTCCTTTACCTTTATAATCATAGCAACATTATTGGCCCATAACAGGAAATAATTTCCATGTTTGTGCCTGTGAGGATAAGGATTACAAAGTGGTGAGACAGGAGAGCTTTTCTCAGCTTTGACCTTGACAGTTCTAAGCAGAATCTATTGGAAATGTGGATGTAAATAATGCTATGCTATTATCACTGCTGACCTGGGAATTTAAAATGGAACACTTGTTGCTCTCTTAGCTTCCTATTAGACTAATAGTTGTGGTCTTTCCAAAGCCATGGGAAACATACTTGCAATAGTATAGGAAATTTTCCTCTAGAAATCTGCTTAATGTTGAGGCACTGGATTCTGTTTACACATGAGCAGTTGGCTTATTCAATAAAAAGATTACAAATTACCTTATGGAGCTTTCATAGAAAGTCTGTAATAATTTGTCATTTAATTAGTTTGTGGTTTCTACTGTAGTCAGGCAACTGTAGTAAAATTATGGTTTATGATGCTATAGAGACATTAGCGTGGTGCCATGGAATGTAGATAACTAGACGGTAGGAAGACTGCAAGGCTAGTACACTGTGATATGTACACACACTCCCGATTCATCAGTCTGCTTCCCACAGTAAACAAACAGAACCCTCAAAATGTGAAATTTTACTTTAAAATATACTAGTTTTAAAAGGTGGGTATGGGGAAACCACAGAACTGGCCAATGTTCAGTGTGACCTAAGCCTTTCATCCCTAGCTCTGTGAAGAGGATGTACTGGAATACAGTTAGCAGCCTGGAGAGAATCCTTGAACTGAGGTTGAGGGAGAAAGCCAAGCTGAGGCAAACTTTATGGGAGAGAGGCAGAGAATAAATGCCCTGACCTCATTCTCTTCTGTCTCTCCAAACTTCTATCAACAACTACCGCCCCCAGACCCCCAATCTTGGAAGAACTTATTGGGACCTGATGCATACATGCAAACACACAAATGCATACATAAAGACACATGTAATAATAATATTTCTCTCTCTCTCTCTCTCTCTCCTTCCTCTTTTTCTCTCCTCTTTATTACACATTCGTGTAAGTTCTGGTGTAGCAAAAATGCAAACTCGGACAAGTCACAGTTTCTCTAGTTTCTGCAATTGTAAATAATAATAATCACACTCAGTTCACCAAAAGTTTGAGAGCTTAATGACATATGCATGAAATATGAAATTTTATTTTAAAAGTAAATTACATAAATAATTATATATAAATAAATTATATATATGATATTTACCTAAAATACGCAATGCAATGAAGGCTACATAAACAGATGTTCAGAATGGATAAGCAGTCTCTGTGAAACAGGTAACCCAATGAGATAGCTTACATTCCGTTGTGCTGCTTAGATTGACCAACACAGTGCATGAATATAGTGCTTACTCCATAACTGCTGAGTGATTTTATTCCTCACATCATTTTGAACTACACTTCTTTATTTCCTTCCCTACTCCCTAATATTTCTGTATTAGTACAGAATGCTAACCGATTGTACCAGTGGAGCTTCAAACTTCAGTATTTCCTAAGGCTAGTACCAAACTTTACTATGGCTTTCTGTACTTGGCAAATTCTTTTTATCATATTTCAACTGTTCTTGGCCAGTCAGAATGCAGGGATCAAGGCTATGCATTGAAAATTTGAAGACAAAGACTGTGACCTTCACTTCAAGGAATTTGGATCCTATCAGAGGAGACAAACAAGTGAATACACCCTTTAAACTCAGTAACTAGGCTTCTCGGGTGGGAAGCAGAACAGTATTTGTTAAAAGGTGAAACACTAGAGTCAGAATGCTTGAGTTTGACTCCTGACCCAAAGCGAAACTATAAGGATTTGGGATAAATTACTTGATCACTCCATGCTTCAATTGTTTCATGTTTAAAATGGGAATATTAAATGCACGGTGTGCAATTAGGTATTAGTCAGTTCTTGCCCTGCTATAAAGAAATATCTGAGAGTGGGTAATTTATAAAGAAAAGAGGTTTAATTGGCTCATGGTTCTGCAGGCTCTAAAGGAAGCATGGTGGCAACTGCTTCTCTTCTGGGGAGGCCTCAGGAAACTTACAATTATGGTGGAAGGGGAAGGTGAAGGAGGCAAGTCTTACATGGCTGGAGCAGCAGCAAGAGCAAGAGGGGAGAGGTGCTACACACTTTTAAACAACCAGATCTCATAAGAGCTCATTATTCTGATGACAGCACTAAGAAGGATGGTGTTAAACTGTGAGAAACTGCCCCCGATACAATCACTTCCCACCAAGGCCCTCCTCCAACAATGGGGATTAAAAGTCAACATGAAATTTGGTGCGGACAGAGATCCCAACCATATCAGATTACCACTACAGCTATTATTAGTACAGTGCTATAATCTGAAAGTACTATTACTACTGCAGAATGGCAATAATAATGATAATAATGCAAGTGGCAAAACACGGTATAAGAGGACAGAGAGGTAGAGTCTTAGAAATTTGTAAGCAAACTGATAGGCCGTTTAAAGATTGGAGAAAATTCAGAAGAGGACGAGTAAAAGGGCATGAGGAGGAGACAGTCTATTCTGGGAGCAGCAAGTAATTTTTCAGAGATAAATGCAAAGGTACTTGTGCAGCCATGTAATGCAACAAGAAGCAAGAAGAATACAGACTATGAAAGATATCTGTGCATTTAATATTCCCATTTTAAAAATGAAAACATTGAAGCATGGAGTGATCAAGTATTTTATCCCAAATCCTTAGAGTTTTCCTTTGGGTCAGGCGTCAAATTCAAGCAGTCTGACTCTAGTGTTTCACCTTTTAACAAATACTATTCTGCTTCCCACCCTAGAAGCCATCATGATATTTCATGATGTCATGTTAAAAGGCATAAATTTTATCCTGAAAACTAAGGATGTTTTGGGAAGACTTTCAGGAAAGCAGAGACGTGAATTGTCCTACCTTTTAGAGAGATCGCTTTGACAAATTTGCCACAAACAGACTTCAAAAGAATGAAACTAAAAGTTAGGTTAGTTAGAAGTCTCTTTAGAAAGTCAAATATAACTGAGAAAAAGCCAACAATGAAGGGAATAGAAAGCCTAGGGCAGAATTGATAAACAGAATTATGGGAATTGGAGAGAAGAGGGAGAAATTCAGGACCTCAGGTATGATTTGCACAGCAGTATGATTGGTGGTTTTAACAGGAAGGAGACTATAAGAGGTGTATTTAAAGTACAATTACAGTCAATTAAAAAGACTTTGAGGTTCCATAGAGATACAATGAGATGTGGGTAGTTGACTAGGTTCACATGTGTGGAGCTCTATAGAGTGTACAGGTAAAGACAGACCACACTGGAATTTTGGTGAAGACACGCATTTAAGATATCAGGTGAGATATTAAGAAGGAATTGTTACAGATAATGAAAGAAAGAAAACAAGGGAAGGCTTCAAGACTTTCCAAAAATGAAGGTGGATAAGAACGTCAAATGGGTCTAGTAAGATATGGACAAAAATGCATTTCTAAGCGTTGAGAGTATGTCACCTCAGGGCTAGAAACTGAATTTTCCTATTTCCAAGGAGAAAGGCATCAGGGAGAAATATCTTGTCCTTGTGAGGATATCCCTTGGACCTCCAAATGCACTGTGGAGGGATTCAGGGGTGGAAATTATACAATTTTTCTATTTATTTGAAGCTAATTTATCTCAAGAAAACCATTTTTTGAGCCGGGCACAATGACTTATGCCTGTTATCCCAGCATTTTGGAAGGTTGAGGCAGGCAGACCACTTAAGGTCAGGAGTTGGAGACCAGCGTGGTCAATATGTTAAAACCCTATCTCTACTAAAAATACAAAAGTTATCCAGACGTGGTGGCAGGCGCCTGTAATCCCAGCTACTTGGAAGGTTGAGGCAGGAGAATCACTTGAATCCAGGAGGCAGAGGTTGCAGAGGTTGCAGTGAGCCAAGATTGCACCACTGCACTCCAGCCTGGGAGATAGAGCAAGACTCTACCTCAAAAAAAACAACAACAACAACAAAAAAAACCTTTTGTTCTCATACTTGGAGCAGTAACAATGAAATGCTGTAATAACTTGTCTTATTTAATGTACATAATTAAAGTAAAACAAAACAAATACCAGTTATAATATTTTCTCTTAATGTAGTTACAACTTTTACATCTATTTACAGATAAGGAAAAGTAGGTTTGATGGTTATTTTATGAGTCAATTTGACTGGGCCATGGGATTCCCAGATATCTGGTTAAACATTATTTCTGAGCATATCTGTGAAGGTTTTTCTGGAAGAATCTAGCATTTGAATTGGTGAATTGAGTAAAACTAATTTCCTTCCACCTACGCCCTTCAACGTGGATGGGTAGCATTCAATCTGTTGAAGGTCTGAATAGAACATAAAGGCAAAACAGAAGCATATGGGTTTATTGTGTCTCTGCCTGAAGGCTTAAGCTGGCACATTGATCTCCCCTTGCTCTTAGTGCTACTCATTCTCAAGCCTTCAGACCAGACTGTAATCTACAAGATTGGCTCTGTTGCCCTTAGGCATTTGAATTACACTACTGGTCTTTCTAGGTCTCTAGCTTGCAGTGAGCCAATACTTTATAATAATAATTCTCTCTCTCATTCTCTCTTTCTGTATATATATAATATGTTAAAATATATACATATATTATTTAGATATTATATACATTTATATATAATAAATATTACATATATACACACATATTTTATATGGTTTTTATATATATACATATTTTTTTCTATTGACTCTGTGGGTTCTGTTTCTCTGGAGAACCCTGCTAGGCATAGAAAATTTAAATTACCTACCCAAAATCACACAGAAAGAGATGAAGCCAGCACAGAAACCCAAGTATATGTAACTTGTCTATTTTTAACTACTATGCTATACTACTGAGTTAAAAATTTATTATTATTTATAATATTATTATCCTTGTTAAAAACAACATGCTGCTTGATGTAGGTGTAGAATACTCTAAACATTCATCTATTTATTTCAAAAATACCTTGTATTGATACAGTTTTGTATACTTTAATGTATTTTGTATAATTTCTGAGAAGATTACCAAAAAGTTCCAAATATAATTATTCTTAAATGTAGGATTTATAATTATATAGTAATATCAGGTGATGACCTCCAAATAAAATATTTATGGAGAAATATTTATGGGTATGAACAGGAAGGGAAATTGTATATAACAGTTTCATGCCCTTGAGTCTCAGCCTAGTAGAGAGTGAGGATTTGGGTTCCTGGGATAGAAATGCGCTCAGAAATGGACAATTTTGTCCCATGTCATTTTATATTTCAGAATCTCATTCAGGAAATTCTAACCCCATGGTTTCCTAAGGAGAAGAGGTCCAATTAAGATAATTTCATACTTATCCAAATAGTTGTTTCAATAAAGAGATGGAAAATTTAACAATCAAGCCAGAGTATCTATTTTGTTAATCTTTTTACGACATTCTTAATGTTCACTGATGTTTATGAAAGACACGTTTGTTGATGTAGCCTACTAAAATTCTTTCCTTATCTATCTGTATGCATACTAGTATACGTCCATTACATACCTATTTTATGAAAACCAAAATCCAGTATATTTTATCCATTTTTTTATTTGTTCATTTGTTGAATGCTTTCTTTTATGGGAGATAGGAGTACAGTAGTGACTGCTTTTAAAACTCTGGAAAGACATCCCTGTCCATGGTTCTTAGCAGGCAATGCAGTGGTGACCAATACCTTTCATTTGAGTGGTGACTTTACTTCCTGAACCATGCCCTTGGCAGTTACAAAGAACTTTATGTCCTGTTAATTCCAGACATAGCCTCAAAACTGTTCACACAAACAATGCCCTGGGCAGTAACTATCAATTGATTAGAGTTGTCACATGAAATGAAATCAATTTGTCATTACTAGGCAGATAGACAGTATTATCTTGTTGGAAAGAAAAAAATAAGGCAGAATATAGCAATAGTTCATCCCAAAAGCAATATTAAATTGATATGACAATAAAAGAAATAGAAGACTTGAGATGACATTTTCTTTGATCTTCACCCTCCAAAAGATTGGTTAGGTTTCCAATAATCTGGTTAGATACTTTAAAATACTTATCAAGTTTAGATATACTTATATGCCACTGTGCTTAAATTAGGTTTGTTATTTCTATTGCTTTTTTAATGATTCTGTTATTGTTATTTGTTTTGGATATTTTGTAGGCCTGCTTTTTGGTCTTTTGCTATTGTTCACATTTCAAGAATTATAAGCCTAGCTTTCAAAAGACTTTAATATATTTAAATTTGTAAAAAAAAAAAAAGTCCATGTGATCAACCTGTACTTTTAAGTGTTTTCAAAACTAAGACAAAGATGGCCAATGTTGTTTCCTGCAAACAGTGAGGTTTATGGAAAATTCAGGGTATGTCATCCTACACTCATCCTCCAAAGTGTGTACCCATAACTAAATAGCACAAAAAGGGCTTTGTACCTCTCTGTCCATCATTCTGGTTTGTGGATATTCCTTGACTTTGCTCAAATGCTCTAATATATTGATATTTCATGTATGTTGAATCTCAGCATATTTTAATATTCCTGACCATATCGGATATATACAATATGTTTTTCCTTGTTCTCGTAATAGAGACAATTTGAGCTACTTTGATCATATGGTGGCACCTATGTGAAAATAGGGTGGAAGTAGAAACAATGTTTATAGCATAATTGACCATGAGAATGTTCGTCTGAAAGTTTGAGCTGACGTTAAGTGGTGTTTTGACCTCTCTAGCCCATTGAAATTAGGGGATGTGTCAAGAAAATTTTATTTAGAATTCAAGAGACTAAGAAAAAGACTAGAAGTCACCTGAGTTCATAGGAGACATATTGGAGAGTGGGATTCTGTGTGGTTTGGGTCATTTTATGAGTGGAGAGTTATGGGGCAATCTTAATACAAAAAATTCAATTTATAAACTGCTTGGACTCTGTCATGGCAGACCTTATGACCCTATTATAAATCAAGGTTAATCTGAAACATCTATTTACTTCTGCCCTCAGTGTCATAAAAATAGAACGGTATTCAGAGAACATATACTCTCATATCTTAGATGGATCCTCACCTCCTCTACACATACTCATAATGTTTTTGCTCATTCTGGGACAATAAGAGAATGTCTTATGTGAAAGTATGTCAGCCCTCTGAAAATTAGCTCCAGGAGTCAAAATGGTGGAGTACAAATTAAATTATACTAATTTTGTAAATGTTCTTTCCCTACTAGCAAGATATAAATATACTGTGTTTAGTTGATTACCACTTTGCAAATTGTTAAACATGGAGTTTTTATTTAATATCTCAATGATATGCACAAACCATTTTGTCCATTTAATTCAAATGTTATTCTTCAGATGTGGTAATATTTAATATGTAGCATATTAAAGATGGCCAGAGATTCCTTGATAATCTGCCCATTGAGAGGAATGGTCTGTGCCCCTCTACCTTGTCTTGAATCTGGGAAGTCTCTGTGACTGCTCTAAACAATCAAGATCAGCAGAAAAGATGCTGTTCTTGTTCTCAAGTTCGAGACTTCAGAGACTGGCAGTTCGCTCTGTCTTGGAATGCTCATGCCTAGGATACTACCTGTCAGACCACAACAGCCATGCTAGAAGTGGCTCTGGTCACATGGAAAGATGGCATATCAGTGTTCCAATAGTCAGCCTCAGATGAAGTCCTAGCCAACAGCAGGCATCAACTGGCTGGAGTCATTCATGTAAAGGAGATATGTTGGACTTTCAACCAAGTCAATCCTTAAAATGACTGCAGCACCAGTTGACATCTACCTTCAACTGCATGACAGATCCCCAAGTAGGAACTGCCCAGTTGAGCTGAGTCAACTCATAGAATCAAATGAGGTAATGATTATTGTTATAAGCACAATGTTTGGGGGTTGTTTATTACACAGTAATAGATAGAAGTTCAGGTATGAATTAAACATCAGAGTGATCAAAGTTTCATTATATCAAATGTTATCTTTCCTTGATTTTAGATCACCAGAGTAATAGCTGTGTTCAGCAATATTGTGGTAACTATTGCAATGCTGACATTCCCATTAGTTAGAGCTGCAAAATGATGATGAAATATGAACATATTCTTATTTAGATGCTAAAAAGGACATTGTAGAGATGAAGAGAAATGGCTGCCAGATCCTGCCTCCCTCTTGCCTTTCCCCTCCCCCAAACACACAGATATATTCAGCCAGGAAACTGAAGGCAATGGAATGTAACTGGCACTGGTAATGCTGATATATTCTTTTTTGTGCCAAAACAGTCTCTTGGCTATATCCACAGCACTGTTGCCCAAACAGAGGATCTTCTGTTTTAGGGCTGAGCATGGCAATGATTCCAGTCTTTCGCCTTCTTCTTCTTTTACCATTTAAATTAGTAGAAAACATTTCCATATTTTGCTTTCTAAAGAATTTTGCATGAACGAAAATGATACCTATATTTACAACTTATAAGAGATAATCAATCCTTGAGATGATTGCTACAACTGATAAAGTTATACACAATTCTGGGACACTGGATGTAAATGCCCTGGGATTCGTACTAAAATGCTCATTGTTTTCGTTAATGCCTTCACCCTTTGGGCCCTTGTTTTCCTCTCAATGGCGTTTAGAACATTAATGCACCATGTGATAAAATCATAGCCCTTGGTGCTCAGAAGCATAAAGCAGAAGTAACAGGCTGAATCAGTACTCATCTTGGAAAACACAGTCTGCTTAGACAGAAGTCTAAGAGAGAAAATTGGCAAGAATGAAGAAATCAGACAGCTTCATGGAGAGTGTCTCAGTGGGAAAACCACTGAGGAAACACATAAGACTTGAAGGCAAATGATGGCAGGATCCATTTTTCCATGGAGATATTTGAGAGGAAGTTTGATGCCTGTCTGTTTGGAATATTTTAAATAAAGGCTGCCCTGATGTAGAAGAATATACTTCATATTTGGAGATTCCTCTCAGCTCTATTGTTCTTTGGATTATAAATGAAGTCATTTTATTTTTCCTTCATCACTACTAGTGAGAACAAAAAATACATCTCTATTCACATAGACTCATAAAAATTAAGGTAATGGAGTTGAAAAACCCTTAGAGACTACAGACTTAATCTATGCAAGGTTTCCTCACTCAATAAACCTTTTCATTTGTATCTGCCTCATATTTGTTGAACCTTCATCTATATTTACAAATAGAAGTTATTCAATGCTTGTCACATCTAATTTTAATCTAGCCTTAACTCAAATTTTCTGAAGAAGAATTTCAGGCAACTTCAAATAAAGTGACATAAGCACAAAAGAGGGAAAAGAAAATAGGATGATGTTAATATTAATATGTTCTATTACAAGATTTAAATGTGGCTGTATATGTTCAGAGAGGGTAGACCAAAAGAGAAATGTAAGAAAAAGTATAACCCTAATCTGATAGAAAAGTGCTCATTCGAAAGTACAAATATATTTTCATCTGTTGTAAAATGTTGAATATTGTCAATCACATGAGACATTGAGTGACACAATCATAATATTTTTCTATCACTTAATATTAAATGTAGAAACAATTTTGTATACTTTTATAGAACTGAATAAAAGGAATCCTGGGGTGAAAGAAATTGTATAAATTTAGCTGTAGATAAAACTACATTCAGACTTTTACTCTATTCATCTATCTAAACTTGGTCAAGTGACATATACTTTCGACACATGGAAATTATTATTTTTATTTTTATCATGTTCATTTTCTTTATCAGTACTTATATTTTCTACTCAGTGAAAACCCCGTTTCTATGAAAAAAGATTTGAGGAAATTCAAAAATATATATTGTGAATTTGTAATAGGTCAAAGGTGAACTTTTTTGTGAATTTTGTGAAATTTGACTTTGTAAATTAATTTTTTATTTAATTTTAATGAAAAATAATAATAGTGTATATTTGTGGGATACAGTGTGATATTTTGATCTATTTTACATTGTAGAATGATTATCATTTTTAATTTTAAGATACTTTTAAATTTAGAAAAAATTATAGTTGTCACATTCATTACTCTTAATTGTTCACAATAAGTCTTTCAGAGTTATCAAAGTATAATGTAATCAATTTTGTGTCACTTTTGTTTTAGGTCATCCCAATAGATTTATCAGTCTGATAATTCCTTAAGTATTCTAAGTGATAAGTGTATATTTGTCACTGGTTTCCTATTCTGGATTAGAATTTAATCGGTCAATTTGACAAATGATCCTACTGTAGATAGTTTAAATTACAAAAGATCTTTACCAAAATTCTCTTTTCAACTTGAATTATTATTTCCTTTATAGCACGGACTGTGTCTGATATTTTTTCATTACTTTTCAGGCTGCTTAAGAAAGGGTTAATCACATGATTAGTGATGAATAAATACTTGGTGATTTAAGGATATAAGACAAATTTTTCACTCTTTCTTTCTCTGAAACTCAGGCTTTCTAACTCTAGCAAAGACTGATCATTGGTCCTTGAGTTGATTGTAAAGTTAGTACTGATTAGACATGGATATAGAATTTGGTAGTCATGTCTTTCCCCTGGTCTTTCAAGTCAAAGAAAGGGAAAAGCAAGGTTTTTACCATGGAAAAAAAGTATATATATTAATATAATTTTATCTGTATACACACACACATATATAATGTGTCACAATTAATGCTTTATCACACAAAGTAATTGTGTTTAATTTGAGGAGACAAAATTATTAGGCTAGGCTATTTTTGTTGCAGTAAATTTGACACTGAGAAAATATTTCCATTTAATTTTATCAGCCTGAAAACTAGATATAAGAAATAACTGGTTAAATGAGAATTCTCTGACCCAGATATTGTTCAGAATTACTCTATGAATAAAATTGATTTGTTTTTAATCACATAGTATAAATTATACACATATAAGTATATTGTATTATTTTATATTTTGTTTAGATGAGATGTTAATATTAATGAGGTCATAGTACAGATATCATTTTCAAATTTACTTTTTAATGTTAATGTATCTTGGAAATATTTCTATGTTAACACATGAAGATATACCCCTATTTTCTTTTCTTCATTATTAAGTTCACATTATAAAACTGATTAATCTTAAAAGTACAACTTGATGTGTTTTTAAAAATGAAAATGCATGAGAAACCAACATATGAAGTGGATCAATATTAAAATATTACCAAACACCTAAATAATGAAACAATGCTATCGTACCACTCCCAGTTAGTAGACCTCAAAGGTAACTACCAATTTGATTTTATTCATTATAGATATTTTGCCTTTTTTAAAAGTGGATTCAGAGCACATGTGTAGCAGGCCCTCTATATTTGTGGGTGCTGCATCCACGTATTCAACCAAACACAGATTAAAAATATCTGAACATGTACAGACTTATTTCTTGTCACTATTCTTCAAAACATACAGTACAACAATGCACATAGTATTTACATCACATTATATATTATAAATAATTTACAGATGATTTAAATATATAGGAGAATGTGCTTAGGTAAATATGCAAATATATCATTTTATGTAAGGGATTTGAGCATCCACAGATTTTAAGATCTGCAGGGGCCCGGAAACCAATTCCCCGTAGATACCAAGGGACAACTGTATTCAGACTTTCATGTCTGGATTATTTTGCTTTGCTATTTTGTGAGATTTATTCATATCATTGTGAGTAGCAGTTCTTTTCCTTCTACTATATTTTTATATGAACATGCAGCAACATATTATGCATTTTCTTGTTGTATTTTATTTTATATTTTTAGAGATGGGATCTCACTCTGTTACCCAGGCTTGAGTGCAATATTGCAATCATAGCTCATTGCTGCCTTAAACAACCGGGCTCAAGGGACTCTCCCACCTCACCCTCCTCATCTGGGACTACAAGCACTGCCATCATGTCTGACTAATTTTTAAAACTATTTTTAAAGATGATAGGGGAGTCTCACTATGTTGCCTAGGCTGGTCTCAAGCTCCGGGCTTCAGGCAATCCTCCCATCTCAGTCTCTTGAATAGCTGGAATTACAGACGAGAGCCACTGTGCAGGGCACATTTTATTTTTGATGAATATTTGTATTGTTTATGCATTTTAGCTACAGTACATGAAGTTACTTTGAATATGTCTTTATATGTTTTCAGTGGACAATAACTTTCATTTCATTTGGATATTTACATACAAGTGGAATTGCTAGGTCACTAGATAAGCATATCTTTAACTATAAGTGATCCTGCCAATACGTTTTTCAAGGTAATTATACTAACTTATTCTCCATTATTGGTGGGTGCAAGTTCCAGTGGTTCATTAAATTCAGCTTTTTCAGTTTTTGCAAAAAAATTTGTGGTCATTTTCAGTGAGAATGTAGTAATATATTTATTATGAGTGGTTTTTTTTTTTTGGTTTGTTTTTGGGTTTTTTTTTTTTTTTTTTTTTTTTTAAGACAGAGTCTTGCTTTGTTGCCCAGGCTGGAGTGCAGTGGCACGATCTCGGCTCACTGCAACCTACACCTCCCAGTTTCAAGTGATTCTTCTGCCTCAGCCTCCCAAGTAACTGGGACTACCACCATGCCCGGCTAATTTTTGTATTTTTAGTAAAGACGGGGTTTCACCATATTGGCCAGGCTGGTCTTGAACTCCTGATCTCATGATCCACCCACATCGGCCTCCCAAAGTGCTGGGATTACAGGCATGTGCCACTGCGCCCGGCCTATTATGTGGTTTTGATTTGAATTTTCTTAACATCTTACAATATTAATCACCTTTTCCTGTGTTTGTTATTTGTAAAGTACCCTTTTCCAGTCTTCTTAAAAATAAATTAGCAGCGATCCAAATTGGTGATGTAGATGCAAGCTGGCTTCACCCACTCCACCCCACAGAAAACCAAAACCAAATACACATCAGTGAAGTTATCACCAGCCATATCCCAGAACTCAAATATTAGGATGAATCAGTTCCCTGGGCTGCAGAGGAGTGAAAAATACTCCAAGAAGACAGTCAAAGAATAGGATTTTCATATCCATGACACCCCTTCTGCCAGTCTACCTGGCCCCAAGCATGCGGAAAATTTCCTTGACTCATGATTTCTACACTGGAAAAAGTGAGATAAAGGTGGACAACCAGATTACTCACCATCTTGTGTTCCCTGGCAGGAGATCTGTTCATGCCTCAACCACGGGAAGCATGCCCGAGGGGAGAGAAAGCCCTGAAGACAGCTAGAGACAAAGTTGGGAGGTGGGACTACCATCCCCAGCATGGGAAATACTGCTCTGTAACTAGGCTAAAGGAGACACCAAATAAGAGTGGCTGTTCACTAACACCAGGGTGTAGAAGGTATGTTCCACAAATCCCCTGGGCACAAACCCCTAGCCAACCTTTTAACACTGCTGGTGATAGAGACAGGAGGCAGCCAAATGCCACTCAGGTCATTGTGCACAGGGGGCTTGCCTAAACATGCCCAGGGTACAAAATTCTGTCTCTTAACTCATGCACAGTAAAGTAAATAAATCAATGTTGAGTGACTCAGAGTAAAGGCCCACCTACACACTGGGAGAATGGGGTGGAGCCACCTGAAATTTACCCCTTATGAAGGGAGGAGAAGCCTGGCCCCTTCAGCTCCTGTGTGGTGGCCTGGTATTCCATCTGTGAGTTGGGAGCCTGTTGGCAGTACCCTCTCTTTTTTTGCTGAGAGCTTTCTTTTAATAAATTCTGCTTTCTTCACCTTTCAATGTGTCTGTATTCTTAATTTTTCCTGGTCATGAGACAAGAACCCAGATTTTAGCTGAGCTAGAGAAAAATCCTGTATCATTGGGATGTCCCCTTTGGGATCTCATCCATTCCAGCAGGGCAGTGCTCTAATTGTTTGCTAAAGCTGAAGCAAACCTGGACTTAAGATGCCATCTAGTGCCAAAAAGGAGGCAGTGACCTAGTGGAAAAAATACAAGAAATTCAATGGGTAAATTAAGAATTTTTAAGCAAACACTTCAAATAAAAATTTAAACAAGCCAATTAAAAAATCTGGAATAAGTAATTAATTTTTCAATGCAAATGCATAGACACACACCCACTAGAAGCATCAGCAAACAATGAACCATGACCTCCACAAACAGACAAAGCAAGGAACAAGTGACTAACTTATGAACTCTCTGACCCAAAATTCAAAACAGCAGCTGTAAGAAAACTTGGTGATCTCCAAGATAAAACAGAAAAGTAATTGAGAAACTTATCAGAAGGATTTAACAAAGAGATTGAAATAATTTTCAAAAATCAAACAGAAATCTCAGAACTGAAAATTTATTTGCTGGACTGAAAAATTTATTGGAGGCTCTCAATAGTAGAACAGATCAACAAGAGGAAAGAGTCACTGAGCTCAGCCAGGCTATTTGAAATTACATCATCAGAGGAGAAAAAAGGAATGAAAAGAAACAAAGATTACCTACAGAATATAGGAAATTACTTCAAAAGACTATACCTGAGAATTATTGGTATTCGAAACAAAGTTGAGCAAGAGCACTTGGTAGAAAGCTTATGCCAAAAAAAGAGAAAAAAACTTTCCAAAACTTGATAAAAATATAAATATCTAGGTACAGGAAGATCAGAGAACACCAAACAGATTCAACCCAAATAAGACTATCCCAAGGCATGTAATAATCAAAATCTCAAAGGTTTTTCAAATAAGACTATCCCAAGGCATGTAATAATCAAAATCTCAAAGGGACAAACAGTTGATTCTAAAAGCATCAAGAAAAAAAGCAAGTAACATATAAAAGAACTCCAATTTGTCTGGCAACAGACTTTTCAATGAAAACTATGTGGGTCAGGAGGGAGGAAAAACATTTCCAAACTGCTGAAAGAAAAGAAAAAAAAAAAACCTGTCACCCAAGAATGCTTTATCCAACAAACCTATTCTTCAGTTATGAAGACAAGATAAAGTATTTCCCAGACAAACAAAAGCTAAGATAATTTACCACACCAGACCCTTCTTACAAGGAATGCTAAAGGGAGTTATTCAATCTTAAAGAAAGCAAAACTAACATGCAAGGAGGAAACATTTGGAAACATAAAACCCACTGGTAAAATTAAGTAGACAACCTAAGAATAATCTAATATTGCAATTGTGCTGTGTAATCTACTCATAACTCCAGTATAAAGCCTAAAAAGCAAATCTATAGAAAACAATAGCTACAGGAACATGTTAAGAGACAGGCAATATAAAAATATGTAAATTGAGATAACCAAAGGTCGAAATGTGGTGGAGATGAACCTAAAGTATATAATTTTTTTAGCTTCTTGTTTGTTTCTGATTTTTTGAGATCTAAAATAAATGATCATATTTTTAAAAGATTTTGTTTTAAGAGGATTTTTATAAGCCACAGATGCAAAAACCTATAATAGATTCACTAAAAATAAAAAAAATCATACTGCCAGACAAAATCAAAACATACTGCCAGAGAAAATCACTTAACCACAAAGGATCACTGTGGGAAGGAAAGAAAGGAAGAGAGGAGTTACTAAACAACTGAAAAACAAGTAAGAAAATGGCAGTAGTAAGTTGTTACTTATATATAATAACAATGAATGTAAATTAACTCATTTTTCTATTAAAAGACACAGAGTGGCAGAATGAATAAAGAAACAAAATTCATGTTTCTTATGTCATATGTGGCCTGCAAGAAACTCACCTCACTTATAAAGACACACATAGACAGAAAAGAAAGGGGTGGAAGAAAAGGATATTCCATGCAAGTAGAAAGCAAAAAAGAGAAGGGGTAGCTATACTTAGACAAAATAGACTAAAGTTAAAGACTAAAAAGAGACAGAAATGGTCACTCGATAATGATAAAGGAGTCAACAATACAGCAGGAGGAGATATGACAATTATAAATATCTATACACCCAAGACCAGAGTACCCAACTATATAAAGCAAACATAAATCAATCTAAAGGCAAGATAGAGTACAATATAATAATAGTAGGGGATATCAACACCCACTCTCAATAATGAACAGATTATACAGGCAGAAAGTCAAAAAAGAAACTGAAGTTAAACTACATACTAGACCAAATGTCTTAATTGACATTTACAGAACATTTCACCTGACTGCTGCAGAATACAAATTCTTTTTATCAACACATGTAACATTCTCTAGATTATATTTTAGGCCACAAAGCAAGTATTAACAAATTCTAAAAAGAATCATATCAAGTATTGTTTCTAATTGCAGTGGAATAAAAGTGGAAATTGATACCAAAAACCACCTTGGAAACTACATACAAAAAATGGTAATTTAACAATATGTTCCTGAATTTCCAGTGCATCAATGAAGACATTAAGAAGGGGATTTTAAAATTTCTTGAAACAAATGAAAATGGAAATGCAACATACCAAAATCTATTTGATACAGCAAAAGCAATGCTAGGAGGGACATTTATAGCAATAAACATCTACATCAAAAAAATTGAAAGACTTCAAATAAACAACCTAACAATGCACCTTAAGGAGCTAGAAAATCAAGAACAAGCCAAACTGAAAAAACGTAGAAGGAAAGAAATAATGAAGATCAGAGTAAAAATAAATATAATTGAGACCAACAAAATTATAGAAGATCAATAAAACAAAAATTTGGGGTTTTTTTTGAAAAGATTTAAACAAAACCAACAAACTTTTAGCTAGACCAAGAAAAAAAAGAAGACCAAAATAAAATCTGAAATTAAAAAGGGAACATAACAACTGAGACTACAGAAATGCAAAGTATCATTTAGAGACTATTATATGATACGATGTGAAGCTAGGACATAAAGGGTATTGCAACAATCTCCTTGTACTCTTTCATGGATCATTCACTCTAGGGGAAACCAGCTGCATGTCATCAGGATTCTCAGTGTTTGGAAATACACACATGGAGAATAACGGAAGCCTCGTCCTAGCAACCGGCACCTAACATGCCAGGCATGTGAGGGAGTCACGTTGAAAGTTGATTCTCCAGTCCTGGTCAAACCACTGTTGACTTAATTCCTCACTGATAGCCTGAATCCAATCTCAATAAAAATCCTGAGCCAGAACCACCCAGTTAAGATGCTCCCGGATGCCTGATCCACAGGCATAAGATTAATGGTTAAGGGCGAGGGTAATTTGTTACATAACAATAAATAACAAATACAATAATCTCCTACAGTTTTTATATTTCAACTTCCTATCTGATAGTTGCCCTTTGGCATGAAGGAAACCTTTTAGTAATTTATTATAATGTGAAACTATTGTGACAAATTGCATATATATATTTTTTTCATTCAACATAGAATTTTATTTTAATGTATTTTTGCTTAATCGTTAATGATTTTCTGGCCAACATTGTTTCTTATGACAAATCACTAGCAATTTATATTTTTCCCCCAAACCTGATACTTCTTTTCCCTCTGGCTGCTTTCAAGATGTTTTCTTCATCTTTGGTTTTCAGCTGTCTGATTATGACATGCTGAGCTCTGGTTCTTTTCATACTTACTCTTCTTAGGTTTTGTTAAGCATCTTGGGTCCCTAAGTTAGGATTCTTTTTCATCAAATTTGAGAAGTTTAAAGCCATTATTTTTAAAATATTTCTTCTGCACCATCATAACTTTCATATGTTAATCATATAATATGTTAGACTACTGTTATTATACAGGTCGCTTTAATTCTATTCTATTTTTTCAGCCTCTTTCCTTTCTGATTTTCAGATTGAGTAATATCTTGATCCATCTTCAAGTAGAGACACTTTTTTCTGCTATCTTAAACCTCCTGTTTAGCTCAGTCCATAATTATTTATTTTTTAAACTTTATGTATTATGCTTTTTATCTCTGTATTTCCATTTAGTTCTTTCTAGTATTGCTTTTATTTGAAATTATGTAATGTGCCTGAAAACTTATGACACTGATATTCATATGTGATGATTATCCATAGTTTTTTACCTTGGTACAATATTTGTCAGATTTGGAGAGCTTATGTTACACATGCTTCTCAAAATAAATTACGAACTATTATTTCTTTTTCTATACTCTGATTTTCCTTAAGTGTAATTGAAATTATCTGACTCTTAAAGGTTTGGTAAAATGCCAGTTGAAGCCATCTCAATATAATTCTTGCGTGTATTGAGTGGGGACTGGGACAGTGGTGAGGACTATGGAGAGTTCTACTAGACTTTTATTTACTTAGTGCAATTGCTTAATTAAACTCTCTATATTATAGATATTATATTATAGATATTTTTGGTAAATTTTATTTTTGAAAAGAATTTCGGTTAAGTGTGCAAAGAGTTATGGTAAGTGGTTTCTCTTTAAATTTCTAATGCTTAGATCATATTTTCCTCTTGTCACCTGTAATTTTGTGTACTAATATTTCTCCCTTCTCTTAAAAGTAGATTTGCTGATAACTGTTTAATATTGTCGACTTCTCCAAAAATGAGCATTAGGATTTATTTATAAGCTCATCTTTTTTTCTCCACCCGAGAGCGTAGCAACCATTATTTTACCCTTTGCTTCTAGAAGTTCAACTTTTTCAGATTCCACATGTAAGATCATGTAGCACACATATCTCTTTCTGTGTCTGGCTTATTTCACTTAGCATAATAATTTTTTCTACAGCTCTTTGATGGTTTGTTATTGTTTTATAGTGTTTTTTTGTTACATGTTTAACTCTCTTGTTTTTAATTTTTTTGTATTTTTTAGTTAATGTTGTATATATTTGAGAGATACATGTGGTATTTTGATACATGTATACAATGGGTCAAATCAGGGTAATTGAGATATCCATCACCTAATACATTTATCTTTACTTCATTCTTAGGAAAATTACATTTATTCTCTTATAGTTATTTAAAAATATACAACAAATTAGTATTAACTATAATTTCCTTACTGCGCTATCAAATACTATTGCTTATTCTTCTAAGCGTATTTTTACTCATTAACTGACTCTCTTCATCACCGCCTCCTTTTACTCAGATAATTACAGCTATACAATAGAGATTCTGACGTTATAATTTTACTTGTATTATTTAAACAAATCTGTGATTTTATCTTTCTACCTCACCTCAATATTTGTTTAATAAAGGTTTTTTCCTTCAGATGGAAGAATCTTTTTAATTTTTATCTCATTATATTGTATGACTTCTATATTTTAGGCAGAATGCTGTTTGTATCACATATGTGCTGTGTGCCATAATTGTATTATATCTATATTTTATATTTTATTGAAGTTTCTTTTGTAATCTGTGTTCAATTTTTTTGTGACCTTGCCATGTGAAATAAAATATATTCACTGTTTTTGGGTTTCAGAGATATATGTATAGCTGCAACATCCACTGCATTAATGGTTATTAGGTTTTCTGTAGCCCTATTAACGATTTATTCTCCTGATGTGCTTTGGAATAAGAAAGCAATTTTGTAAACTTCTATTAGTCTTTGTCAAACTATGAGACTTCCATAGTTTCTGTTTATTGCTGTGGTATTTGACACATAAGTATTTATAAATTTTATTTTTATTGTGAATTATGGTTTTGAGGATTTGTAATCTCTCTCTATATTTATAAAGTTTTTTTTTTTGAGACGGTCTTGCCCTGTTACCCAGGCTGGACTGCAGTTCCATGATCAGAGCTCACTGCAGCCTCAAACTCTTGGGCCCAATCAATCTTCCACCTCAGCCTCCTTAATAGTTAGGACTACAGGCAAGCATTGTCATTAGGCCCAGCTAACTTTATATTTTGTAGAGACTGGGTCACACTTTGTTGCCCAGGCTGATCTTGAACTCCTGGCTTCAAGTGGTCCTGCCACTTCAGCTTCCCAAAGTGCTGGGATTATAGGAATGAGTCATCATGCCCAGCTACTTTAGTCTTATTATAAAATGCTGTTTGGTATAAATTTTATCTTATTAGATATCAAGATTGTATCCATTACTTTTTAAAGTTGCTGTTTGTCTATTGTATATTTTTCTATCATTCTACTTTTAACCTTACTGAATGTATTTTGTTGTAGAAATGTCTCCTATATATATAAAACAATGTTGTCTGTAATATTTAATATATAATATGTACCTTTTTCCCAAAGAATATCTATAAGGCAATTAACAAGCCTACTTTAATTCTCTTACATTCGATCTATTCGTCCTACTACGCGTTTTGAGGAGACAGACATTTTATATTATGTTATCTGTCTTATAAACATCATTTATTATTAGTCCTGCAATAAATACATGCTTAGTTTCAAACAGTTCTTATCTAACATCTCTTCGGTATTTTGGTTATCTGAATTTTGCCCTCTAATGTACTGCTTCGGAAGTGCTCATAGATACAATATCTGTAGAATTATCCAATTTTTATAATAGCTTGACTGTAGCATTTATATTCAAGGGTCATTTGGGCTGGGTTTATAAATCTTAGTCATATTATTTTTCTCATGTATATTAATGTTTTACTCCATTGCCTTCTGACATAAAAATTTTCTCTGAAAAGAAAAGAGAACAAAGACAATCTGATTTTTCTGACAATTTATATGACATCTTGTTTTTTGTTTTTCTTTTCTTTCCTTATACTGATATCTACAATATCTTGATACTGATAATTCTGAATAGATTTTTTCAGGTGTTTGTGTGCCTTTTCCATATGTAGTCTTACATATTTTTATTATTCAGGGCAACTTTCTTGAATTATTGTTTATACTTTCTTTTTTTATTGCTTCAGCTTTCTGAGGGGATATCTATTACACATGTATTCTGTCTTCTCTTGTATATTTAATTTTCTTCACTTTCTGTGAATTTATTAAATGATTAATTTTTAATTATTTGGAAAGTTCTCTTTTTAACTTTCCATTACTTTTTACACAATATCTGTCTGTTCATTAGCTCTTGCACTCTTCATGGTCTTTATTTTGGAAATAATTATTATTTATGTTTTTTTTTTCCCAAGGTTCAGTCACTTACTGTAATGTTTCTTTTTTTTTTCTATTTTAATTTGGCCTTTTGTCCTTGCACCATTTTCTTAATTTATTTTATTTTACTTTTTAATATGAATTGATAGTTTGTATCTGTTTTATGGACACGGCTTCATTTTTGGAGGGGTTTTGGTCTGTTTTAATTATGTTAATAAAATATCTGTATGAAATTTGGGTATGATTCCTTCCTGTTGCTTATTTGTATGTAAAATTACTTATTTCTTCTGGTTTTCAGAAGGGAATGTTAGCTGAGTATAGATTTCCTGACTCCACAGTACTAGAATTCTGTCATCTAATGTTTTCATAAAGTGGATAAAAATATCGCCTTTTATTTAATGAGAGGTCCAGACAGTTTCCATTCTCTATTTTTACATGGATTTTTTACTTCATTTCATGTTTGTTTGTTTTTTTCCATGTCTCACTCAATTTGGAATATTTTCCCAACAGTTTTTCTTCAGTTTAGGACCTCACCTCTAAGTGAGAATCAGTGGTTGGTTATGAAAGTTCTTAGTGCCCAATTTCTCTTACATTTTTATACTTTACGGTGAACCCTTGCATTCATGCACAAATTGGAGTGTATAAAACTAATCCCAGTCCCAGTTTCTATGCTCAAATTGGCCTGCGTCTGCTTTTTTGTTGTTGTTGTTTTTGGTTTTGTTTTTTGAGACGGAGTCTTGCTCTGTCACCCAGGCTGGAGTGCAGTGGCGCAAACTCGGCTCACTGCAACTTCCGCCTCCTGGGTTCAAGCAATTCTCCTGCTTCAGCCTCCGGAATAGCTGGGACTACAGGCGCACGCTGCCACGCCCAGCTAATTTTTGTATTTTTAGCAAAGACAGGGTTTTACCATGTTGGCCAAGATGGTCTCAACCTCCTGACCTCGTGATCCGCCTGCCTTGGCCTCCCAAAGTGCTGGGATTACAGGCATGAGCCACCACGCCTAGCCCGACCTGCATGTTTAAATGAGTACAACTTCGTTGTTCTGGATTGCTCCTGTCCTCAAGACCATTAGATATCCTATTGCCTACTTTTGCTTCTTCCCATATAGATGCTGATACTTGAAATTCTTTAGGTGTTGGTGACCTGTCCTTGCCCGCTCCAATTGGGTATACCTTGCCATTTAATTATTTTTTAGAATTTGGTCATACTTAGTTGGTTTTAATATCCTAGGTTCTTTATATTTTTATGAGATGATTCAGAGAAATAAAAACAAATCAAACTATGCTGCTGATGCTGAAATTTTTCTAGTTTGCCGTCTATGTAGTAATATTCTTATTAAATATTTAACGAAACTAGGCATCAGAAAACAAACTCGGGTGTGTGACATTATTTAAGAGAATTGGTATAGTTTTTTTAAAAAAATGCTACTGTCATTAAAAATAAAGAAGCCAGACAGTCAGGGGGTAGTTTTAGATTAGGTGAACAAATGACGACCAAAAGCAAAACATAATTATTAGTGGTATCTTACATCAAGAAAGCATAATTATAAGTAGGTTGCTTTAATAATGGTCTATATTTTATTACATGCTCTATGTAATTATATATATTTTATTATGCGCTCTATGTTAGATATAATATCAATGTCAAATATTTTGGGTATGATAATGCTATTTATTGCATCTCCCAGTATGGAAATATGCCCTTGTTATTAAGAAATACATGTTTTAATGTATTTAGGTCTGAAGTAACATGATTTCTGTAATTTATATATATATAATATATGCAAAATATATACATATTTTGTATATGTTTTAATATAAAATATAATATAGACATGCAATATATATATTTTACTATATAATATCTGTAATATATACTTTTATATATAATATATAGTATATTTATAATATATAAATACAGTTAATATTTAATGTATTTTATATATTATGTATTATAATTAATATTTATATATTATATATTATAATTATATATTATAATATATAATTATATATTATTTTATATTATTATAATAACATAAAATATAAATATTATATATTTAATATTTAATTAATTTCCACATGATATATTAATATATAAATATTATATATTGACTACATTTTATATAAATATTAAATGTATAAATTTGTATTACATAAATATTTGTATATTTTATATTAAATATCTATTATTGAATAAATATATATAAGTATTATATATAAAATTATATATAATATAGACATTCTTTATATAATATATAAGTTTATGTATGTCTATATAATATATATACAAAATAAATATATATTATGTATGATATGTATATACAATATACAATATGTACCTATATTATATATTACATTAAAATACATACAAAATATGATACATTTTATATATAATATATATTAAATTATATATGTAATTATACACATCTATATAGTATGTACATCTGTGTATATATAGAGAGATAGAGATATTCTAATTATTAAAGCAAAAATTGTGGAAACATTCTTTTTTATAATTCTAACATTTATTTTAAATTCAAAGGGTACATGTGAAAGTTTGTTACATGGGTATATTGTGTGACACTGTGGTTTTGGGTACAGATAATCCCATCACCTAGATAGTGAGCATAGTATCCAATAGGTAGTTTTTCAGCCCTTCCCTCTTCCTTCTCACCCTCCTCTAGCAGTACCTGATATCTATTGTTCCCATCTTTCTGTACATGTGTACCCAATAAGTAGTTCCTACTTATAAATGAGAACGTGTGGTATTTGGTTTTCTGTTCCTGTTTTAATAGGCTTAGGATAATGGCTTCTAGTTACACCCATGTTGCTGCAAAGAATATGATTTTATTCTTTTTTATGCCTGTGTAGTATTCCATGGTGGATATGTGCCATTTTTTCTTTATATAATACATCATCGATGGGCATCCATGTTGATTCTACACTTTTGCTATCATGAATAGTGCTGAGATGAACATACAATTTATGGGTCTTTTGGGTAGAATGATTTATGTTTCTTTGTGTATATAGCCAGTAAAGGGATTGCTGGGTCGAGTAGTATTCTAAGTTCTGTGAGAAATCTCCAAACTGCTTTCCACAGTGGCTGAGCTAATTTGCATTCCCACCAACAATGTATGAGAGTTCCCTTTTCTCCACAGCCCTGCCAGCATCTTTTGTTTTGGCTTTTTAAATAACCACCATTCTGATTGGTGTGAGATAGTATCTCATTGGTATTTTGATTTGCATTTCTCTCATCAGTAATGATGAACATTTGTTCATATGATTGTTAGCCTTTTGTATTTCTTCTTTTTAGAAGCTTCTGTTCATGTCCTTTGCCCACTTTTTAGTGAGGTTATGTTTTTCACTTGTTCACTTCTTTAAGTTCCTTATAGATTCTGGATATTAGACCTTTGTTGGATGGATAGCTTGTAGATACCTTCTCCCATTCTAGAGGTTATCTGTTTAGTCTATTGGTAGTTTATTTTGGCTGGTCAGAAGCTCTTTAGTTTAATTAGGCCCCATGTGACAATTTTCATTTTTTCTACAATTGGTTTTAAGGTCTTAGTCATAAATTCTTCACCAAGGCCAATATCCATAATGGTATTTCCTAAGTTTTCTTCTATAATTTTTATAATGTTAAATCTTACATTGAAGTCTTTAATCCACCTTGAGTTAATTTTTATATATGGTGAAAGATAGGGGTCTAGGCTAGCCAGTTATCCCAACACAATTTATTGACTACAGTGTTTTTACTCCATTACTTATTTTTGTCAACTTTATTAAAAACCAGATGGTTATAGGTTTGTGACTTTATTTCTGAGTTCTGTGTTCTGTTCCTTTGGTCCATGTGTCTGTTTTTGTATCAATATCATGCTGTTTTGGTTACAGTAGCCTTATAGCATTGTTTGAAGTTGTGTAATGTGACACCTCAGCTTTGGTCTTTTTGCTTAGGATTGCTTTTTCTATTTGAGCTCTGTTATGGAATAGTTTATTTTTCTAATTCTGTGAAGAATGACTTTGGTAGTTTAATAGAAATATCATTGAATCTGTAAATTGCTCCGCATACTATGGCCATTTTAATAATATTGATTCTTCCAATCCATGAGCATGGAATGTTTTTCCATTTATTTGAGTCATATGTGACTTCTTTCAGCAATGTTTTGTTGTTCTCCTTTTAGGGGTCTTTCACCTCCTGGGTTAGATGTAGTCCAGTTTTTTTTGAGGCTATTGTTAATGAGATTGTATTCTCAATTTGGCTCTCAGCATGGGTGTTATTAGTGTATAGAAATCATACTGATTTTTCTGTGCTGATTTTATATCCTGAAACTTCACCGAAGTTGTTTATCAGCTCCAGGAGCCTTCTTGTAGAGTCTTTAGAGTTTTCTATGTATAGAATCGTATCATCATGGTGTTATTGGTGTATAGAAATCATACTGATTTTTCTGTGCTGATTTTATATCCTGAAACTTCACCAAAGTTGTTTATCAGCTCCAGGAGCCTTCTTGTAGAGTCTTTAGAGTTTTCTATGTATAGAATCATATCATCAGTGAAGAGAGATAATTTGACTTCTTTATCTATTTGGATGCCTTTTAGTTCCTTTTCTTGCCTGACTGCTCTGGCTAGGGCTTCCAGTACTATGTTGAATAGAGATGGTGAGAGTGGACATCCTTGTTTTCTTCTTGTTACTAAAGGAAATGATTCTAGCTTTTGTTCAATCAGTGTAATGTTAGCCAGGGATTTAACATAGATGGCTCTTATTATTTTGAGGTATGTTTCTTTGATGTCTAGTTTGTTGAGGATTTTTATCATAAATAGAAGTTGGATTTTATCAAAAGCTATTCCTGCATCTATTGAGATGATTTTTTTTTGTTTTAAATTCTATTCATGTGGTGAATCACATTTATTAATTTGTGTATGTTGAACCAACCTTGTATGCCTGGAATAAACATACTGGGGCTTCACTCACTTTTTTCAGCTGGACATTGCCACAGGGACTGCTTGCTCACCTTCTTCTCCCCAGGATATGGGTTTTCCTTCACAGTTCTGATGGATTCCCATTTCCCAATTAAAGCTCACTGAGTTTATCTGTATGCACTATTTTGATATTTCTGAGTGACCAAGTTGTGTTAAAAGCCTCTAATCTGCCATCTTGGAAATCAAACTGACAAAGAAACAAAAAACAAAACAAAGTCAAAATAAAGACTAAGACTAAGCATAAGCAATAAGAAGAAGAAGAAAAAAAATAGAAAAAAATCAAGCAAAATCAGCTAACATAACTGAGTGACTAGATGGAATTTTACTTTTTGATATTTACATAATTAACCTTACCTTCCTTAAAGAAACTGCTTTAGGATTTTGGTAAACATTATAGGTGAACACTTACCTATTACATTTTACCAATGTGTGTTGTTATTCTCCATTAATCTATCTTTGTAGGTATCTATTCCATTCGTGTTTCTACAAATCAAATCTGTTGATTAAACTCAGGAATATGAAAAATAAAGAATATCAGAAATATCAAAGGAACAAACAACCACTAATGAAAATAGTATACCTGAAGAAAAAGGGGTTGGGTTGGCTTTAGAAAAGATAAAAGATAGATAGATAGATAGATAGATAGATAGATAGATAGATAGATAGATAGAGATAAATCTAGCCATGGATGTATACTAGGTTTTAATGCTCAGGGCCTGTCTTTGTGAAATTGCTGATATATTAATATTTTATTCACTGAACTTAATGTTTATCACTTCAAATAGGGATATAAACCAGAAATAACTGTCTCTTTGCTCCATCTCTCACACATTGTTACCTCTTTAATACCTGAGCAGATCTGGCACTTTACTGACCACAGTTCTACCTAGTTTCATATAAAATTGTAGTTATCATTAAGATTAACAAAATCCAATGACTAGGTAGAAAATGTGTTGGCATGTTAGGTTATATAAAGTAGAATTTCTGACCATTTTTTTTCAACATTGACCTATGACAAAAATACTTGTATAAATGAGCCACTATTCTTGTTACATGTAGAATAAGGGCTTTGAGATAGAGAAAAGAGTGTGCCTTATTCACAACTATGAATCTATGAACTATCATGCCACCAGTTTTTCTACTTTGCATTTTATTTAATGTAAGTGAATAAAAATGACTTTTTTTGGAAGAGGCAGTCTTTAATCCACCATAACTTGCATTTAAGAATTAAAGCAAACATCAGTTACATAAGCATTTCACTGAGGTTATATAAATATGCAGAAACTTGCAATGATCACAAATGTATAAGCTCACACATTTTCACAAACTGAACACCGCTGAGTAACTGATACCCTACTCAAGAAACAGGCTGGACACACTGGCTTACACCTGTAATCCCAGCACTTTGGGAGGCTGAGGCAGGAGGATTGCTTTACGCCAGGAATTTGAGACCAGCTTGAGGAGCAAAGCAAGACCTCATCTCTACAAAATTAAAATTAAATTAACCATTCATGGTGGCAGGCACCCGTATTGCTAGCTACTAGGGAGGCCAAGGATCACTTTAGCTTAGAAGTTTGAAGCTGCAGAGAGCTATCATCATCATTCCACTGCTCTCTAGTCTGGAGCTGGAGTAGAGCAAGACCCTATCTCTGTTTTTTTTTTTTTTAGACGGAGTCTCGCTCTGTCACCCAGGCTGGAGTGCAGTGGCAAGACCCTATCTCTGAAAAAAGAAACAGAAGTTAACCAGACTGGGTCGGGGGGGAATAGTGCCACTTTCAATTCATGAGTAATCACAATCTTAAATTTTAGCATCATATATTAGTTTTGTCTGGTTTTGAAATTTATATAACTATAGCATACAATATGAAGTCTCAGTGTATGGCTTCTTTTTGGTATCAGGCTTTTGAGATTTATCTATAATTATATTAACATTTGTAATTTGCTCATTTTCATTACTATGTAGCCAAACATTTTCTGAATAAAATAAAAATGTATATTTTCAATTGGCAGTTGGATAGTTTCCTATTTTTGCTTATTACATATAGTAGTACTATGAATATTATCGTAATATTGTATATTTTGGTGATTACATAATTGTATTCCCATTGGTTGTATTTCCCTACAAGGGGATTTGCTGGGTAAATTGTCATACATATTTAAAGTTGGTAGATATTGCCAAACGGTTTTCCAGAATGTGTCCAACCATATATACATTCATCAGAAGAGTATGAAAGCTCTGGTTTCACCCTCCTCCAAATTCTTCTCTACTCTTCCTTTGCTCTTCCTTTCTTCCCTCATTATCTCATTTTCTCCACTACTTCTTTCTTTCCTTCTTCTTTGCTTCTCCTCTTCCTTTCTCCTTTCTTTCCTCCCTCCCTACCTTTCTGCTTCCCTCTATCTCTCTTTCTTTCTCTTTCCTTTCTTTATCTTGTTTTGTTATTTTCTGCTATAGCCACTCTGTTGTTATGCATTAATATATCTTTATTTTAAATTTGCACTTACTTGAAGTATGTTGAATACCTTTTCATATGTTTATTGGTTGTTTAGATTAACTCTAATTTTGTGAAGTGCCTGTCAAACATTTAGTCATTTTTTTCTGACTGCATTTTTTTCTTACTACTTTTTATGTGTTCTCTATAATTTCTACACATAGCATAAGATAATTCTCTTATTCTTTACATGACTTTCTTTTTACTGCCTTATTGATGTCATTTACTAATCGAAATTTTTAATCTTAAAATAATCTAATGTATTAATCCTCTATTGTTAATATTTTTTATACCCTAGTTAATAAATGTTTGTGGATTTCAAGATCATACTCTCCCTTAATTTTTTCAAAAATGGTATTATTTTATATTTGCATTTAGATATACACTTCTGTAGTATTTCTGTGTATGATGTCAGGTAGGGTTAAATTTTATTTTGTGTCTAAATAGATATCTATTTGAGCCAGCACTAATTATTGAAAAGTTATTTTTCCTCACTGCATTGGATTATAAAATTTGTTCCACATTAGTTTATTGCATGCATGGAGTACTATTTCTGGATTCTCTAGTTTATATCATTGGTTTACTTGTCTGATTTTTGCTTCACTACTATGTTTTTTAAATTACTAAAGCCTTTTAATAGGTCTTAGTATCTGGTAATATAATTTATTTACCTTGCTTTTTTTTTCTTCAAAATTTCTTTTTTTTGAAACATTATTCCCATGTATACACACACATGCATATACCCCTAGAATTTCTTCTGGAACTAAGTTTACCCTCTGAATCAATATGGATAACATTAAACTTTTTACCCAATTGCATCTACCAACCAAGGAAAATGTTTATGTTAGCCTCCATTTATTTTGTTTTAGTTATGTTCTCTACATGTCACTGTAGAAGTCTTTCAGATCCCTTAGATTTATTATTAGGTATCTGATAATTATCAATGCTATTAAAACAGCATTATGTTTTTGAAATATATTTTTCTTTTTGTTTAATGCTTATATGATAATATAATTTATTTTGTATATAGGCATTTTATCAAGCAATTTTGATAAATTTGGATATTATATCTAATTTTGAAATCCAGCATGATTGAATAAGGTGGTTGACCATTGTAAAGTTGGACAAAACTATAAATTATAATTATTTTGATGCTCTGGAATCAATCAAAGGTATACAGTCAAATGAGAAGCATTTATTCATGAAAACCACTGAATTTCAGGTAAGAACAACATAGTCTGTAGCATTTTTGCCCAGAGAATCTCCTGTGTCCCTCAACTCAGCCCATATAGTAGTTCAACCAGGGTAGGCATGCTGCGAATATAAACTTTGAGGCACAAGTTTAACTTAATTTAAACTTTGGTTTAAATATAAACCAAAGAGGCAGATTTGATTTGGATTGTGACATCTGAAGTGGCAACATTTATGACAAAGGAGCAAGAAGGGTTAATGGCACTTATTCTGAGATTATGGGCCTGCTTGATGAAAGTAAGAGACCAAAAGACTAATAAAGAACAGGGTGGCCAGGAGTCACATATTCCAGGTTGACCAGATGCTGTGTATGTGCTGCAGACACTGTGTGCATGTGCCAACCACCTGCACATCCTTGGAAGAAGGAGCCTGCAATACCCAGAGGAGACGCCAGAGAGTCCAGCTGAAAGTGAAATGAGATGTGAACTTACAAATAGCCTGAAGCTTGAATGTGCTCTCTGGCCCACACACTGATCAATCAGCAGATAGAGGAAGACTTTCTGGCTTGAAATATTTGGACACAACCTCTGACCAATCTTTGGCTCAAAAATAAGCTATGCATACAGAAGGGTGATCTTTAGAGAGTCAGGCTTAAACCACAACAAGAAAAAATATATAACTTAGCAATGAGATATCAGTATCTGCATATTGTCAAAGAACATACTTGACAGATTTACTTTTGCAGTAAAATGTGTATAAAATGAAGTGGTTAGTGAGGACTCTGAAAAGTGAATCATCCTAGGTAGACTGAGGAAGAAGAGCGAACTTTGAAGGACCATGGACCTGGTGATGAACCTGCAATTCTTTTTTCCCTCCAGCATTCCTGGACAGAGAGAGCACCAGGAGAAGCTCTCTAGTTCTGACTCAAGAAATGAGAAGGAGTACTTGTAATGCTCCAAGAGAATAAGGAACCCACCTCCCCCTCCCCACCCTACCTCCTATTTTTTGCTCCGTTACTTCGTGTCCCAGGCAATCCCATTGCAGCTTTGGCAACAGCAGCAGCAACAGGGACTCAAAGAAGCCCAAACTCTAAGACAGGAATATCTTCTGATCTTCTTCTCTCACTGGTGACTCTGTGTTACCAGCACTGTGTACTGTGCAATTAGCTCCCATTGCCTTTCTCTCTGTGTCTCTTCCCATTGCTAACCTTGAATTTTTTTTTTTTTTTGAGATGGAGGAGTCTTGCTCTGTCACCAGGCTGGAGTGCAGTGGCACTGTCTTGGCTCACTGCAACCTCTGCCTCCTGGGTGCAAGGGATTCACCTGCCTCAGTCTCCCAAGTAGCTGGGACTACAGGCGTGTGCCACCATTACCGGCTAATTTTTTTGTAATTTAGTAGAGACGGGGTTTCACCACGTTGCCCAGGCTGTTCTCAAACACCCGACCTCAGGTGATCCGCCCACCTTGGCCTCCCAAAGTGCTGGGATTACAGGGGTGAGCCACCGCGCCCAGCCTAACCTTGAATTTTTATCCTTGTAATGATATCTTTGAATATTAAAAGGTAGTCTAATTTTACTTCTTTTAGTAAAAGAAGGAACTACAAATAATATACCATATATATCAGATGATTTTATTTATATAAATTTTGAAAGAAGTAAGTGTTTACAAAAACATTTTGGTGATAAAACTATAAAGATAGGCAATGAACTGATTACCATACAACCCAGGGCAAAACTGAATGGGATTGGAGAAGGCCGTTATCCTATAGAGATGGTCATATAAATGAACGCCTGAAATGCTGGAAATCAATCAGCAACTGACAGACAAATGTTTATATAGATGCTCTCTTTATAATAGCTTGTTAGGCTGCAGTTACATTTTATGCACTCTTTGTCTGTGTTGTTTCACAATATAAAGGTGAAAATGGGTACATAGCTTCCAGGGCATGAAATAAGCTCCTAAACTATATTTCTAACTACACTACCCAAAAGCTGGAAACACAGATAATGTTTGTCTTTCACACTTGGTGTTTCAACATAGTGTACCAAGGAAATATGAATACTGAATATACAAATTACATGTGTGAAAATTATAAAATTTCTCCCTCTACATTGTACATATTTGTATTAAAGTGTTTTTTAATTCACATCAAGCAATTTGTCTTGATCCTATGATGTTCTTGGAATTTAAAACGCCACCCTTGTTCTAGTCTCTGTGGCAACTATTGTCTTTGGAGTATTAAAACCATAATTCTGTATATGCAAGAAATTGTCAGTAAGGGTTTTTTACTTTCAATTTTTATGATTTAACTTACCAATATAAATATATAAGTTATGTTGCTCTGACCAGCCTGTTGTTAGACCTATTCTTGAGTTTCCCTTCCTGGTGAGATAGTTTAGTATCTTTGGCGGGACCTTAAGTATGTTAATTATTACCTCCTCCAGATTCTTTAACGCCTTTTTTAGATATGAAAATTTTAAAAGAAATCTAGTGATAGTTATTTATTGAGTGCTTACTCGATTTTATATACATCATCTCATGTAACACTTAAAAAAGACAGTATCTCACAGATTAGGACATTGAGATTTAAAGAAGTTAAATAACTTTGCCGAAGTCAGGCATATGATGTGGGATTCCTGCATTTTTCATTTGTCTGACTCCACTAATTAATTCATTCATTTGTCCATTCAGTATCTAATATAATACTGGCTACCATGCCAGGTATTGGTAATATATTAGCAAAGGGAAACAGCCAGAGTCCCTACTGCATAAAGCTAACACAACTATATAAAGACTAACATGAAAACAAACAAACAATAAAACCTTAAGAAATGTATAATTACAAGTTCCATCTATCTATAAGCTACAGAAATGTACAGTGAGAGACTGCTAAGTAACTTATGCAGAGGCTAACATGTCTTGAATTACTCTTTGCTTTATGCAATATAACCCTTTGTATTGGCAGTGGTGCAGCATCTGTTGAGGTGGGACAAGCAATTCTGTAAAATTAGCTTCAGAATGATGATTTTACCAGAACTCTACCTCACAGGATGAGGTATTAATTAGTACTTGTAACATCAGTCAGCACTTCAGTCATCCACAGACGTAACACTGGTCCTCAGTGTGATAAACAGGCTGTACAGGGACTTCAGAAGCCGACTTCTGAAAGGCTGTTCATAAAAAATTGATTTAATTGATTTTTCATGTTTATGTTCTAAGACAGTGGTTCCCAGCTTTTTCCAATAAGAGGATCCCTTTTAATTTTGCAAACATCCACATTAAAAATGCATTTCTGATCATTTTGGATTGTGAAAAATCCATGACTAAAGGCTTTCATAGTATCAGAAACAATAAAATTAGCTTTCATTTTATTAATTACTAAAGCATCTAAATATATTTAAAAACAAATAGTATGCACTGGGTTTCCAAGTATGAGTGCAATAACTTCCCTAGGAGACTATGAGCCTGAACTGTGGGTTCAAAATGACTTGGCTACATTACTTGCTAGTTCTATGACCTTAGGGAGATTACTTGACCCCTATGGGTCTCAGTATCCTCTTTTATCAAATGCTTACAGTAAAAGCATATAGTTCACAGAATTTTTAAAATAAGGCTTCATAATATGTGGATGTATATGTATTATTCACACATATGCATTAAACTTTTTTTAAAAATGTTATTATTATTATACTTTAAGTTTTAGGGTACATGTGCACAATGTGCAGGTTTGTTACATATGTATGCATGTGCCATGTTGGTGTGCTGCACCCATTAACTCGTCATTTAGCATTAGGTATATCTCCTAATGCTATCCCTCCCCCCGCCCCCCACCCCACAACAGTCCCCGGTGTGTGATGTTCCCCTTCCTGTGTCCATGTGTTCTCATTGTTCAATTCCTACCTATGAGTGAGAACATGTGGTGTTTGGTTTTTTGTCGTTGCGATAGTTTGCTGAGAATGATGGTTTCCAGTTTCATCCATGTCCCTACAAAGGACATGAACTCATCATTTTTTATGGCTGCATAGTATTCCATGGTGTTTATGTGCCACATTTTCTTAATCCAGTCTATCGTTGTTGGACATTTAGGTTGGTTCCAAGTCTTTGCTATTGTGATTAGTGCTGCTATAAACATACGTGTGCATGTGTCTTTATAGCAGCATGATTTATAATCCTTTGGGTATATACCCAGTAATGGGATGGCTGGGTCAAATGGTATTTCTAGTTCTAGATCCCTGAGGAATTGCCACACTGACTTCCACAATGATTGAACTAGTTTACAGTCCCACCAACAGTGTAAAAGTGTTCCTATTTCTCCACATCCTCTCCAGCACCTGTTTTTTCCTGACGTTTTAATGATCGCCACTCTAACTGGTGTGAGATGGTATCTCATTGTGGTTTTGATTTGCATTTATCTGATGGCCAGTAATGATGAGCATTTTTTCGTGTGTTTTTTGGCTGCATAAATGTCTTCTTTTGAGAAGTGTCTGTTCATATCCTTTGCCCACTTTTTGATGGGGTTGTTTGTTTTTTTCTTGTAAATTTGTTTGAGTTCATTGTAGATTCTGGATATTAGCCCTTTGTCAGATAAGTAGGTTGCAAAAATGTTCTCTCATTCTGTAGGTTGCCTGTTCACTCTGATGGTAGTTTCTTTTGCTATGCAGAAGCTCTTTAGTTTATTTAGATCCCATTTGTCAGTTTTGGCTTTTGTTGCCATTGCTTTTGGTGTTTTAGACATGAAGTCCTTGCCCATGCCTATGTCCTGAATGGTATTGCCTAGGTTTTCATGGTTTTAGGTCTAACATTTAAGTCTTTAATCCATCTTGAATTAATTTTTGTATAAGGTGTAAGGAAGGGATCCAGTTTCTTTCTTTCTTTTTTTTTTTTTTTTTTTGAGACAGAGTCTCACTCTGTCACCCAGGCTGAAGTGCAGTGGCATGATCTGGACTCACTGCAATCTCCGCCTGCTGGGTTCAAGTGATTCTCCTGCCTCAGCCTCCTGAGTAGTTGGGATTACAGGCGCGTACCACCACACCCAGCTAATTTTTATATTTTAACAGAGAGGGAGTTTCACCGTGTTGGCCAGGCTGGTCTCGAACTCCTGACCTCAAGTGATCCTCCCAACTTGGCCTGCCAAAGTGCTGGGATTACAAGCGTGAGCCACCACGTCCGGTTGCATTAAACTTTTAAATGAAGTACATTATACACACAAACAAACTCCAAACATTATTAATGCTGTCTGGGGATGGGATGTCAATCTGGCACGATCGGACTTGATTTAGCAGAGACTAAGGCTGGCATACAGCGAAGACGCCACTCTAAAATGCTTTGCATGGCTTAAGGAGTTTTGACTTTATCCTGTAGTTTGTTTCATGTATGAACATCCAGTAAACACTGAGTAAGAACACATGATTTTTTGCCACCTAGTAGTAGGTTTTTACCTTGGGTGGGTAAGTTAGCTAACCTTCAGTTTTCTAATAAATTATCTCTCTCATTTGAAAATATTGCCAAGTGAGCCATATATATATGGGTGCGTGTGTGTGTGTGTGTGTGTGTGTGTGTGTGTATAAATGTGTATATATATACACATTCTAAAAATGTAAATAGAATTCTTAGGTGACAATTTCTCTTCAGAATTTGAAGCCATATATTTCTCTATCTATGTATATATCTATATATACACACACACATCTATATATGTATATGGCTCACTTTGCAATATTTTCAAAGTGATAGATATCTACACACATAGATAGATAAAGAAACGGAGGCACAACAGCCCGACTTTCACAAACCAAATGAGATCATGTGTAAATTTGTTTTAACTCACAATAACAAACTAATACAGATGACACTAATGCATGCATTGTAAGTTAGGAATTATCTGGTGAAAAAAACCCGTCTAAGTTTTTGAAAAAAGAAAAAATTAGAACACCTTTGAATCTTATTTTTAGAGATACTTTTTTGAACTAGCAAACATCTATCAAAATGCTGAATTATTTTATGTGGATTTTAGCTCACAAGAAGAAAGTATGTCTGCAATTTGCACTGCAACACTCTGCAAATTTTTGCAGGAAAACAACAAAAAAGGGGAATTGGATAGGTGGCATTATCAGCATAAAAATTGTTTACGTTTTTAGAAGAAATCATTAGTCACATGGCCTTATGAAAAAGTTTATTTTGGTGCCTGAAGTATTTGACAGACCAGTCAAGTTATTCTGATGATGATTCTCAAGAACTTTCCAAACTATTTTCTTCATGCACATAGAGAAAATGAGTAAGAAGATATGGAAGAAACAGTACTATTGATTTGTTTGAAGAAAAAAAGTACAGTAATATGTTGTATGCAAGACTGAGCTTAAAAAAAAAAAGAAGTTGGCCGGGCTTGGTGGCTCATGCCTGTAATCCCAGCACTTTGGGAGGCCAAGGCAAGTGGATCGCAAGGTCAGGAGATCGAGACCATCCTGGCTAACACGGTGAAACCCCGTCTCTACTAAAAAAAAAAAAAAAAATATATATATATATATATATATATATATTAGCCGGGCATGGTAGCACACACCTGTAATCCCAGCTACTTGGGAGGCTGAGACACAAGAATCACTTGGAATTGCTTGAAACCCGGAGGTGGAGATTGCAGTGCATGGAGATTGTACCACAGCATTCCAGCCTGGGCGACAGAGCGAGACTCTGTCTCAAACAAACAAGGAGTTAATGGGAGTTTAGTCTCACAGACACTAAGCAGTCCCTAACACAGCTCCCTGTTGTGTAAATAAGACTAATAAATCGAGCTCTGAAAAGGAAAGAAAAGTGTATACAAACAGAAACAGTAGAAAGATGAGATCCCTTCTATTTCCTGCCCAATGAGTGAGCTAAATAGCTAAAGGTGGTTTGTTAATTTTAAGACTGAGGTGAACATGTGACAATGATCAGAAGGCAACTTGCTTTCCCTGGATAACTAACCATTTTTAGACAATAATGTGCAGAAAAGATGCAGAGAAACAGACAGGTGTTGTTATCTTGACACCTGTCTTAGTTATAAACAGCCTAATTAGACATTTGCTTAAAAGCAATTCACAAGGAAATCAGTTGCTCACCATACAGCACCACCCCTGGATGTGGCTCTTGGACATTTTCTGACATTACAAGAAGAGACAGTTTTAGGGTAATTTCTACTAGCATACTAAGACAATATCTGAATATTATATAAATTAATTGTATAGATGATGGATATCAGTTGAACTAAAAATTAATTCATCCATTTTTAGTTCAATTTTTATTGGATTTAATAAAATACAGAGATGTACACAAATAAAAATGTAGATTATGCTATGACGTCCTCTTTTATATTTGTAATTTATGCCTCTTTTATGCCTTATCAGTCATATATAGGTTATTAATTTTATCTATTTAGAAAACAAATTTTTGGCTTTTTTTATTTTCCCTATTGCTTATTTGTTGGTTGAATTTATTACATAATTTCTGCATAACAAATCATTCCTAAATTTACTAACTTTAAACAAATATGTAAACTCAGGTGGATCCACTGCTCCATGCGATGAAGTTTTCCAAGACTGGGGTGGATACCCAAAAGGGCTCACTCACGTTTCCAGCACCATGGCAGGAAAACTGAGCTCAGCTGGGACACTGGGATGTCCCTGTCCCTCTGTATCACTCTCTAAGTAATCTTAGGGCACCTCTCTCTCCACATGGTTTTTCCACCTGGTTGCTCCACATCGTCTCTCTAAATAGTCATTCCAGTAGGATGTTTTGTCATCTTGCATAGCAGATCATGCTCCCAAAAGCACAGAGCAGCTAACAGGACTTGTTAGATGACAGGCAGTGAACTGGTACAAGGTCACTTCTGCCTTCTTCATTTATTAAAGCAAGTCACAGACCTACCCAAAATTCAGTGGAAAAGAATTTTTACCGGCTATTAATAAAAATGGGAGTGGTTCTTTTGGAGTCACCAAAGTAACCAACTATCACACACATAGTAGCTAAATTTCACTAGTTTTGATACATTGTGTGTTGATTCATTTGTTAGTTTTACCATTTGTTTAATTTTTTTCAAATATTTTGTAAGTCATTATATATGAAAAACACACTAATTTTGGTGATCATTACAGATTTAGAGATTAATTCTATATTTGAGATGTTATTCTTCTTTGAAATTTGTTGAGAATTGCTTTATAGGCCAACGTATGGTTAATTTCGGCTAATGGTCCTTACGCAAAATTGGAAACACACACACACACACACACACACACACACACCCTGAATTTAAGTACTATGATATTTTTATATCAGTTATTTATTTTTAATCTTATTATTAAAATTTATTATACCATCATCATTTTTGTGTGATTATTCTATCTGATATTAGAAAAAGTAGGTTAAAATCTTCAAACATATCTCTGGATTTGTCAGCTTCTTTCCTTGCAGCTATTTCATATATTTGGAGATTAACTACTAGGTTCATTCAAATTTAGAAGTGTCGTATGTCCCTGGATTTGGAAGGGCAATAACTACTTAATTATTTCACAATGAATCATTTCTGGAGTCATTCTTGTTCTGAAGTCCACTTTACTTGATACTATGTTACCTACAGTTTCTTTTTTTAGTATTTGTACAACACATATTTTTGCAATACATATATTAACCTTTCTGTGTCTTTAAATAGATATGATGCATCTCTTGTAAGTATCATGTAACCGAGCTTTGTTTTTCTCATCCAGTTTAACTTTTTGTCTTTTAATTGATTTATTTAGTTCATTTACATTTCACGTTATTATTAGTGTTGTTGCATTTCCTGCTACCATCTTGCTTTTGTTGACGTTGTTGTTGCATTGATTTTATGGTCCCTTCTCTTTTCTTTCTTGTCTTACTTTGCAGTAATGTCAAGTAAGTCACCAGCAGAGATCACATTCAAGGGGATTGGATTACACAGGTGTGTGAATACCAGGAAGAATCATTCATTACAAACAACCAAAGTAACAGACAACACACACTCTGTGTGAGTGTGTATATGTATGTGTGAGCTCTATCATTTGTTTAAAAATATTATCTAAATTCCTTCACAATTTCTTCTCTGTTATTTTTAACTGTATTATCTTTTACTTTTTAAAAGGGCTCCTCAACGATTATAAAATATTTGATTTAGTAGAGTCTAAATTAATGCTCTCAAAACCTCCAAAAAAATGCATTTATCTGTTAACTCCAATTCTAAGTGAAAACCTAAGGTGTTTATCTTTACTTACCATTGTTCCCTTTTAGCCTTTTCGTTAATGTTTTTATGCATTTTATTTCTACACATATTTTAAGCCCAAAGACTGTTTTTCAATTTTATACTGTCAATAAGCATGCATGTTTACCCATATACTTATTATTTCCATTTTGCTTCCTTCTTCACATTTTCATGCATGTTTCTAGATTGTTATCTTGCTGCTTTAAAAACTCCTTTTATTCAAGGTCTTCAGGGATGATTTTAGTTTTTTTTTTTTTAATTTGCCTGAAAATATACTTATTTCACCTTCATTTTCAGGATAGATATTTTTGTGGCATATAGAATTCTTAGGTGAGAATTTTCCTTCAGAATTTGAAGATACATATTTTTTCTGACTTTTATTATTTATGTTAGTAAATTAGCTGTTAATCCTATTGTTATTTTTAAATGATTGTTTATTTTTTTGATTTCCCTTAAGATTGTTGTCTTTTTCTTTAGTTTCAAAGCTTTTACTTTGATGTTTCCAAGTTTCATTTTCTTTGTAATATCTTACTTGTTATTTTCATTATTTCTTGAATTGGGACCTTGATATTTTTTGCCAGCGTTGAGCAATTCTTGGCCTCTGTCTCTTCACAGATTGCTTCTATCTCATTTGTTATCGTCTTACATTTTGGAGTTGCAATTGCATGCCTGCAAGATCTTTTCATCATGTATGACTCTCATTTTTGTTTTTTGTTTTTTTTTCCTCTTTTATTTTCTCATGATGGTTTCATCTAATATTTACCATTGATATATATTCCTGTTTACTAATTTTCACATTAGAACTATCTGATTTACTGTTAGACTCATCAATTTGGTTCATAATTTCAGTTAATATACTTTTCAGTTATAGAATTATAATTCTTTTTTTTGAAAAAGACTTTGTTCTCCATTGGCATTAGCCACCTTATTGTTTTTTGTTTCCACATATTAACCACAGTATGCTTAATGCTCATATTTTCTATCCATTATCCTAACCACCTGCAAATCTCTTTTCATTGTCTGTTCTCTTGACCCTGTGTCTTGAAATGCCCAGTAAATATGATTTAGTTAGGAACTTAGTTTTGTTTTAGGCAATTAAAATACAGATAAACTACCTTCATCCAATAAAGGATTGAGTTAGTTAAAGGCTATGTTGCAGTCTTTGTAAGAAATGGTTTATTTTTGTTTCTCTATTGCTCATACACTAAAGCTCTTCAGGGCTTTGAAGGGATGTTTATCTAGAATTTTTATCAGAGCCCTTTCTCTGAAAATTCCTGAATTAATTTTTTTTTTAGTCTCCTCAGCACTAGGAAACTGCTGAAAGCTCTACTTTGCATCTCACTTGTGGTCTTTTTTATTCATTTTCTCACCCTATGGAATGTGAACTAACTTGACAATTAGTAGATGCCTTGAGGGAAAATGTGGTAGAATATCAGAATTATTTTATTGATTTTCCATTGACTTAAGTGTTTTGGTCTCTCAGGTCCTTGCAATGTTGGTTCTTTTTAATGCATAAAACTAATTCCTAAAAATGTTTTAGAAGTTTTATATTTGTTCTTGTTAGGCATATAGTTCTGCTTCGAGCTACTCAGTCACATTTAGATGCAGAAGTTCTTAATTCTTTTTCAATATTTGCTCCAAAAAGCACCTTTTTTTCTTTGATGCCTCAAAAAATAAGTATATAATTAAATGGTTATGTTTTTGGCAATTTGTACTTTCCTATAAAAGTCTGTTGTCTGTTTTGATTTACATTTATTTGAAGTATGTAACAGATCATTTGTTTATTATCAGATATGATTTCCATTTTGATGGATTTTTCTCAAACTGCATTCAGATGGTTCCTGAAGACAAGCTCAGGTTCTACAGACCTTGCATTTTAGATTCAACTCAAAACTTAAATTAAGAATTTCTGAAGTGTAAAATAAGAAAGCAGAACAAAATAAAACAGAAACTGTTCTTCTTTTTAAAAACTTTACTCTCAAATTGAAACTTTGTTTTCAGGAATAATGTTTCAGACTGTATGACTTCTGAATTTAAGACAAAGATAAATATTATATGTCCCATTACATATTTTTTAAGTTGTATCCATTGCATCAGTAAGTATTAGAACAGGAAAAGACTTAAAAAGTTATAAACTCTGACTTAATATACAAGTTAAATAACATTTGAAAAAAGACCAACATAGAAACCCCTAAGTTTCTATCCTATGTACACCACCGTGGAATATTAATTTAGAATAATGGGTAGGCAAGTCTAAAGGATCATTACATACTGCCTCCATTCTCGTAGTCTTAAAACATTTTAAAATATCAATATATCTAAAATATATTTTTACATGTACTCGTTTGATTTTAGAAATGAAGAGCTGAAGTGATTAAAAAGAATTATTGAAGATGTACCGGAGAATAATTTGTGGCCCCTTTTTAAAATATGAGTAAATGTATTAAAATCTTTTAAAATCAAATAACTTTTCTAAATAAATCTTCCTTGAAAGAAAACTTACTCCATAATTTAATCAAATAAACTTCTCTCACACTCATTTGCATCTTACTGACCTTAACATAAATTATGGAGAGCAAAGCCATTTCTTGTATTATTTTGGGTGTAGACTTTTAAAAGCAAACTAAAGACACATCTGTGTCTATGTGTAGATAACATAGAAGTTTCAAATATTCACATCCATTTTCAAAACCCACAAATAAATGATATTGAAATTATCTTTGTATACAACAGTCATAAAATTCAATGTCATACTGCATCTTAGTGATTTTCAAGTCATTCCTCAATTTAACATTACATCTAATGTTTTTAATTTGTACCATTTATACATTACAACTAATTGGATAAAATTAAGCAAGGACTTCAATTGTTCTGTGTATTTAAAGTTTGACATTTTAGCAAATACTTCTTTGTGATATCTGTATTTTGTAATAGATCCAGCTCAATTTTGACTTTCCAGCCTGACTATCAAGCTGGTCATATTTTGAGAGCTCTCTTATTGTAATCTAACTTTTGACAAATATATTAATCTATCTGAAAACAAATATAGCAAAGCTTTACTTCCTTCTTCTATTTCATTTGTCTCCTGACTGTTTAGTGTAGAAAAAAAATACGCAATTCAGCAAATTCTTTTTTGGCTTCCTCAGCCAATTTTCTGCGAATAAGTCTTCCTTTCTACATTCATTGTTCCTTAGTTGATTATGAAAAGTGAAAAATAGAATCATCACATGAGATTTTTTTTTAAAGAGGAAATATGTATTCTCTCAAAAGTATGAACATGACATAGCTTTTGGAAGAATGAAAGTCATGAAGAAAAGGGATAAAGGTAACTGATGATGTGGAATTGCAACTTGACAAAGAACAACAATCCATTTCTTACAGAAAGGCTAAAATGCAAAGCCATCTTTGGCCAGTGTGCTATTTTGCTACATTGTTTTATTTAAGTTTGATAGTGATTTGCAAAATTCCCAAGCAAAATGTGTCAGCTGTTTTCATTTCAGATTTGGACCAATTAGGTTGAGAAACTCCCGACTTTCACCTAATTCTATTTCTGAATGTGCCTCTGTTACAAAGATCCTATCTGTCCCCTGAGGTTTGATGGATCAGGCTTGCCCCAAACCAGCTGACAATTATGACAAGCTAGGCTGGCAATATTTATCTGAGCTCAATCCAGAATATTTCTAAAAACATAAAATGTGTTTAGTTTCCTAAGCATTCTCTGTTAGGTGCTCATCTTTTCTTATTTTCATCCACAAGTCTTGGGTTTATGTGTCAGGTTTGTTTTGCTGTTTCACCATTGGCACTCAAATCAGACCATTGAAGAGAAAAGTAAGCACTTTCTAAAAATTCCCCACCTATTTGAAACTATTTGTCATTTGTTCATTTTCAAAATACTTGGAAATTTTTTTTTGTAAATTAGAGCATCTATGTTGTGTGAAAGCACGCTATTTATGAAGTCCAAACCACAATGTCAAGTTGCATATATATTTTCTTTCTTTTTTTTTTTTTTTTTTTTTTTGAGACGTAGTCTTGCTCTGTCGCCCAGGCTGGAGTGCAGCAGCAAGATCTCTGCTCACTGCAAGCTCCGCCTCCTGGGTTCACGCCATTCTCCTGCCTCAGCCTCCTGAGTAGTTGGGACTACAGGCACGTGCCACCACGCCTGGCTAATTTTTCGTACTTTTAGTAGAGACGGGGTTTCACCCTGTTAGCCAGGATGGTCTCCATCTCCTGACCTCGTGATCCGCCCGCCTTGGCCTCCCGAAGTGCTGGGATTACAGGTGTGAGCCACTGTGCCCAGCCAGAAAAACTTGTCCTTTGATGTACAAAGTTTTAATTGTGTTGAGATTTAATTTATCTATTTTTTTGCTTTGCTTCTGGTGCTCCTGGTGTTATAACTAAGAATCCATTGCCAAATCTGATGTCATAAAAATTTACATTGATATTTTCTTCTCATTTTCATGGTTTTAGCTTCTTTCCATCATTTCGCTTTCAACCTGTTTGTGTCTTTGGATCTAAATTAAATCTTTGTAAACCACATACAGTTGCATCATATGTTTTTTAGATCCATTCTTCCAATCTTTGCATTTAGAGTAATTACTAATAAGGCAGGACTTGCTTTTGTCATTTCATTATTTTTTTCTGGGATTTATATTTTTTATTTCTCATATCTTTCATTGTTGACTTCCTTTGTGTTTACTTCATATTTTGTGGTGAAATATTTGGGTTTTCTTCTAACTTGCTTTGGTTACATATTTTGGATATTTTTATTGCTCTTACCATGGGGATTACATTTAACATCCCAAATTTATAACAATCTCATTTGAATTGTTACCAATGATAATAGTAAACAAAAACTCTGCTCTTATGTAGTTTCATTGCCCCTTTTATGTTGTCGTCACACATTACATCTTTATACATTGAATGTAGATAGATAGGTAGATAGATAGATAGATAGATAGATAGATAGATAGATAGATAGATACTTTAACTCATGGGAACTAAAAAATAGAACTATAATGCAAAATTACAATAGTACTGTTTTTATAATTGCTCATATATTTACCTTTACCTGTGAACTTTATTTTTTTAATAGGCCTCTTTTTAAGAGCAGTTTTAGATACACAAAAAATTTTAAGAAAAGATAAAAAGATAAAAAGGGTATGTATCTCCTGCCCTCATACATGCATAATCTCCCCCATTATAACATTCCCCACCAGAGTGGTAAATTTACTGTAATCAATGAAGCTACACTGACACATCACTATTGTCCAAAGCCCATAGTTTATATTAAGACTCACTCCTGTTGTTGTACATTTGATGAATTTGGACAAATGTGTAATGCCAGGTATCCATCATTATAGTATGATCTAGAATAGTTATACTGCCCTAAAAATTATCTATGTTTTGCCTATTTATCCATCTTTCCTCCTAACTGATGGTAACCACTGATTTTTTATACTCTTTCCATAGTTTTGACTTCTTCAGAAAGCCACATAGTTGGGAACATATAGTACGAAGCCTTTCAAACTGGCATCCTTCACGGATTAATATACATTTTTTTCTCCATGTCTTTTTGTGGCTTGGTAACACATTTTATTTTAGTAGTCAGTAATATTCCATTGTCTGGATATACCACAGTTTATTTACACATTTACCTACTGCAGGACGTCGTGACAGCTTCCAAGTTTTGGCAATTATGAATACAGCTGCTATACAACATACATGTGTTGTTTTTTAAATAGACTTAAATTTTCATTTCCTCTGTATAAATATCAATAAGCACAATTGCTGGATTGTATAACGGTATGTTTAATTTTGAAAGAAATTGCCAACTGGCTTCCAAAGTGCCTATACCATGTTGCATTCCCACCAGCAATGAATGAGAGTTCCTATGGTCCCAAATGTTGCTACCTTTTGGTGTTATCACTGTTTTGGATTTTAGGCACTCTCTGTGAGTATAGTAGGATCACATCATTATTTTACTTTTCCATTCCCTAATGACGTATGACATATGACATATTTGCCACTAATATTATTATTATTATTAACTATTTTTGGTGACGTGTGTATTAAAGTTTTTGGCCCGTTTTGTATTTGGGTTGTTTGTTTTCTTATCATTGAGTTGTAAGTGTTCTTTGTGTATTTTAGATAACTGTCTTTTATCAAATGTGTCTTTTATAAATATTCTTAGTCTTCGATTTGTCTTTTTATTCCCTTGACAATATCTCAAATCATATATTTTTTAAGTTTAATAGTGCCTAACTTATCAATTCTTTCCTTCATGGTTCATGCCGTTTTCCTCAGTACTGACAAAATGGGTTCATCAATGGAGTTTTAAGACAGTACATAACAAGTTCGCCACATTACATATTGAAGTGCTAAACCATATGATCAGTCTTTTAAAACAGGTGTTTGGGAACTAAGTTTGCATTAAACCTTTAGGTAGCTAACCATCCACAGCCTATCAAAAGAAGTCAGGAAGGTCAGAAAATAAGGGAGAAATTTCAGAGTTATTCACCTATAATCTGAGTCTTAGTTTTTGCATGGAAAATGATATGTAGCTTGATGCATGAAAAATGTATATGTGGCCAGGGTAAATTCCATGGGTACCCTGAAATTTAGAGGGCATATTATACTGATATCTTCTTCATGCATGCGAATAAGGATGATGTGAGCCTTTAAGCTGCTTCTCTTTTCATTTAGAAATTGTGTGCAACAGCATTTCTTAAATATGTCAAAAATTACCTTTATACTTCCCATATTAATAAAAAAAGGAATGTGAAACTAAAATAGCTAATGAGGAAAATCTTCTTTAAGCTCTACAACTGTTAAAGCATTACTTGTGATAATTATAAAATTGTAATATATCAACTTAAGGAGAACAGAGATAACACATATTTTGTGAGTTCTTCTTCATGGCCATACACTGTTAGGGGCACATTTTTATGTGAGTAAACATTTTTGATTTATGAAAATAAAACTATGTCTTAATTCTTTTAATTGGGAAATTGTCATCCTAAGAGCTCTCAGTGTTAGAAAATTTTAAACTTACCCCCATGCCCAAACTAAAACCATTTAAAAACTCATATTTAATTGATAAGAAAATTTTCAAATCTTTTTCACTTAATTGAATAATATTTGTTGACCTATTTCTGGTTCATTATATTTCCCTCTAAAAAGAATTTGACTCTGGTCGATCTGTCTTCATTCTCAATTAAAATGGTTTGAACTGCCTCTACAACTCATATTTCAATTTTTGGTTGGAAATATGAAGAGATAATTTGTAAGCCAATTCTAGAAGTATGGTGTAAGAATGAGGACATTTCACTTGTGTCTCCTTATAGACAGATATACTAGCTGAATAATCATCCTGCTTTTGAGGTTCTTTGCTAGTTCCCATGAATCCATTATTTCATTCAATCATCAAGTGTCTCCTACATGCTTAGCATTTTGCCACACCATGGGCATATAAAGAGAAGTCAATCAATAAGGCATCTTCCTTTATTCAGCTTGTTCTGATGTACCTGAAAGCAACATTTAAAAGAAATTTAAAATCTATATTTCTTATTTAATTCTACCTTTGTAAAGGAAGTTGTTAGGAAAAGCTTCCTGGCAGAACAATAACAATTTCAAGTAGTATAGTAAGGATATATTTTGTCCCCCTCATAATATTTAATTTAATGCAACAATGATTTTCTATTTTTGCTGTTGTTGTTATTGTCTTGTTAATTTGTTTTGTTTTGTTTTTAGATTACTGCCTACTGTTCTGGCATTTCGTTTTGTCTCTTCTTTTTATTGACAAGTAAAAATTTTACGTATTTATAGTGTACAACATGATGTTTTGATATATGTGTACATTATAGAATGGCTAAAGCTAATTAACATATGCACTATCTTAAATGCCTATTATTTTTGCCGTAAGAACATTTAAAATCTACTTTCTTAGCAATTTTCAAATATAAAATATATTGATATTAACTGTAGTCACCATGACACATAATAGATCTCTTAATCTTATTCCTCCCATCTGACTAAAATTTTGTTTCCCCAGTCCCCACCATTCCCCTCAGCCTCTGGTAACCATCATTTTGCTCTCTGATCCTATGAATTGAGCTTTTTTACACTCCAGATAATGCATTATTTGTGAGATTATGCATTATTTGTCTTTCTGTGTCTAGTTTATTTCACTTAACATAATATCCTTCAGGTTCATCCATGTTGTTGCAAATGACAGAAATTCCTTTCTTTTTTTAATTGTATTTCATTGTTTATACATAACACATTTTTTATGCATTCATCCATTTCATATCCTTTGCATATATACCCAATAGTGGGATTGCTGGGTCATATGGTAATTCTATTTTTAATTTCTTGAGGAACCTTCACACTGTCTTCATAATGGCTGTACTAATTTATATTCCCAACAGTATGTAAGGGTTCCCTTTTGTCTATCTCCTCACCAACACTTATCTTCCATCTTTTTTGATAACAGCTGTTTTAACAGGTGTAAAGTGATACCCCATTGCGGTTTTAAATTGAATTGCCCTGATGATTAGTGGTGTTGAACATTTTTTAGTATTCCTGTTGGCCATTTGTATATTTCCTTTTGAGAAATGTCTACTCATGTCCTTTGACCACTTTTTAATTGGGTTATTTGTTTTCTTACCACTGAGTTGTTTAAGTTTCTTATGTATTTTGAATATTAACTCCATATCAGATGTATGGTTTGCAAATACAATTTCTCTTCCATAAGTTGTCTCTTCAATCTGTTGATTATTTCCTTTGTTGTGCAGAAGCTTTTTAGTTTGATGTGCTTCCTTTTGTTTACTTTTGTTTTTGTTGCCTTTGCTTTTGTTCCATATACAAAAATATCATTGTTCAAAACCAATGTCACATAGTTTTATCCCTCTATTTTCTTAAAGTACTTTTACGGTTCTAAGTTCTACATTCAAGTCTTTAATACATTTTGAGTTGGTTTTTGCATATGGTATGAGATGAGGGTCTATTTTCATTCTTCTCCATGTGAATATCCAGTCTTTCTAGCATCATTTAATGAACAGAATGTCTTGGGATCATTGTTAAAATCTATTGGCCACACATTCATGGATTTATTTCTGGGCTCTCTATTCTGTTCCATTCATCTATATGTCTGTTTCTTTTTTCTCAGAATGAAACATTTATTAGGCGTTTATGAACAGAAGCCAAGTCAGGGATGGTACCAAGACAAGATGGTGGATCCCTATGCCATTACCGCCACCTCCCCAGCTCAGGGCTTATATAGCATAGGGAAAGGGTAATGTGGTTAGGATTCTGGGTCTCGCAGTCCACACAGTTGGAGTTCCCGCATGTTTCCGATCAACTGCAGGGCCATGGCCTCGCTTTGGCTCCTCAGCCCGGACTTGCTCTTGCTGCTCTCGCATGACTGCAGGCTGGCCAGGATCTGGCTCTCCATGGCTTGAACCCAGGCATCCCGCTCCTCATACATCGTGGCTTCAAAGTGCCACATTTGGCCAGTGAGGGGCACAATGATAAAGTTTTCTTCTTGTCCTTCAGCAGTGCCGGACAGGCCATGGTCTTTTAAGTTGTTTGTGCTTTTCTTCCTTTGGTGCTTCTTTCTGTTGGCCTGAGGAGAGTGGGGCGTGTGGAGCTTGGGGCTGGTGGTGCTGGAGATACTGGGGCTGGAGCATAGGGAGTCATCCAGCCCTGTGTCTGAATTGGGTGAGATGTGTAAACTGCTCATGTCCTTGGTTAGGCCATTGGTTTTAGAGCTGGAGATGCGCGCACAGGCAGATGTGGCTAGCAGTGGCCTCTTCCCTGGGACTTTCACAGTGGTTCTCCCAAGGTCAATCTCTTTACCATGAATATTCTTCATGTAATCATGTAAATTTGGATGGTAGGTCAGCACGCCGTTGTCACATGGGGTGACATATTTCTTTTTCCATTTCTTCAGCCCTTTGCCACTTAGCTTGAATAGCATGCCCTGTTTAATGGGGATGGCTCTGCCCCTCCTGATGCTGTCTGCACGATTCTCCAGGCCCTTCTTCTCTTTGTCTGGGTTGCTCCCTTTCTGAGAGGTAAACAGGTTGGACCAGCGCTTGGACTGCTTGCGAACGGGCGTGGGTGTGTTGGAAGTGGGAGGAACATCGATCCGAAGTTCCTCCTGGCTGATGCTGGGAGTCGATGGAATGGAGGAGGAATAGTCACTTAAACTCCCACCTCCATTACTTGTCTGGCTGATATGTACAGTGGAAACCGTAAATAACTATAACCGTTCATCAAATATGCTGCAAGAAAAGCACAGGGTAGTTCGTTATTTGAAGCCGTTTTCCTCTATGAGTTCTATACAAAGCCTCAGTAGAGTGGTTCCCATTAGCAACCAAGTTGAACAACTTTTATTTGCTGACTGAATGTAGATACACCTGAATTGTTGACTGCTTTTGTAACTAAACACTCCTCTCCTGTCTTCTAATGAGTGGTCATTTTTGTCTGTAACTTGACCACAGCAATCCCTGGGGCCCTAGCTCTACTCTCAATAAAGAGTTATGGCTGTATGTCTTGAATGACACCTTAGGACCATCCTGCCTCCACCTCCTTCTCCATAAAATAGAAACCTAACTTTTCCCTGAAGCTCTAAAATGATGAAACTTACCAACTCTCTTTTCTCCCTTCTGTTTCTTCCTTCCATGGTAGAGACTTTCAGATTTTCTTTCTTTTACTAAAAAAGCACTAAACATGATCTTGTCATAAAAAATTGAGAGCCATAAAGTGGGGTACCACTGTCCTAATTCAATAAAGATGAATACTCACCATCTAGCAAGGAGTATGTGCCTGACAGTGTCCCCACTGTGCTATGCTCATTTAACCCTCAGAAACAATCTCATTTTACAGATTTTACAGAAGAAGTTGAAATGGAGAAGGTAAGTAACCTCCCCAAGGCCACATGACTGCTAAGGGTGGGGCCACAATTTGATCCCAGGTAGTCTGAATTCCCCAATTCCTCAAGCATGATTATCAGAAGGTGTATTAATCTGTTTTCACACTGATATAAAGAAATACCTGAGGTTGGGTAATTTATAAAGGAAAGAGGTTTAATTGACTCCATGGTTTCCCGTGGCTGGGGAGGCCTCAGGAAACTTACAATCATAGCAGAAGGGGAAGCAGGTCCCACTTACATGGCGGCTGCACAGAGAGTGTGAGCATGTGAAGGAGAAACTGCCAAGCACGTGTAAAACCATCAGATCTCAGCTGGGCACGGGGGCTCACACCTGTAATCCCCGCACCCTGGGAGGCCAAGGCGGGTGGATCAACCAAGGTTAGGAGTTCGAGACCAGCCCGGCCAACATAGAGAAACCCTATCTCTACTAAAAATACAAAAACCAGCTGGGTGTGGTGGCGCATGCCCGTAATCCCAGCTACTCAGGAGGCCGAGGCAGGAGAACCACTGGAACCCAGGAGGCAGAAGCCGCAGCGAGCCAAGTTCGCACCATGGCACTCCAGCTGGGGCGACAGAGTATATGTCTGTTTCTATTTTAGCACCATGATGTTTTGATTACTATAACTGTTTTCTGTTTTCAAATCAGGTAGTGTGATGTCCCCAGCTTTGTTTTTGCTACTTTTGAATGAACCATATGTAACTTTGAAATCAAATATAGATACTTTTCTTTTATAATGTGATTTTTTTAGCATATGCTAAGAGTAGTCTAAAAATTATTAACTATGCTATTTAATTATTGCTGAAAAGATGGCTTAAGAATGACTACTGAGAAATAAGATTTTTGGAGATATCAGACAATATTTCATATAAGGAATGTATGGTACACGTGTTTCTGCAAGAGGTAAAATTATTCAATTTCTTAAGTAGTAAAATTGAGAGTTAATTCGTCTTTGGATATGTGGCTACGTGGTATAAGTCTGTGGTAGCTAACTGTTTGGAAATGCTTTATCTTACACTTAAAATGCTATATTCTATGAGTCTTCAATTATATGACCATGTTGAAATAGGCCCAGAACTGGTATCTTAAGTAAGATTTTGGCCCAGATAGTTGTTCCTTTTGTTACAGTAGGTAACTAGTCAGACATGAGCAGGGCAGGAGAGCACCACCCCCACTAGCAATGTCAAGCAACCATCAGATGACGGTCAGGAGATTTGTAACTGTCGCTCTAAAATAATAATTGGTCAAAGTGATAGGGAAGTGCTGAGAAGGGAAGGGCATGGTCCCTTCCATGAAATGGAGTGGGGAAGGGAAGTGCTGGGTAGAGGAGGGCGTGGTCCCTGGCTAGGTCTCCATCCCTGGGCCTGTGCCTGTGGACCTAGGTAAAGACAGGCATATTTGTTTTCCTACCCAAATGTTGCATTTCCCAAAACCACCCTAGCTTGCCATGCCCCTATCTTGTGCCTACAAAATCCCCAAGACTAGCAGGCAGACACACAGGTGGCTAGATGTTGAAAGGAGCACACGGACTAGCAACAGCATGTTGGCGGGCTACCGATAGGCAGAACAACACAGAGTTTGGCTGGGGCAGGCAGAGGAGAGCTTGGGCCACTGAGTGGCCTTACTCCAGGGGAAAACCTTCCCACTCCATCCCCTTCTGGCTTCCCCCATCTGCTGGGAGCTACTCATTAAAACCTTGCACTCATTCTCCAAGCCCAGGTGTGATCCGATTCTTCCGGTACACCAAGGCAAGAAACCAAGCTACAGAAAGCCCTCTGTCCTTGTGACAAGGTAGAGGGTCTAATTGAGCTGATTAACACAAGCTGCCTATAGAGAGCAAAACTAAAAGCGCACACTGTAACACAGGTCCACTGGGGTTTCAGGAGACGTAAACATTCACCCCAGACACTGCCGTGGGGTTAGAGCCCCACAGCCTGCCTGTCTGTATGCTCCCCTAGAGGTTTGAGCAGCAGGGCACTAAAGAAGTGAGCCATGCCCCCAGTGCATGCCCTGTGAGGGGGACAAGGGAACTTTTCCCATTTCAACAGCTGGTGCCAGGGGAAGACAGTCTCCTAATAGAAAAAAACCTGAAGGTGGTAATCAGCTGCTTCCCAGTAAGATTTCAGGAGTTGGGCATGTGGGTTCACACATGCACACTAGAGGCAAAATGGCAGAGTTTAACCGGTATATGTTCTTATAGGAACACTTGATTGGTAAGGGAAGAATGTCTTAAGTGAGCATGTGTAGAACTCCAGTAAATGTACTGCACATGCGGCCCTCCCAAGCTTTGACAGTCCACTGCACATGTGGACAACCCACCCCAAGGGAAGAATCAACGATGAAGTAACACAAGACCATGGACGCATGCCAACATATTAAACCCCAAGTCAAAGCTCACATTGCACACTTGATATCTCAAGGCACCTACTTAGCCCTCTTCCAAGTGTACTTTACTTCCCTTCGTTTCTGCTCTAATTTTTTAAATAAACTTTCACTCTTGCTCTAAAACTTGCTTTGGTTTCTTATGCCACCTTATGCCCCTCCATCAAATTCTTTTTTTCTGAGGAGGCAAGAATTGAGGTTCCTGCAGACCCATACAGATTCACCACCAGCAACACTTTCTTGTCCAATATAAATTTGGACTGTGATGGAACCTCTTCAGGCATGTATTTTATTAAAGCCCATTAATTTTCATTATTGGTCACCAACAAAATCTCATGCTTCAGATGTTAGGCAGCAATGTAAAATATCTGCACTCTGGGTTTTTTCAAAAAATATGAACTTGAAATATTTGCCTTGTAATGCTTTCCCAAAACTGAGCTATAAGAAATTGCATTATGGAAGATTGCCTGAGGTCCATGCCATCATCTATTGCTCTAGGGCAGTGTTTCCTAAACTGCATACAGTTGAACACTAATAACTATATACTAATACATGGTTCTAAAAACTATGTTATAAAAACAAACAAAACAGTTCAGCAATGAAACAACAAACAGACAAACAAAACTAATAAGATGTATTGAACAGAGTTAAATAGGTTGCTTAAAAAAGGGTAGTTCAGAGCCCCAAATAGGTTCATGTTTACTCTGCAGCCTGAAGAGAGGATTTAAAGGGTTGAGTTTCACACAACAATCTGATGGAACCATCTTATGACATTAGTGTTCTGTGGATTAAGCTCTGGAAAGACTATTTGATGCTCTAAATTATTCCTTTAGATTAAACCAGAATGGCATTCTTGGACCCCATTAATTTGACAGTCATAAAATACATGTTTACTCAATTATACATCAGCGTCCTTATCACTTAACCCAGAGGATGTTGAAGCTGCATGAAGTTAATATTAATTCAATACTAAAAATGTGTCAGGCACTGAACTAAGCACTTCACAAAACTCACCCAATTTTTTCCTCCCAAGAGCTTTAAAAAATTAATATTGCTTTTCCCCATTTTACATATATAAAAAAAAACCTGTTAGTTAAGCAGCTCGCTAGTTAACCAGGATTCAACCCTAACAACATAATTCCAGGTATTCTTTGTTAACCACTGCTGTACAGAGCATGTATTATGGAAAAACACTGGGATGCTAAAGAAATAATTGTCTTTATAAAGACCCACGGGGGAAAATTGATACAGGATTCATTTTGAAGATAAGCTGTGTTTTGCTTAAACAACTTGTTTGTTTTTATTTTAGTGATGCTGTGAATCTTATAACCCTTCATTTTTCTTTTGTGCTTTGACCTCTACATATCTCAGAATCAAAATTGGAGATGACCTTTATTAACCATATAACATCACATAATATATACCTTTTCATGTAATAATCTTACCTTTATTAAATTCCTCATATATTTTAACTTCAATATTCTTATTATTTATTCTCTTCTTTGTTTTACGTATTTTGGTATAAACCTCAGATGTTAGATAAAAAATAAACTATAAGCAAATATATACATGCTTACTTATTGAAAAGTATATTTATATTTTTCATGTTATATTTAAACTCAAAATGAAAAGTATAAACGAATTAATTAGCTTATAAAAACAAATCTTCAAAAAACTTTGAGAATATGAGCATTCAGTTCAATTTATATTTGAAAAATATTTAGACTCAAAAGAATGCTATGTACAATTAACATTTATAGCTGTAATCTTATCAAATCAGGTAAGCTACTGAATCACTTGCATAAACAAATGCAAAATCTCTGTGATCTGAGATATATCCCAAAGCATTTTGTGCTAAAATATATTTTTATGCTTCTTATAACTGCAAATGATTCACATGCCAGGTAATTGCAAACAATTGCTGCTAGCCCTTATGATTTCAATGACGGAGACAAAAATGTCAGGGAACACAACAATCGTTTCAAATGAAAATGTCAAGATATCCATTAGAGAGGCAAGAGAGCTACATGATAAATGTGAAAAGGTCAGTGTTCTACAATGCTGCCTTTCCATGGAATGCTGCTCTTCTTTACTTTTTGATGAGGTACATATTATTTTCACAACTTGAAACACGTTTATAAAGCAGACATTATAAAATATGGTTCATGAGTCATGGTAGATTGAAGAACACACCATATAACAAAGTTCACCTTTTACTCATAACTATGCCTCCAATATGCGAGGTCACAAGCTGAATCACCATGGAGAAGAATTTGATGTAAGAAATTAAAGTTTCCCTTCGGGATGACTAATGCTTGGTGTGTTATCAATGCATAACCAGTTAAATCCCCTCATGCTATGTTACCATGAGTTTCATCGCCTATAGCAACGGGAAGTTTACCTCTCCTTACTCATGTTTGTGTCTTTGAAATGCCAGAAAAATATCAAGCTCTGACACTGTAGTTTCAATATTGTTATTTCCAAAATGATATTATAGTCTGTCTTCCTGTTTTCTATAATCCATAAATTCTTTGTAAATTATGCAACAATGGCTTTAAAAATTATGATGTTGAAAAGGACTAATATAGATTCTTCTTACCTACTGGATCCAAATGTAAGAGTCTCATTTTCTTAACTGGTAATCACTGAAGGAAGGGAAAGAAAAGAGTGAACGTTTTTACTTATCGCATCATTTTTACAGAAATCAAGTCTTTAGCACATGTTCCTTTTCTGTAGCTAGTTCTACAAATGTGCTATTAATGGCCACTTTCAGAATGCCAACATGAAGAATTTTTCAGTGGTAATAAAAAAGACACACTGTTCTCTTTTTTTCTTTAAATATTGAAAGATGAAAAAGTATATAGCTGTCAAGCATTGTTCTGTTCCTTTCGTTTTGGGATAAATGAAAAATAAAAAATATTTTGAACTTAAATCCAATTGGTTTCAATACAAAGTAAAAGAAAATTGGGATACTATTCATGTAGTCTCAAGTGGTAAGTACTTATCAATTTGATTATTATACCCTGTATGTGTTTTTATGCTTGTTTTTATGTATGTATGTAAATATATGTCTTCAATATTAACTGTTAGTGTAACACATGAGTTAAATGGATTAATATAAATTATATTTATATTACCTAATCTCTGATATTAAAACATAGAGAATATATTGGTGTGCTGGGAATTTTAATGTCTGAAACTTTCTCTCTTATCAAAGACAGGATTTGCTTTCCTATCATTTTAATAAATGAAATTGTAAGCTCAGTAACATTTTTTAGAGTATTTCTCAGAGTTTTTATGTGTAAAATGAGGCCATTATGAGTAACTATATCAAAGGATTGCACAGGAAAATAATACATGAACTGCATTTAATATTGTGTTGGCACTTAAGGGACTAATACATGTTAGCTATTATTACTGTTGCTGTTTTTTATATTAAATGAGAAACATTAAAGCTAAGTGAATATAAGGTATGTGAAGGCCAGGTGATTTGCTCCCTGTTATAGACTTATAGTTCATCCCTATATCCACTGAATCAACATGGACCAGGACTTGGTTCTTAGAATACACCTCTAAAATCTGGTTTAATTTTTTGGTTTCCAACATGAGTTCTAGAAGTCAGCATCATTAACCAAACTCAAAAGGGACTAATTTAAAACCCATAATGTCTAAATAACTTAAAATGGCAGGTAAATAGAAAGATCATTAGCATCAGTTATTTGTTGTGGGCACCCATATATTTTTAATAAAATGACCCGTGAGATCAATGCATTGATCAGAAAGCATCCTAATCAACATAGAAGTGGATCACTTAGAGTTTGGACTTTTAAAATTTTCATTTCTACTAAGCTTGGCCATCTAGATAAATTGTTTCTCTTCATCTGCTGCATTGAAGATGATTCTTATAACACAAACATGAACATGTCATGTCTAGTTCCAATAGACTCTTCTCCCAGCATAGTGTTAGACAATTAGTAAACACTGCCACATTTTTCCCATCCAAGTTTCAGTTTCCTGCTGCTCTTTAGAAGACATCCAAAGCACTAATACCTCTTGACATACTGTGGTAGGCAGAATAATTGGCCCTCAAAATTGTCTACATCCTAATCCTCAGAACCTTTAAATATATTACTTCACATGGCTAAAGAGATGTTGAAGATGTAATTAAGTTAAGAAGCTTGAGTTTGGGAGATTATCTTGGATAATGTGGGTGGGCCCAATGCAATCAAAAGCGTCCTTATAAAAGGAAGACAGGAGGGCATGAGAGAAATTTAAAGGTGCTGGACTGCTGGCTTTGAAAGTGGAGGAGGAGGACATAAACCAAGAAATGTAGGTGTCTCTAGAAGCTTAAAAAGGCAAGGAAACAGATTCTCCCCTAGAGCCATCAGAAGGCACACAAGCCCTGCCATTTTCTTGGTTTTAATCAGTAGGATACATTTCAGACTTCTGGCCTCCAGAGCTATAAGAAAATTAATTTGTGTTATTTTAATTTACTAAGTTTGTGGTAACTTGTTATAGCAGCAGTAGAAAAATAATATGCACTGGAAAAAAAAAAGTCAACCTTCTGCTCAAAACCAGTGGTTTTCCACTAGTTCAAAGTAAAAGTGAAAACCCTTGTTATAATAGCACACAGGACTCATGTGATCATGCACACTCCCACCACATAATTTACAACTTTTATCTTTCTTGCTTCCTCTTCTGCAGGTCAACTGCCCTCTTCACATTTTTTTGTATATGCCAGGTGTGCTCCAATCCTGCCTATGCCTCTTTCTAAAACAGATCTTGCTCCCGCAGCCTATATGGTTCATATCCTCAATTATTTCCAGTTGTATCACTTTTAGAAAGAGGCATTTCTGACCACCCTATTAAAAGTCCTAATACACCCAACCCTTCCTAACACTCCATATTCTCCCTATCTGCTTTTCTTTCATCAATAGCACTGATTATATTCTAGCATAGTAATTTGCATATTTAATTAGTGTACTAAATTGCTGAAAGCTCTAAGAGGGTAAGAGGTCATATATATTTTATTTAATGTTGTGTCTTCAGTGCTTTACACATAGCAGATACACAGTATATTTTTTTTTTAATGAATGAAGTAAATGACACATTAGGTTAGAGTTTTCACATGAATAATTATATTTACTTGTATTTTTTTCATGACTAAATTGACTAATACATCTCATGGAGATGTTGAAAACAACATAATCTTTATATCATTACATTTATAAACCAGCTTCTCCTTAATAACACAAATTAATGTTTCATATTGTAAAAAGCCCTTTCTTCTATAAATCCTTTGATCACTCACTAAGGCCTAAAAAGTGAGTATTATTTTTATCCTCATTTTATTGATTAGAAAATTGAGTTTCAAAAATAGTTATCTTCCCCAGAATTAAGTAGTAGAGTATCACTTTAAACTAGGTCAGCTTTTCCAATGGCCCCTTCTCCATTTTCATCCAACATCTTTCAGCATCTGGCTAACCATATTCATACTACTATACCTTTACTAGCCTTATGTTTCCTGGTAACCAGAAACATTTTCATGAGTGTCTAACAGATTGGAAGGTGTTCATGGATTATCATCATTAGTGGTAGAGTATATGTTTTAACAGAAACTTAGAAGAAGCTGAAAATGTATACATGACCTACTCTACAGCTGAAATGTCAATAGGGGTTTTGCAGTTCTTATCTCATAAAATCTTCTCAAACAAAGAAACTGAGATATTAGTAAGCACTGTTTTACAGGAATCTAACAATATCAAATGCCGGTGAGATTTCAGAGCAAGCAGAGCAACTTTCAGATATTGTTCATTGGGAATGTATAATATGTGGTTCAGCCTCTTTCAGCCTCTTTGGAAAACAGTTAGACAGTTTCCTTCGATGTTAAACTTTTACTTACCATATGACCCAGCAAACCAAATCCTACATATTTACCCAGAGAAATGAAAACATCTGTTCATACAAAACACATACATAGCAACCAAAATGTCCATCAACTGGTAAATGGATAAACACGTTATGATTCATATGTACTCTTTTGGTCCCAAGCATTTTGGGTAAGGGGCACTCAACCTGTATTGTGTATTTTCATTTAGAGGACATCTTGGAAAAGGTCAAACTATGAGGACCAAACACAGATCAGTGGTGGTTAGCAGCTGGAGTTGGGAGTGGATATTGACTGCAAAAAAAAATATGAGAGAAACTTTTGGGATGATGCAAATGTTCTCTATTTTGATTGTGGTAGTAATCACATGACTAAATAAGTTTATAAAAATCATAGACTCATACTCCTAAAAAGAATAAATTTTCTGTAGATTATATCTCAATAAGCAAGAAAAATAAAAATTTTGTCTAATGTGATAGAAAAATTAATTGTGCAGAGTTGGGACTTGAACCAGGACTGTTTGTCATTAGACATTTCATGCTATGACTCTCTCATACCACCTAATCATTAGTTAAAACACTTATTTATAAATAATTCTATTCCATTTTAAGGTTTTATTTTGTTTTTATTATATTTGACATGATTACATCTAGTGTTACTTCTAGAAAGTAGTGATTACAGATTAATTTAGTTTACAGACTTAGTTTTAGAGATTTTATATTTTAACCTTTCGCTAGTCATCATAGGAAACTTAGCCATACTACAATATCTCAGCTTATTAATTGGTAAAATGAGAATACTGAATTATATTTCTAGGATTTCTCTTGTATTTCAACAATTCTGGTAGAAGCATCTCTTTTTTTGACTCAGAACACTTAATTTATATTTTCCTCTTTGCAATATGTAAAAGTTTTGGTACCTGTTACTCTATGATTACAGGTAGTGGTAACCAATATATTTGTGACTGCATTTTTATGCCTCACTGGGCTTAGCACAATTCATGTTTTGAAGAGAATTACCTCTTTATTTTCTTTGTGATTTTCCTACTTTCCTTTCTGTACTAGTTTTTCTTTCTCTAGAGGCCAAAGGCTGTAATGACTGCCACCTGAGAAACTCATCTGTGTCCATTTAATAGCAAAATGTGCATTAAAAACGATTCTGTGAATGGACCAATTTTTAGAGAAATAAATATCTAATGGTAACATTTTAGACAATGTTGATGGAATCATTTGGGAACAATATATTTTCTTAGTGTCTTCAGAAGTCACCCTTACCTAAGTGACCAGTTTTACCTAAACCATATCAAATAGCCTATGCTGGGAGTCGATGATAATTATGTAGGAGTAAATAAGCATTTCAAAAATGCACCATAAGGAAGTTCTTATTGTCAAAAATCAAAAGTTCAATTTCTGTGGGATTATTCATTTAAAATGAGAGATCCTAAATGTAAGTTTACTTTTCTGCCCTTAATATCTGATCTTCAAGGGGAAGATTATGCCACAAGACACTGCAAATTCAGTGAGCTTCTTGTCACAGTCAGTGATCTTTTACTTCCATCAGCAGCTTTAGAAGTGTTTTCCATCTTCCTTTTATTCTAAAGTATCTCTTTGCCAAGAAGTGGTCCTTTTATTCTTCAAAAACATTAAGAATGACTTGTTTATTTAGCAGAGAATTCACTTTTCTGCAAGTGAAGTGCATCTTCCCTTTCAGGTGTTCTTAAAGATGATTGCATAGCAAAGACTGTACAGATGTTCTGATTCTTTTAGAAATTCTTTAGGTTTACCCATTGAATCTTGCAGTACTGCCCCAAAGAATAGAGTCTGGAATTTCAGATATGTAAACACAACTCAAAATTGTTTTCTACTATAGCACGATAATTATAGGACATAAAAAATTTCACAGTTTTCTGAATAATTATGTACCTCTAAGGTATAATTTTTAAACTTAGGCATTAATAATGTAGCTATTAGAAACTTCTATGGAAAATAGTTTTTTCCTATAAAAATGTGTATTTTAAGAATCCTAAAGCTTTCTACAGTTCTTCTTAATCACATCTATAACAAAGAAATAAAGTATGCTTTGATATTTCCTCTTTCTCCAAACATATTGAACTGCAATTATTGCCTTAATCATTTGTCTTTTCTAAACACATACTTGAATAAAATTAAATTGCAATATGGCTTGTATAGGTTGGCACTGAATCTGCATCTGTTCATGTTTGATTTCATGACTTACATGTGTTTAATGAGTTATAAGTTGTTCTTATGTGTTTATTTATTTATTTTGAGATGGAGTCTCACTCTGCAGCCCAGGTAGGAGTGCAGAGGCGCGATCTCGTCTCACTGCAACCTCCATCTCCTGGGTTCAAGCAATTCTCTGCCTCAGCCTCCCGAATAGCTGCAATTACAGGTGCCTGCCACCATTTCTGGCTAATTTTTGTATTTTTAATAGATACAGGGTTTTACCATCTTGGCCAGGCTGGTCTTGAACTCTTGACCTTGTGGTCCACCCACCTTGAACTGGACATTTGGATGACTGGTGGATTTTTTATTATGAATATTGTTGTTATAGACATACATATATAGGTCTTTTTATGAACTTATGTTTTCATTTCTCTTCTACAAATACCTAGAAATAAAATTGCTAGATAAGTTAATATAGATTTAAATTTACATTAGCATACTATTTTCCAAAACGGCTGTGTTATTTTGCATCCTCCACAGAAATACATGAGATTTATCATCTTCCTACATCTTCACCAACACTTAGTATTGTTAATCTTCTAAATCTAGCTTTTCTGTTGATTGTCCAGTGGTAACATTGTGACTTTTAATTGTATTTGTCTGAGACTATGATGTTGAACGTCTTTCTATGTACCCATTGGCTATTTTTATATTTGCTTTTGTGAAGGGTTTGTTCAAGTTATTTTGTTCATTTTTTTCTTGTTTTTGAGTTGTAAGAGTTCCTTATATATTCTGGATACATCCCCTTAGATATGTTTTATAAAAATTTTCTCCATCTCTTTATTGCCAACATCTTTTGAAAAGCAAATTTTGTAATCTTGATCAATTCCATTTTATCAATCTTTTTATACATTTTCCACTTCTTCATGCCATGTTTAAATAAAATATTTTCCTTATCTCAATATCACAAAGACATTTTCTATGCCTCTTATATGAGTTTAATAATTTTAGATTTTATGTTTAGGTCTATGATCCACTTTGAATTAATTTGTGTATATCCATAATATAAAGGTCATTTTTTCCATACCCATATCAAGTTGCTCTAGCACCGTTTGTTGAAAAGGCTAGCTGCTCTTCATTAAAGTACCTTAGCATCTCTGTTGAAAATCAGTTGGTCGTATGAGTCTGTCCTGTTACATTGCTTAATACGTCTATCTTTACATCAATACTGCACAGTAATAACTTTTATCTTCATAACAAATATTGAAATCAGATATTTTAAACCCTCCAAATTTGGTTTTTCTTCAATTAATGTTTGGCTAGTATATATGCTTTGCCTTTCCATATTAATTTTAAAATCAACCTGCCAGTTTTGTCAAAAATGCTTGTTAAGATTTTGTTTGAGAGTGCGTTGAATATATGGATCAACTTGTCAATGGCTGTCATCTTGAAAATAATGAGTCTTCTAATTCATGGTGATGATCTGACTCTCAATTTATTTGTGTCTCCTTCAACATTACTTTGAATGTTTTGTGTTTTTCATGTATAAATCTTAGGAAACTTTTGTTGCGTTTATTCCTAAGATTTTATTTTATGCTATTATCGATAGGGTTGTTTCTTTCTATTTCACTTGGTAAGTGTTCATTTCTTCTATATAAAAATACAATTGATTTTGTAAAATACTTTCTGTCCTGCAACATTGCTAAATTCAATTATTCTAACAGATTGTTTTTTGTATGTTCCTTAGGGTTGTCTACATACACAAACAAGTTGCTTACAGAGAATGACTGTTTTGCTTATTATTTTCCAATCTGTATAACTTTTTATGTCTTACAATACTTTTTAAGATATGTAGAACAATGTTAAATAGAAGAAGTAAGAGTGGACATCTTTACCCTTTTCCTAATCTTAGGAAATATTGAGTATTTTATTGTTAAGAATGATGGTAGACGTAATTTTTTTGTAGATATCCTTGACTAGAATTTTAATATTTCTTGATTTTCCTAATTTTCTCAAAGGTTTTTGTTTGGTTTGGTTTTTTAGGTAAAAACTATATGCAATAAAATTACTCATTTTAGAGTACAGTTCTGTGAGTATTGATAAATATATAAAGTTATTTAACTACCAAAAAGTAAAGATGTAAAAAAATTCCACTTCCACCCCCACCCCCTGCATAATTAATTACCTTATGCCCCACTGTAGTCAATCATTTTCCAACCTGTCTTTATGGCAACTACTGATCTGTTTTCTGTCCTATAGTTTTGCTTTGTAAAATGTCACAAAAAGAAACTACAGAGAATTCAGCCTTTTGAGTATGACTTCTTTCACTTACATCTTTCATCTAAGTGTTTTCATGGTGTTGCATGTATTAGTACGGTACTTTATCTGCATTATTGCTCTGAATATTCTTCCCCTCCTTATAAAGATGAGGAAATGGAGAGTCAAAATGTCCAAATAACATTTTCAGGGATACTTAGCTAGCCAGCAGCCAAACTCTGGTATTCATACTCAATATTGCTTCACTCTAAATTCTGTGTTATTTTCCACATAGCCATTCTGCTTTGAATGTGTACATGTATGTGATTTTGTGTGCACGGGGAAATACTTGGAAGTAATATACCATTATTTTAATAAAGGCTATCTCTGGATAGAAGAATTTTAAATGTTTTTATTTTATTCTTTATTCCTTTAAATATGTTTTGTTTTTATAAGCATACATTACTTTATTAACACATATATATGCACATGTATACACACACACTGGATAATATTTAAAGGGAATCCATAATATTCTCATCATGATGAATCATATACAGACAATAAATACATTATCAAAAGCTAAACAAAGTTTTCCATGTCAAGCCCTAAACATCCTAAGCAAAGATATTTGAAGTTGCCTCATCAAAGAAAATTCATTAATTCTGAAACATTTTTGACATATTAAAAGTAAACATTACTCGTCTGATCGCCCATTACTCTCCCAGGCTAGACACTTCTGTTTTAGACCTTTGAATAAAATGTGGTTTCTTTTGCTCATAAAAAAATGTATATTTTAATAATACCTATAATTCATTCTTTTTTATGATATTTTTGTGAGGGCATAGCTATTGTTTATTATGCCAGAAATTGATAATAGCTTAGATGGGTTGTGATAAGTAATCACATAAATTATATGATAAATAATCACATAATTTACCAATTTCTGACATTTTTTGTCCTCAAAATAGTATTTGAATATGTCTATTTCCATTGCCATTATCACAGTAAAGCCACTGTCATCTCTTACATGGATTGATTCCATGATTTCTTAACTGTTATTCCCATTTTTACTTTATCTCTGCTTCAGGCTCTCATTACACAATATCCAGAGTCAATTATTTAAGCTACTACTCTCAGACTTAAAAGCTGGCAGTGGCTCCACATTGCATTAAGAATAAAATCCACACTGTTAAATATACCTTACAAGGACCTGTATGATCCAGCCACTAGACACATCACCAATATCATTTTAAGGTCTTTTTTTACCCTCTCTCTTCTCCAGCTGTGTCGGTATTCTTTGATAATTTCAATGTTGTTAAAATCCTTCCTGCTTCAGTGTTCTCTGAACACATGTTTTCCCTCCTGCCTTTAATACTCAGTCTCCACGCTCTTCATTTGACTGGTTCTTTCTCAAACTTCAAGTCTTGCTTTCTTAATAAAGCTTTCCCTTGCCACTTTCTATAATTTAGCTTCCCTTGACCACTCTTTTATATTAATATTATCATCTTCAGGGTACATCACACATACTAATTCTATGTTTGTTTCCTTGTTCTTTACTTTCTTATCTCTCCTGAACTTTGATTATTGGGGATTGACACCATATTGATTATATTTACCAGTGTTTATACGGCATCTGGGACAGGGCTTCCATTTCACACAGATCTATAGAATACAGTGTAAATGATACCACTGTATGGCAACTCTGACACAAGTTATATATGCACGTGTGCATGTGCACAACCATATATGTATACACTTACATTCATATATACATACATGTGTACATATATGACCATTAATACATGCATGTTGAATGAGAGCATAAAAGCAATATGCTTAATTTTTAATTCAATAGTTATATATATAATTAATTCTTACATTTCTTAGCTTATAAATAGCTATGCATCCTCATTATAAGCTTATATACATAGAAAGATGGATCACAAACTACAGGGTTATATATATGATATCTTTTTTTTGAGACATAGAAAGACTACCACTTTTATCTGCTTATTATAGATATCATTTTGTCCATAGTAAATTAAGGGTCAGAAATTCAAGGTTTATTGATTTCCAGAAACATTCCATCAAAGTGCCTGATGTAACATTTGTCTTATCATCTGGCTTGAAACCATGACATCAAAACACTGATTCCTCTCTTATGTGCATCCACCCTGTTTCAGCATCATTGATCATCCTGTTAAGCTAAGATAGAGAGTTATTTAAACTAGAAAATTTGAGGGTCAGTTGTACATATTGAAAATCTATGATATAGTTTCAGAACTATTGGACATTGTTACATAATTTTATAGGCATGAAGGAGTGTACAAAGTAACTGTTGGTATGGTTGATCAAAAATATGAATAGATCCAAAGAAGAGCCTTTACAGGCACTCATCCTTAGCTATTATGTTCTTGTTGAAATATATTGAATGTACTCAATATAACCCAAATTAAAAATCAGCCAGCTATGAAAATATTGCTGCTGGTATTACTAATGGTGTATAAACATACTCATTATCAATCCACAATAAAACATAAAAAAAATCAGAGGACATTAATTTCTCTAGTCCCACGGGACTGATTAAAATTGATATGCACACATATATACACACAGACAGCTGTTAAAGCCAAGCATAACGTAGAAATATGTATTTAAATTATCTAGGAATTACAGTTGTTCATTTTCATCACAAGATAATCAATAACAATTGTCATAGGGTCAAAGGAGATCCTTCTATCACTGCTGCCTGGCCATAGAATATATTCACCATTATATTTCTTCGAATCACTTATTTCTTCTGAAATTACTACCAGTTCAAGCAATGTTCAAGCTTCTCCATGAAATGCTGTCTCTACAAAGATTTTTATAATAAAAAATATGTGATCAGCAGTTAGCCCTTCATTGCTAATGGCTCTGTTGTCTGAGAGATAACAGGTACAATGATAGATCTAAATCTGAGACACTTTCTCACATTTAAGACACTTGTAATATCCAAAACCTTTAAATGAATACTGAGTTATTCCACCAAACTGTACACATACAAGGCATAATGTTTATTATTGTCTAAAAAGAAAGGGGAGAATTATTGCTAACAGGAATCACTAATAAGTCCACAAATAGTTTTAGAAAATATTAAATAAAGATGGTGATTTTGTTTGCTTATTTAAGAATAGTTCACATATACTAAGTGTTTTACTTGTGCCCACCTCTGTTCTAAGCATGTTTACAGTGTTTTATGTCTTGTTTATATATCTTTTAATCCTAACAACAGTCCTCTTTTACATGTAAGAAAACTGAGGCCCAGATAGTTATTATATTTGCTCAGTACACAAACAGTTAGCAAGTAGTATGGTACTCAAACATTGAAAATATGAAACTACACATTGGTCACCTTCGAATAATATAAAAATGTACATGTTCCATGACTCAGACAAAAGAAGATGAAAATAATGTCTTCTAACTTAATATTCTTCAAATGTGGAAGTGTGAGTAGAAATAAAACCTGTAGATGCAGAGAACAAAAATCCTTTCTGTTGAATTTCGGTAGTCATCCTTTCGTACATGCTCGCTAATGAAGAGATACTGTGTCACGTAACGTGAAGGGAGGGAAGAAGTAAGGAGACAGAGGGTAGAATTACTGGGGGTGTGTGTGCTTTTCTGCCTCCACCCTGTGCATGGCCATTCATACTGGCCTATGGCCTCTTTTGTAGTGCTGGTAATATGACTTTGCCAAATAATTGCCAATTTCTTAAAAAAATAAAATCTCCTATCGTATTGTGCTCCTAAAATGGAGTTAGATGTATGAGTGAAGAGTAAGAAGAAGCAATGAAAAATGAGGAGTTAAAAAAAAGAAAGAGGGCAAATAAAGTAGGAGAGTATAGTAAAATAAAAAATAGGAAAAAAAGGACAGGTTAACAATGTTCCACAATAAAACAACTTTTAGGACATACCAAAAATAAAATAAATAAAATAAAATAAAATAAATAAAATAAAATAAAATAAAATAAATCAAACCAAATCTATATACACTGAACTTATTACAATGGGTTAACTTTTATTGTCCATATCAGGAATCAACAAACTTTTCTGTAAAAGGCCAGATAGCAAATATTTTAAGCTGCACAGCCGTAGTTTTCTGTCGCAACTACTCCACTTTACTGTTTAGAAAGACAGTAGCCATGGACATTACAAAAACAAATGAGTGTGGCTCTGTATCACGGAAACTTTTCCTAAAACAGGGGGCAAAAAAAAAAAAAAAAAAAAAAAAGGAAAAACAGCTAGAGATGATGATACTGTCATAAGGCCCAGAAAATTCCAAAAACAAAACAGAACAGGCCACAACCCAGATTTCGACCATAGGCTGTGGTTTGCTGATTGCTGCTTAAAATAAATAGGTCTTTTGGAAGAACAAATGGATTTATAATCAGGGAAGTTTACACTGACCTACCTCTAGTTCAAGTACATGTAACTACTTTGTATTTTACTTGGAGAATGACATTCAAAGTGCAAATATGTAAATGTACCTACTTTTAAGCTAACACATATATTTAAATTATTTCCTTTCAAATATAAAAAGTTTACTTTTTTGCAAGTATGGTATAATTAAATGGAAAATCATAAACCAGGAAACGTCTTTCTATGTAAATAAAAAATCAGTCATATTTTATAAATATTATTTGTTCTATATTTGGTAAAAATTCAATCCTTAGCATAAGAATTCATATGTCTATTGTCTGTGATTATGCCTTTTTATAAAATATTATTGGTTTAACTTATAGATTTAAGAAAAATGATCACATAGTAAATGTGGGTTAATTTTCAAGTGTTATTTTTTTCATGTTACATATTTAAAACTATTTTGAAATATATTTCCACTTAGGATTACTAATTAAATGAAAAAAAATAAGATTATGCCATTGAAAATAAATAAGAAAAAAATCAGATATATATATATACATATATAAGGTCACTTATTTTTCTAACCTATGTATATTCAAATTTTTCAGTAAGAAATGACATGTTCAGTCAATTTTAAAATGTAACAAAAGAAAATGAATTATTATTAAATTACTAACTACTTTGTTTTAGGCACTGAGCTAAGTAGTTGCTTTTGTTTAAATTCCTTTTAAAAGGTCGCACTAGCCTTGGTCTAAATACTAAGCTTCAAAGACTGAATGGGAATACTATTGAGTACATGCATCTAGTTCTCAGTATCTTCTTCCTTTCTGATCCTTTAGCAGGTCCAGACCAAGCAAGTCTGGTGGGGAGGAGCCTGTTCTAGATCTGGAGAGTCCCTGCATCCAATTCCAATTGGGTACTAAGTTCACTATTAGGGTGACAGGTTCAATAGAAACCCAAACGTCAGCATCACATAATATATCCATGTAACAAACCTGCACATGTGCCCTAGAATCTAAAATTAAATAAATAAATAAATAAATAAAGCAGTGGACCTGGGATAGGCCATGAATATCTACTATTTTAGATGAAGGATTAGGACAGTCCATGGATACAGTGCTTTCTTAAATAGACCCTCAAAATTCTGCATCATAAAATCCTGATACTCAGGAGCAATTTGAAGCACTCCATTTGGTACTGTAGTGTTTTTGAGTTGCTTTGTATTTAGCGTGCTTTTATTTTTTCTCAAATTGCTTCAATGCTACCTGGCCCATGACCTCTTTTGGAGTTCGTGAAAAAAACTGCACACTGGCAAACAGCTTTGCCAAATGATTATCATTTTCTCTTATTAAAAATCATCTTATTCTTTGCTCCTAAAACGAAGTTAAATATATGATGCTTCTTTGTTTTGATATAAGGACATTAAATGACAAGTCCAACAGATTCGTAGAAGCTTTCTGCAGTGGTTTTTTTTTTTTCTGGAGCAATTTTTATTTAATTTTTTTTAAGGTTTTACCACACTGAAAATGTCTCAATAATAATGAACTTAAATCTCTTGAATTAAATAAGAATACTCATTACATATTTGTCACTGTGACTTCTTTCAGCTTGAGGATTAAAGTTGATCTTGAAGCACTGTCCCCCAAGAAGACCTTTGCCTGCAATCTCTGACATTGGTACTCTCTGCAGTATGTTTATTGTTATTGTTTTCTTAAAGGATTCTAACAGAAATCTACCAGCCTCATTCACAAACTTTGCCTGTTCTAGCTGGTGATATTTACCAGATAATAGTGTGAGCAAACATACCATATACTTCCTCTCTGATATCTGTGAGTATAATACTAATTGGTATAATTATATTATTAACACTTCTGTGAAATATTTTTGACATTTGTATTAAAGACTTTATTAATGATAATTACATAAACTTAACTCTCTAACAATTTTTATGACTTTCCACTATTCACTTTTAAATAAGTCTTGGCCATCACAAAATTATTAATTTACAAATGTGTTCTAGTTTGCTAGAAAATAATTTTTTTAAGAAAATATGTGGACTGGAGGCCGGGCACGGTGGCTCACGCCTGTAATCCCAGCACTTTGGGAGGCGGAGGCGGGCGGATCACGAGGTCAGGAAATCGAGACCATCCTGGCGAACACTGTGAAAACCCGTCTCTACTAAAAATACAAAAAAATTAGCCGGGCGTGGTTGCGAGCGCCTGTAGTCCCAGCTACTCGGGAGGCTGAGGCAGGAGAATGGCATGAACCCGGGAGGCGAGAGTTGCAGTGAGCTGAGAGGGCGCCACTGCCCTCCAGCCTGGGCGACAGAGCGAGACTCCGCCTCAAAAAACAAAAAAAAGAAAAAAGAAAAAAAAAGAAAATATGTGGACTGTACATTTTTCTATTTTTTCTAAATTAAAGAATTACCAATAAATTATTCACAACAATATAATATTTTAATTTAAAATGTCTTGGCTATACAGTACTTTTCCTCTCAAAACTATAATTTTTGTTCCTTTTTTTTTTTTTTTTAGAAAATTTTCTTCTTTTTTTCTTTTGTCTTCTTTTTCTTTTCTTTTCTTTTTTTGGTGACAGAGTCTGACTCTGTCACCCAGGCTGGAGTACAGTGGCACAATCTCTGCTCACTGCAACCTCTGCTTCCCGAGTTCAAGCAATTCTCATGCCTCCTAAGTTGCTGAGATTACAAGCCCATGGCACTACTCCTGGTTAATTTTTGTATTTTTAGTAGAAACCAGGTGTCACCATGTTCGCCAGGCTGGTCTCGAACTCCTGAGCTCAAGTGATCCACCTGCCTTGGCCTCCCAAATTGCTGGGATTACAGGCGTAAACCAATGTGCCCTGCCAAAATTTTTCTTCTTCTAAGTTTATTCTTTTCTAATTATTATTTTCTTTCAACTTACTTTACATATTATTTTTATAATATGGAAAATATAAAAATAATTTCTAAAAAATGCTTGTATGCCTATAATCCAGAGAGAATTGATGTTAATATATAGGATCACTTGTTAAAGTGCATATCTACATATTTACATATTTAAGTGCTATTATACTAGATGGAGAATTTATGTAGTCATTTTTCTCCCACTATGAGATCATGATGACTTTCAATTTTTATAAACATTCCTTTAAAAACATGGTTTTTAATGATTTTCTAATTATCTTATTGTTGTACCGTAATTTAAATGAACACTCCCATATACTTAGATATTTAAAGTTTTTGTTTGTGATAACAAATCATCTTTTGCTGAACTTTTATGTATATGCATGTGTGGAGGTTTCTTTAACTATTTCCTTAGGATGGATTCCTAGGAAATAATTTATTGATTCAAAAGATATAAACTCTTATGTTTATATTCATAGTAAAAAAGTGATTTCCTAAAAGGTTATGCTAAATTATAACATTCAGAGCTCATATAACTGTAATTTTAACACTCGTAATTAATGAAAAGAATGTATCATTGCCAATTTAATAAAGGCAACATACTTCATGTTATTTGAATAAGTCTTATTTATTTGATTATTAGAGAGAGAGGTTGCACACATTTTTCCTGTGTTGAGTGGCTAATTATATTTCCTCTTTTATGAATTACCTTTCCATATCTTATCTAGTACTGGGGTTAACAACTCTGTCAACTCTCTCTTTTGAGAATTACCAGAGATGTGGTTTGATTTACATTTCATCACAAGGTATATTTTATTTAAAATTTCAAATGGCTTAAAACAGGACCTGAAAATTTTTGTATTGTAACCAATTATAATTCAAGAAAATTTTGTGATGTATCATTCAATGATTTAGCATGATGGAAATCTAAGAAAAATTAGATTGTTGTATTTTGGTAGTTAGCATTTTTTCTGCCTGAATGTCTGCATTATGTTTTTGTCTTGGCTTGAATTTATTAAATTTGTCTAGGACATAAGTAAATGAGTGAGAGCTGCTTCTCCTACTCAATCCCACCCCTACCTTACCAGATACTTTCACTCATTTCTACTTTTCCTCTCGAGATTCACCATCATATATTAGAACTTCTTTATGATGTGTACTTACAGAGAGATTCTGATTATCCATGAGGTTACATTTGTAACTTCATAGACACCCAAAGGGACATTCTATGTCTTGGTGAGTAAAATTTTAGATGGAAATTATTTATTACAGCACACTTGCAGGATTGCTATCCTCACTTTACTATTTGTGGTAGGACTATACTTACTGTGGCACCTGCAAAGTGGAATTCTGGACAGAAAATTCTAATTGCTGTATTCTGCCTAATTATCATCTTTATAGCAGGGTTAATAATTACAGGAAAGATTCAGCTAAGGTTAACACTAAAGTTACTCTGGTCACCCAATAACGTATTCCTCCCAATATTATCGCAAGTTACAAAAGATGGCCCAGACCTAAAATTATCTCCTAACGGCAAGTCAAGGGGGAATACATGTTTTACTCAAAGAAAAATGTTGCTTCTTGGCCGGGCGCGGTGGCTCACGCCTGTAATCCCAGCACTTTGGGAGCCTGAGACGGGCGGATCACGAGGTCAGGAGACAGAGACCATCCTGCTTAACATGGTGAAACCCAGTCTCTACGAAAAATACAAAAACAAAATCAGCGGGGCGTGGTGACGGGCGCTTGTTTTCCCAGCTACTTGGGAGGCTGAGGCAGGAGAATGGCATGAACCCAGGAGGCAGAGCTTGCAGTGAGCCGAGATCGCGCCACGGCACTCTAGCCTGGGCAACAGAGCGAGATTGTCTCAAAAAAAAAAAAAAAAAAAAAAGAGAAGAAAAGAAAAGAAAAATTTTGCTTCCTTATTAATGCTTCTGGTAAAGTATAGCGATATTTGGTGGAGGCAACCAGTATTAAAACCCATCGAAATTGCTAACAGATATCAAACTCCACTGTCATGGTTATGGCCTGTAGTATCCCCACTAATAGTGGTAATCTTAATACTCATATTCAAAATCTGTATTCTAAACCTTCTTGTAAAATTTACCTCTTCTCACCTAGAAGCTATTGAACTCCAAATGGTGTTGCAGATAGAACCATGCAGGACCTTTACAGGACCCTTAGATTGACCCCAGGAGGAGCCTTTGCTGCTGTTCCCCACATGACGTATCTCTCCAGCAGGAAGTAGCCAGAAGGAGTTATCTTCCAATACCCTCTAACAGCAGTTAGGATTTCCACTCCTGAGGGGGGGATATACCATACAGGAGCTAGAAAGAAATTATTTAGGCAGATAGTGAGGGTAAAAGAGTCCTTGGCAAAGCTTCCCTTCTAACAAAAAGCAGCCCAATAAATTATTATTATTTTTTTCTAACAAAAAGCAGCCTGAAAAATTGAGCTGCAAACCTAAATAGGCAAGCTAGAAGCTTTCACGGGGGAATGCCGGTAGCTGCGCCAATATAAAAGGGCCCACCTTGGGGCCAAACATATCCAACAGTGAGGTTCTATCTTCCATTTTCTGTGTGTTACCAAATGTACAACATGCCACAGACCAGGCAGAGGACCAGGCAGCTGCGTAATAAAAGATTAGGATGGGGACGGCCAGAAACTCACGCCCTATGCAAATGGCACACCTAGTCCTAAATATTTTTTTGTGCCCTATGCAAATGGCACACTTGGTCCAACCAATCTTTTGCGCCCTACGTAAATCAGACACTGCCTCCTCACCAGGTATCTATAAACCCCCCTGCATTTTGTTACGGACCGGCAACCCGTTTGGGATCCCTCTCTCTGCAGCAGAGAGAGCTATTCTTTCTTTCGCCCATTAAGCTTCCACTCAACCTCACTCCTTGTGTGTTCACGTTCTTAATTTCCTTGGTCATGAGACAACGAACTTCGGGTATCCTAGACAATGAGGCTACTTCAATAGGAGGCAGCCCTGGTACATTACTAATCTTTTACTCTGCTCAATTTCCCCACAAAAATCTTACTAGGATTAGTTGCAAATAGATACAGTTTTATTATTAGGTTAAAAAACATACCTATGGCTTTTCTGCTCAAAGGATGGTTCAACGATCAGCAACTCGACATCACTTTGGAGCTTATTAGTAATGTAGAAGTCGGCACCCCTTACCCCAGATATAGTATATCAGAACCTGAATTTTAAAAAAGTCTTCAGGTAGTGAAGGGGCTGCATTGTCTGGGGTATATACTCTGGGGTTTGTCATCACGTGCCAGGAAAATTTAGGACATAGACACACATGCCTGGTTGATTTTTGTATTTTTTGTAGAGACAGGGTTGCCCAGGCTGTTCTCAAACTCCTGGGCTCAAGTGTTCCACCTGACTCGGACTCCCAAAGTGCTGGGATTACAGGCATGAGCCACCATGTCGGGCCTAAAGTTCTCTTATTCGTATATATGACTTAGTCCATCTAGAATTTATTTGCTTTTATGTAGCCTGATATAAAAAAATATTTTAATAGTTAACTGTGCCTGGACTAATTACGGGCTATCTTCTCTTTTTCTATTGCTTATGATGTCAGTTTCTTCATTCAATTTAAACATCCTTGTACTAACATTACATGCCTTAGTACCATAGCTTTGTAATCAGTCTTTACTTCATTAAAGAAAAAATTCTCCTTACCTTCATCTTTGAAATTTTCTTGGATTTTTTTTATATTTACTACTCAAATTGTTTTTTTTTGTTAGTAAGAGCTAAATAATATAGAAAGTTTGTAAATATCTATAAAAAGTCTTTTAAGATACTGATTGAAACTGAATCAGATGTATAGATTGTACTAAAATTGACATCTTTATACTATCATTTCTATTTATGAGCAAAGCAAATCTCTCCATATATTATTTTTTATACCCTTAACAGAGTTTTGCATTATTTTCTATTAAATTTTTGTACTGCTTTTGTTAAATTTAATCTCAGCTACATTTAAATATTGCTGGAATTGTAAATAAGATATTACTTTATTATATTTAGTAAAGATTTATGATATATAAGAAAGTATATGTATACACAAACATATACATGGTGATTTTATATATAGATTTAGATGTAGACATAGCCATAGATATAAGTATAGATAGATAGGTACAGATACAGCTATAGATATAGTGTATGTGCATACACACATGCATGTGTGTGTCCAGCAATCTTCTTGAGAGAGATATATATATATATCCATATATGCACATAATTTTGTGTGTTTATATACAATCTCTCCACATACATATTAGGTTGGTGCAAAAGCAATTGTGGTTTCAGACCACGAATTTTAAATCATTATAACTAGACTGAAACACATCTTTATTAATCAAAACAGGAACCATTGCAATCAACACATTTTTGACACTGATAAATAAGTTTATTCCTGTATTGTAAAAATCCATGCTTCGGGATTTGAGAAACTCTTGGAAAACATTTTTTGCACCCTGCTGGTTGTAGAAGTGTTTTCCCTGCAAAAAATTGTCGAGATCCTTGAAGAAGTGGTAGTCGGTTGGCAAGATGTCAGGTGAGTATGACGTGTGGGACAAAACTTTGTAGCCCAATAAGTTCAATTTTTGAAGTGTTGGTTGTGCGACATGCAGTCGGGTTTTGTCATGGAGGAGAATTGGGCCCTTTCTATTGACCAATGCCAGCTGCAGGTTTTGCAGTTTTTGGTGCATCTCATTGATTTCCTGAGCATACTTCCCAGATGTAATGGTTTCGCTGGGACTCAGAAAGATGTAGTGGATCTGACTGGCAGCAGACCAACAAACAGTGACCATAACTTTTTTTGGTTCAAGTTTGGCTTTGGGAAGTGCATTGGAGCTTGTTCTCAATCCAACCACTGAGGTGGTCGTTGCTGATTGTTGTGTAAAATCCACTTTTCATCGCATGTCACAATTCAATTGAAAAATGGTTCACTGTTGTTGCATAGAATAAGATAACACTTAAATGATTTTTTAAATTTTTTGCTCAGCTCATGAGGCACCCACTTATCAAGTTTTCAACCTTTCCAATTTGCTTCATATGCCAAACGACCATTGTGTATATCCGGCAATCTTACTGAATTCTATAAATATACACAATTTTGTATGTGTATATAAAATTTACAATGAAAACTGGCGTGGACTTGGATCATAGTAACATGAATCAAATCTATATTACTAATGGAGCTCAGAAAAAGCTAATGTTTAGTTTCATCTAGGTTACAATGGTTGACATTGAGTTCTTTGGCAACTTCTCACGTCGTTGTGAGAGGATCAGCTTTGATGATTGCTCTTAATTGATAGTTATCAACTTCCAGTGGTGGCCTGCTAGCGCCTCATCTTCAAGGCTCTCCTCTCCTTTGCAACACTTCTTGAACCACCACGGAACTGTAAGCAGTTCCTGGGACAAATTCCTTGATGTGGTGGGTTGTTTCCACTGCTTTATGACCCATTTTGAAATGGAGTAAGAAAATCATTCGAATTTGCTTTTTTGTCTAACATCATTTCCATAGTCTAAAATAAATATAAAATAAACGGCAACTAATAAGTCATTAGCAAAAAACATAAAGCAAGAAATGCACATTAAGATAACCACATTTATCTAAGAATGCATTTCAATATCAAACAGCAAATTTCAACAATACAAAAACTGCAATTACGTTTGCATGAACCTAACGCAATTTTATCCTTTGCACATGATAACCAGCTTTTATGCTTTTTTCCCTAATCTTATTCCTGTAAGTTATTTATTTATTTGTCTATTTTTGGCATTGCTAAACTGGCTAGGATTTCCAATGTGATGCTAAATACTAAATAGTTAATAGCAGGCAGCCTTGTGTGTGAATGATTTTAATGGTATTGTTCTAGAGCCTCATACATTAACATTTTCTGTAGGTTTTTTATGTTAAGATGTACTTTTTGCTTATAAGGGAGTTCCAGCCTATTTCTAGTTTGCTAAGATAGTTTTAGAAATAAAAAAAATTGTTAATTCTTATGCTTTGTCTACATGTCTTAAGTTTATTTATTTATTTCATTTAATTCGTGATTTGGGTGAATTATATTGGTGAACTTATATTAATCACATTCATGAGATCAACTTTTACTATGATGCATTTGTTGCTTTTATTATGATGCATTATGATGAGCTTTATACACATTATTGGAGGATAATCTGTGTTTTATTCATTTAGGTGTTGATCATTTTATGCAAAAGTGGAATTGGTCTAAAATTTTTATTTTGTTGTATTGTTCTTATCTAGTTTTGATATCGATTGTATACTATCATCTTCAAATGAACACGGCAGTTTTCCCTACTTATTTTATGTTTCTAACACAGTTTTGTATAAGATAAAGAGTACATCATTTGTATAGTGAGATTTAACTCACTTAAAATAGTACCTGGGCCTTAAATAAAAGATCTTATCTTGAATGTATGACTAGTGGATAGAGGACAACATAATTCACAGTGAATTAGGTTCTGTAATTTACAGGAAAGTAACAAAACCATCAAGTCTGGGAAGGACAGCCATCAGAATTGAAGCTTATACACATCCACAATTGATAGATTTCCAGAAAAAACCCATCCATAACATATTTTGTTTTTTTGTTTTTGTCTTTTTTGAGACAGAGACTCCCTCTGCTGCACAGGCTAGAGTGCAGTGGTGTGATAACGGCTCACTGCAACCTCCGACTCCAGAGTTCAAGCGATTCTCCTGCCTCAGCCTCCTAAGTAGTTGATACTACAAGTGCGTGCCACCACGCTTGGCTAATTTTTGTATTTTTGGTAGAGACGAGGTTTCACCATATTGGCCAGGCTAGTCTTGAACTCCTGACCTCAAGAGATATCCCTGCCTTGGCCTCCGAAGGTGCTGGGATTACAGGCATGAGACATTGTGCCCAGCCATATGTTTTGAAAGAGTTTATTTATTATTTGAATGTTTCTCTATATATTTTTGAAAGAATCCAAACTGATACTTACATAATAAAAATGTCCATAAATATGGAAAATATAATGAATAATAAAAACTGATGAAATGATGCCTGTCAATGGCATAAGGAAGATACAAACAGGAAAGGTATGGTGTAATTAAATTTTGAAAAGTCACTTGAGCCTAATGCAGTTTTAATTCCACATACACAAAGGCAAAAATTGATTTAGTGTCCTTAAATATATTTACCCTTTGAAGAATATAAAATATTCAAAATGGAGAATTCCTTGGGATATACCATAGATATTTTAAAACTGTCTTATTGTCTTTGTTCCATGTCCAAACTTGTAAAATAGAATCTGATTATACATTTGATTTTCCTGGTACCTAACATTTGAGAAGCCTGGGATAACAAGCATTGGCATTTCGTGCATACTAGAAAAACACCCAAGTGTAAATGAACAAGTTGGTTTTCTGATTAAAAAACTGAAACTAGAGTAGACTTGGATCATAGCAACACAGATCAAATCTACATTACTAATGGTGCTTGAAAAAGCTAACGTTTAGTTTCATCTACATTACCAGTTCTGGTTTATTGGTAATGACTACCTGAGTTGATGGGTATTTTGAGGTCAAGTCAACCTCATCATGTATTAATAAGTGCAGTGATTTGCAGTGAGATAGGAAAGAAGCCTTAGCAGCATACATATCGCGCATTTACTGTCGCTACTGAATGTGTTACAGGGTCAAAGAAAAAGGGGTAGCCATCGGGGACACATGCACTCAATCAGCCAATGGGGAACAAGACAAACAGAAAGAGAGAGACCTGTGAGCCAAAGCCTTTATTGAAGTCCATGGTGTCATCCTTGCAGGTTTCCATAGGGCAGTTCTAATTGGTGGGTTTAGAGCAAACAGGCATGAGTCCCAGGAAGTCATGTTATCCATGTTTGGGTGGGCGGGGTGAATCAAGTGGGTTGCATCTAGCTGTCCCATAGGGAGGTGGCCATCAGGAGGTGGGTGTTTAGGGAAGATATCTGGATGGACACATTGAGGAACTAGGAGGAGGCAGAAAGCTGGAAACTATGTCAAGGATGACTAAGCCTTGTTTCTGGCATGAGAAAGTCCAACTTATATTCAAAATAGATGCTGAGGCAACATAAAATTATGGAAATTCACTACAGTAAAATTCTAACATTCAAAGATATATCTAAATATTTTATTGACATATTTTATATAAAAGAAATAGGTTAACGTGTTTAGAGATTATTAATATAACTAAAAAGACTATTGTCATAGCATAGAGTTTTCAAGGAATGGAGAAATATGTCAAATATATTAACATGGCAGCTTACACTGTAATCCTTAGCATCCTGGAAGGCCAAGGCAAGAGGATGGCTTGAGACCAGTAGTTTGAGAGGACCCTGGGCAACATAGTGATAACTCATCTTTACAAAAAAATGAAAAACAAAAAGGTAGACAGGGGTGGTGTGCCACACCTATAGCCCCAGCTACTTGGGAGGCTGAGGTGGAAGGATCACGTGAGCCCAAGAGTTCAAGGCTGCACTGAGCTATGATTGTACCACTGTACTTCAGTCTGGGTGACAAAGCAAGACTCTATCTCTAGAAATATAAAAATTTTAAATATATAGATATAGGTTTAATTATTTATTTCAGGGTCATTGAAAATGACAATGTGAAAAATTAGTAGACAATATAATCTGTCTACTTTTCTTCAGATCACTTTTAAACTGACAGCCACTCAACAATAAGAACTGTCTTATTTGTAAATTTTCCAGTACCCAGAGGGCAGTAGGTACTCAAAAAATATTTTTGAAAACCAAGGAACACTAACGGTAATCTATAAATGAAAAGTAATGAGACTTACTTTGCAAGAATATTGAGAATTTTAAAAGAGTAATCATTTGTAAAACAGCTACATAGTGCCTGGAATGTGTATTTTCAGGATCAACTCCTTGTTGAACAAAAGCTACTGGGAACTTTAAGCTCTAGAAGATTTTCCACACTTTCATGTCCTTAAGGGCCATGTGAAAAGATTGCTTTCAATGAATATCCTCAAATACTCCAATTTCAGAAAGTAGAATAGGAATCTATCTTTTAAATGATCATCTAGATCCATGAAGAGCATGACTACACTTTGGAAAATACAGCTCTAGAAAGTATTCATAACTAGGATGAATTATTTACTTCTTGAGCAGTTGAAACTTGATGTAATTTACAGAGCAATAATATTTAGAAATTAAAAACATAATATTTAAACTGCATACTGCAATATGTGTCCATAAGTAGATTTAGAAAATTCGTAAGATGAGACTTGTCCTCTTCTCAGATCTACCATTTACACCGAAGAGTTTGCAAAGTTGTAGAATATGTGGGCTTCATGCAGAGCACAATCTGAAGCTCAGTGTTCTCTTTCTGAAGTTCAATAACGCTGTTCCGTCAAAGAGCTCCAGGCACTGAACAATTTACTTTTAAATTGTACAAATCATTTTTCCAATGAAGATTTCTAAATGCCCTTTGAGTATGTGAGAAGGAGCACGGGGAAGTAAAGAAGAGTGAAAACGGGGGAAAAGGGAAAAAGGTATTCAGGGAAAGAAAGCAATTACAATGTCAAATGACTAAAGGCATCACGAATTGCCTAATGACTTTATTGTCAGGGTCAGGTCTGCTGATGATAGTGGTGCTGAAAGGAGAAGATATCTGAAACGGGCAGACTTTTTACAACCCTGGCTTACACTCAGCTGTGCTACTGTCCTTAACACTGCTATGGAGGTTGTTTTCCTGGTCTTCTCCCAGTATTATAATATCAAATTTCTCACATCTGGCCAACAACTAGGAATCTTTGTTTGCAAAGCCTTCTACTCAGATAAAACTTATAATTCCAATGAAATAATAAATAAGTAGCTGTATCAGTTCTGCATATGGCATAAGCCTGACAGTTGAATTGTATCACGTGCAGTAGTTCAGAGTGGGCTTTTCAAGTAAATTCAAGTCACTTCCTTAATTTTTGAGGTCATTTAAATCTTACAAGCTATGCTTTACTTTAGGAATCACAGGTATTGGTGAGGTATATAGAAATTAACTCTGAGGAGATTAGAAAAATAGTATTCGTTTTTATATTACCATTCTTTACTATAACTTTCACCCTCTGACTTAAAACATATGCTCCTTTTGAAAATATTCATTAACCTTTCACATGATGTATAACTAGCTTTATCACAGTGGATTAAAAAAAAAAAATCCCACTTACAGTTTTGAAAGACAGACCCAGTGGGAAATACACAAATGGTAAACTCTACCGAAGGACACAAAAAGGCCCATAAAACATCAGAAAGGTTATAGAGGTCTATGGATTTTAATTGCTGTGTGCCATTGGGCCTTTACAAAGCAATCAAGCAGGCAATCTCCAAAGACAGTCCTGCCATAATACATTTAACAATAGAGTTCTCACCCCCTCGGCAGACTAGGGTTTATGAAGGTCCCAATAGCAATTAATGACCTTGTATACTGAGAGAGGGAGAGGGAGCGAATGGGAGTGGGAGTGAGCGAGAGTAAGAGCAAGAGCAAGACACACACAGAGAGAGAGAGGAAGAGGTAGGGAGAGGAAAAGGGAGAAGGAGAAGGTGGAGAGAGAGGAAGAGAAGGAGGAGAGGGAGGCTCAGACTTAAATTGGCTCACTTGTTGATGCTTAAGATAAGTATAGAAATGATCATTTTGAGAAGAGGAAAGTAAAAGTTGACAAGGGATGCAATCACATCCTTAAGTATTCTTTTTATATTTTATTTCTTTTACCTTCCTCCAAGGTAGAGAAAATTAATACCTCCCCCAAAAAAAGGCTGCCACCAAAATGAATTGTTACTTAAAAGATGGTTTAATTTGTATATTTCCTGGAATGGGGAGAGTGAAATTTATAGATTTATTGTTGACATTAATACAATGTTTCAATGATTTGAGTATGAAAGGTTGATAGTTGTGAACATTAAGATATTCTGAGTATCCAATTTTCATTGATTGCCAACTCACCGAGACTAACAATACTTAAACTACATTGAATACATGCTGTATACCATACACTGTATTATTATATTTAATCCCATTATATAAGTATTGCTCTCTTTAACTGATGAAATACAGCAGGCAGAGATTTGGCACAAGGTCACACTTCTAATAAGTGACTTCACTGGAATTCAGATCTATTTAAGACTCTGAATGCAACGTCTTTCTACCAGGAGCCAGTAATGTACAGACATGTTGTAAGAATTCTCCTCTTCTGCAACAACTTTCTATCAACTTTGGCCTAGCTTCTTGGAAAATTGCTTGAATAAGATAGATATCCATTCCTATCCTATCTACCTTGAAATGACACCAAGCACATACTTGGGTACTATATTTGGAGCATCTTCTTTACAAGTCTGCAGCGACTGTAAATATTATAGTTGGAAAGACATGGTTGTCTTCTGCCCAATATCCCAGTGCCTTATATTGACTAGACCTATTGGCCTCCAGAGAACATTATTCAGTAGCTTTCTTATTTAATTCTGATTATCTGTAGCCATTTTGCCAAGCTGGTGCTTTGGCTTAGTTCCCCAAGGCTGAGTTTCTCTCTGTTGCTTCATAGAGTGAAAGCCGGAAGAAGGAAAGTCGGAACCAAAGTTTCCAAGCAAAAAAGAAAAGAATGACATTTTTGTCAATAACATTTACAGCCCTTCAGATTGTTAACATTTCAAACTTTCCCCTATCCTTTTCTTTTCTGGGTTAGACTTAGGTTATCCTTCTGAACTTCCAACATTAAATTCTGAGTAGTGTTTTACTCTCTCACCACAAATCCTAGTTTAATGGAAAATGCAATCTATTTCAGTTTGTCCTAGACATTACTCTTAATAGTTTCCATTTAATTCTTGTTTTTGCCCTCCAGCATGCTGTATGTCTGCTAAAGAACAATTTATGATAGAGGGGAGATATTATTACAACAGTGCAAATGCTTCCTTTAAAGCTCACCAAGAAAAAGTATTTCATAAAGGAAATTATCATCACATAAAACATCATTAATCTTATATTTTTGTGTAATTGATATCTTAGTACTATGAGTCAGCTCTCACATCAAGAGAAACTTTGATGATAGCAATAATAGGTATCGTTTACTTTGAACCTGCTAAGAACCAAGTTGTCTTTACAAAGTGTCCTAGATATTTATTTTTATTAAACTATTGCTTTAATAGCATTTTATAGTTTCTGAAGGTAATTTCCCAGAAACAATATCATATCTGTGTTTTTTAATGAAATGGCTCTATCTATCAAACTTCAATTTACAACTGAATTTGAAAATATTTTGGAATCTAACATTTAAGTTGGTGGCCTCACATAGAACAATGAACAGCATCTTGATGTAAATAAAACAATGTTTCTTTGACCCTTTCACATGCAAACCTCCAAACATTCCAAAGTCTTATCTCATTCTTAGCAAAAGCTGCCCTTCTCAATGACCCAAGAGGACCTGGAAGACCTGGACCCTGTTGCTGCTTTAATCTCTCTTTTGAATTCCCTCCCATCTCACTTAACTCATCCACATAGACCTTTGTTCATCCTGGAACAGGAAAGGGTTCAACTAATTCAAGACCTTCACCTTGTACCTTCTCCCTGGAAGGTTCTTAAGACTCCCTATCTGTCTTTTCTGATTTGCCTTTTTTTTTAGCCAATGTATCACTTTCTACCATATGCTTTACTAATTCATTTGTTTAATTAATGCTTTCCTACACATAAGCTCCTTGAAAACCAGGCTGTTTCGTTTACTACCATATTCCTTGAACCAAAGAAAATGCTTGGCATATAGTAGGAGCTCAATAAAAAATTGTTGAGTGAATAAATGATTGAAAAAATAAACAGCCTAGTTCAGTTTTCTTTAAAGAGACAATGTCCAAACAGGTCAAAATGAACTCCATTTTTCACTTGTACTTCTAAAAGTCTAGAAAGGAGATCCAATTCCTGACATTTAGTCATTCTTCTTTCATCTCACCTAGTTTTTACTCACACCTGCTGATTACTCTTCTGTTACCAATCCCCCTCCAACCACACCAGTTCTTGTCCCTAGGCTTTGTACACCTCTCCTTCCACCCTTTCACTTTGCTCTTCGACCCTTCCCTCTTTATGACTTAGCATCACAAAACCCCCCAAATTAAGCTGGCAATAGCTGGTTTATCCCATATGGGTGGGGTCAGAGAAAAGGAAACCAAAGAAAACCAGAAACCATTTTAGCAATGAGACGAGAGAGATGATGGGGAATATTCAAACAATCAAAAGTTTTATTCATTAAAAATATTTCAATGTTTTTGAAATTGGGGTTGGTTTTAAAATCAACATCCAAAGAAAACTTACACCTTGCTGGGAAGGAGTACACCCTTGACACAATTGTCACCATCTGTCTGTGTGTGCTTACCCTTGTTAAAGATGTTCATGTGTTCATCAGTGGCCACCTTAGGAGGGTTATTTTCATTAGTATTATGACAGGCAGTTAATTTCTTAATAGGAATTTGGATTCATATGTGTAAATTAAATTGTCTTCAAAAAGATCAAATTATGACAGCCTTGAAATAAACTTTCTTGCATAGGAAGAAGAGCTGTAAAATAGTTTCAAAATATACATTTATAAATGAAGCTGATACCTGTCACTGATGGAAATATGGCATTTTCACATTTGTTGTAAAGCTTTTCAGAACCTAACAAGGGAAGGCGGCCACGGAGGCAGCTATATTTTGTCATGAATCCACATGGGACCAGCATTTTTGCCTATCATGTATCACACAATGAAATTATATTAACCAAGTGTGCACATTGCTCAGTGTATATTATAGAGTTTAAATAGTTACGGGGCGTGTGTGTGTGTGTGTGTGTGTGTGTGTGTGGCCAATTTGTCTTTCTTCAGGCTATCACCTGGGCAACAAATACCTGTTGCTCCAAATGATTCAGTTTATGTAGAACTGAAGTTCAGAGATATATAATTAAATTAAGGAAATCAAAATGACCCTGCAATGAGTAAAATAGGAAATTCAGTCAAAAACCTGGTATATGCTATTAAATGTTACTGGACTATGATATACTAGACTATGCTACATACTAAAATTTGCCATAAAGTTTTACCACAACTTCAAATATATTGAAGAAATGATGAAGTTAAGCAGATTTTATGACTTAGGCTTCATCTTGTGGATACATCAGCCTCAGTAGTCAAAATTGTTTTAGAGGAATCTGTATAAACTGAAAGTAAATAGGCTTTACACTCGACTTATTTTGATACAGAAATACTCTTTTAGTTATACAGACAAATGCGTGCTATAATTGGTTCTACTTGGTTTTTAAACAAGTGTTTTCTTCCGCTGTCCGGGGAAAAGTGCTTTTATTAAATTGTTATCAATTTTGAAACAAAAAATAAATAATAACGGTAATAATGGTGTTTTAGAAAATAAATAAATGATTCATAATCTGTCCCTTTGCCTAATCTTCATCCTCTTCATTTTCTGATTAGTGACTGTCAGAGTATGCCATGGCTCAATCCTTGGAATTCTTCTTTCTTCTTTCCATATTCACTCCTTGGGTGATCTCACTCAGTCCTACAGCGTTATTTATTTCTGGTATTTTTCAGGATGGGCTAGGCTATGATGCAATAACAAATAACTCCCGTATTTCAGGAAACCAAGATGGCAAGGTCGATTTCTCACTCATGCTATATCATTGTGAGTCAGCTGGGAGTTATGCTATAAGTTGTCCTTAATCTGGGACCCAGACAGATGGAGCAGCCACCATCTGGAGAACTGTCAGGAGACAACCACAGGAACAACAACAAAAAGATATCTTGAAGTTCTCATACTGAACTGAAGTTAAATGGTCCAGCCTAAAATAGCTTCCTCTCATAGCTATTTTCAAGGCTCCACATAACCACAGAGAGCTAAGAAATGCCATCTTAGCAAATACCTGAAAAGCAGAGGACTGAAAAATCTCACACCACATTATCTATTTCTTTCTGATGACTCCATACTTTTAATCCTGAGAATATACCCTCTACTGAACCCCACATTCATATATCCAACTTCTAAATCCACATTCCAATTTGAAAGCTTAAGCGCATCTCAAACTCAGCATGTCCAAAGAATACTTGATTCCCCATGTGTACAAGCATTTCTCCTCCAAGCTTCCCTGTCTCAGCAAATTAATTCGTAACTTCTAATTTGCTCAGGCACCAAACATGAAGTTGTTTTTTACTCTCCACTTTCTTATTTTTTTCTTGAGGTGGAGTCTCTCTCTGTCACCCAGGCTGGAGTGCAGTGGCGCGATCTCGGCTCACTGCAACCACCATCTCCCAGGTTAAAGCGATTCTCCTGCCTCAGCCTTCTGAGTAGCTGGGACTACAGCCACACACCACCACACCTGGCTAATGTTTGTATTTTTAGTAGAGACAGAGTTTCTAAATGTTGGCCAGGCTGGTCTTGAACTCCAGACCTCAGGTGATCCACCCACCTCGGCCTTCCAAAGTGCTGGGATTACAGGCATGAGCCACCGTGCCCGGCCATCTCCCATTTCTTATAAATCACATATTCAATCTAACATCAAGTTCCTTTATCTGAACCTTTACAATATCCAAAACCAACTACTTTTTACCATTTCCTACCAACTGTTTAGTCCAAATCACTACTTTGTTTTACTTGGACCACTAAAATGGTCTCCTAATTATCTTCCTGGTTCTCCTAAAAATTATTATCTATACAGCAACTAAAACATCCCTGAAAGTCATACACTTGATCATTTCATACTTTATTTATATCACTCAAATGGCTTTCAGTCACATTTATATTAAATGTCAAACTCCTTACCAGGGTCTTTCAGGTCCTCAATTATTCAATACCTACTAAAAATCTGTTCAATGTCCAGTGGCTAGAATGATCCTTTTAAAATGTATTTCTTATCATGAAACATCCCCTTTCAGTGCACTCAGATGGCATCCCATCCTACACAGATGAAATCCAAAGTTCTCAACATGGTGTTAAATTTCCCTGTTATCTTGTCCGTAGTGTTCTTTATGGCATCATTTTACCATTGTCTACTTCATTGACCATAATGAATTTTATTAACTTTTTTACTGCTTTTCAAACTTCCCATAAACTTTCTGACATTAATTCCATTGCCTTTGCTGGAATTAATCTGGAGTGCTCTTATTTTATTTTTATTTTTATTTATCTTTATTATTATTTTTTTGAGATGAAGTCTCACTGTGCTGCCCAGGCTGGAGTGCAGTGCCATGATCTTGTCTCACTGCAACCTCTGTCTCTCAGGTTCAAGAGATTATCTGGCCTCAGCCTCTCGAGACGTTGGGATTACAGGCATGTGCCACCATGCTCAGCTAAATTTTGTATTTTTAGTAGAGACAGGGTTTCAGCATGTTGGTAGGGCTGGCCTCGAACTCCTGACCTCAGGTGATTGGCCCACCTCGCCCTCCCAAAGTGCTGGTATTACAGGCATGAGCTACTGTGCCCAGAGGTGGAGTGCTCTTATTAGTCATCTGCATGTCTTGTTCCCTCATTTCATTATGATTACTGCTGAAGTATCTCCCCTCGCACAAGCTTTTTCTGACTGCTATCTAAAATAACATTTCTCCACCTTTCCTCCATAACTCCTTACCCTGCTTGTTTTTTTAAATGACAAAAACCATGGATTTTAAGGAAGCTTGAAGGCAAAACAAGAGATCATGAAGTCAATACAAGAATAGCTCTCTTGCAAAGATGATGTGCAGGCCAAGGCAGCTCCACTGTGGATGCTAATTCAACATGTTGACTTCTGATTAATTCCTGCTCTGGGAAGCTGCTACGATTTTCAGTTCATCTATTGTTTCTTATGTAAGAGCAGGTGCTTACCATAAATCCTGCCCTTAGGTCAAATTAACCTTGATATTATTGTACTGCAGTTGTCCTACACATGCCTTCTGAGTCACCACTTCCCTATGTTATATAAGCCCTAGGTCTGAGGGACAATGGCATGGGGATCCAGTATCTTATCTCAACACTGCTTGAGACACAGACATGGCTTCTGTTCCTAAATCCCTGCGAAATGTTTGATTCTAAAAAATGGGATTTGTCAGCCTCTTTCTTAGGCCTCTCAGCTTCCTCTGACTTTGGAGGTAGGTTTGCATAGACCTGCTCACTGAGAAACACATGAATATTAAATGCCCTTTTCCTCAAAAGGCAAAAGATGCCCCATCCCTTGCTTTGATGCTTCATTAAAACCTCTCTTCACCCATTGAGGCTGCCAGGGATTCTTCAGCTCATGATTTGGATCCTCCTTTTCTTTACTAGAAATCTTGTATAAAGAGCTGTCTTCCCTCATTGTCTCTGTGATCTCCCTCTCATTCGACCCACTGATTATTTTATGTATTTGTTACACTTCCAATTCTGCTAATATTGCCCTGGTGAAAGGCAATGGCTCTTGAATGAATAACTAAATGGGATTGGAAGTGTTGTAAAGTTCCTTCATAACAAACCCCTTTTGAAAAGGAGAGGGACTTTTATTTCTGATCAAATATAAGAAAATAAGTTTTAATCACAGCTGCAGTGACTTCCTCACAGACTTAAACAGAACATTTCCAGAAAAAAATCCAATTTGATTTGCATTCAAATTTCTTTTCCCTCAAGCCTATACTGCATATACTTCAGTTTGGATTAATGTGATCTCCTTTACATAAAAGGCTTCTTCTTTTACATAACACTTCAAAATTATCATGCTATTAATAACCTCAAAATATGTTGATGAGGATATGATGAGCACAAGAAACATTATATACAATTTGCAATAGATCTACATAGAAATTTCTGCAAATGAGACAGTGTGAACTTTGAAGACAACCATAAAAGCGGTGAGGCATCAAGGAGAGTACTTCAAAGTCTTGAAATTAAAGTTATCATCAGGTTCAGTAATTTCCAAGATTAGTTAACCATTCTGAATAATCACAGCATCACAGAATCAAATAGAAAAGATTTCGAACAACTTATGAGTAATGGGCTTAGGTCACACCCTAAAAGAGTTTAAATTCCTTCTTTTAGTCTGTTAACCAACAGGATTATTATCAAGTTGGGAGATTTATTCAGGTGGCATTTAAAAACATACTAATTATGGATCTGTCAGGTAGAAAGAATTAGGGAAGCATGTAAAACACAGAAATTAAAACATAGTCTCCAACTTCACTGAATACACACACATGCACACTCACACACATAAAACATAATATGTTCATGAAGCACAATTACTAAAACCTTGGAATTTCTTAGAAAATATATAGTGCATGGTATCTACAAGACAAGTGAGCACCTTATTTTAGCTGAGAAACTTAACAGCCAGAAAGTTAATAGTAAGTGATGATGATGGTAAAACTAACATCACCCCATCCCCATTGGGGTCTCTGTAGAGCATTTTGACACATAAAAAATTAGCTGATATAATTGAGAAAGTACTATATTATAAGCTAACCTAGATCAAAATTCTTCAAATAAAAACCTAACCTTAATACAATATCTCTTGTGGCTTTGAGTTTTCTTTTTCATTGCATTTTACTGCCTGTATGCCTCTATTGTCTTTCTACATAGTGATTAATAGCAAGGGCTTTGGAGCCAGACTATTTCAGTTTTTTGGCCCAGTTTTACCATTTCCTAACTGTTTGACGTGCAATAAATTACTTAGACACATTTTGCTTCTTTTACTTTTGTTTATAGGAGATAATAATATTTATCTCAAGGGTTTTTTGCAAGGAGTAAATGAATTAACAGTTTATAAAACACTTGGAAAAAGCTTGGCACCTAATAAATATCTAATAAATGTTAGCTATGATTATTACTTTAAATGTTAATAATTTCAAGCAGTTAAATACCATAAACCATTATTGGAGACTTATTAATTACTGTACTGTTAGAAAGATGCCTGGTGTATAATAAGTAGTCAATAGATACTTGTATGAGGCATGTGATGATTTAAATGGTTTTACTTTGTATTGTATATTAGTTGTGCTTCCATCTTATCAGTTCCAAACTTCAAATTACAAACTATTCATCTAACCTAAGGGTGTAAATTAGACTCAACTGCAGGAAATATAATCCCTCAAGTATAAAAATATAACACAGCAACTGAGATGGGAAGAGTAACCTAACAGTAGATCCAGCAGAAGGGTTTATTTTAGGTAGCCTTGAGTGGAAGATGTTTTTGGAAGAACTAAACGGAAGAGGCTGACTCAAAAAAGGAAAAAAGAATTATGTCTGGTTGCTCAGTAATCCAGGAAGAAGATGTTCAAGTAGATTTAAAATATAATGCCTTTTAAGAACTTCGTAAGTTATTGTACCTTTTATGGAAAAATATAACTATAATTCACTGAGCATTTACTATGCTCCATACTTGGTAGTAAGTCAGCATTTTACCCTAATTATTTCATGTTGGTCATATCTACTTTTTAGCTATTACTATTTCAAAGTTAAAAATAATAAAACTGAAGATTTAGAGAATTTAAATAATTTACTTAATGTCACACAGTAGACATTAATGTAGTATTTGAATCTAGTGAATCTATACTTTTACTCATGACATTTACCTCCATTACTCAGGTACTCACCATTATTCCCTGGAGATTTTGCTCAAGTAGGTAAAATCAAATGTATTAGCTATGAATTCAGTTACATGCCAGGGAGCTGTGGAATTGGTAGATGTTGAACAAAACGTCATTATTGCCTTTGGGGAGTCTATATTATAGTACGAAAGTAGATGATCTGGGTAAAGTTATTTTACATAGGAAGAAAGTAGAGTAAATCATAGACTCCTGTCCTATTCTGGGTAGAAGAGATTTCACAACTGACTAGCATCTTCTTAGCAATTCTGATCAATTTACTCCCTCTTTATAAAATGGAGTGATAAGATTAGAAGCTCTCCATGATGTCTTTCAAATCTAAAATGTAATGATTGTAATTTTGCATTACCTACTCATCAGTTTTTAAGTTCTGCTTTCTAAAGCCAGGAGGGTAAGTTAAAGCTGGGAGTTGAAAGAAGGGGAACTGAATACCTGCATGGGGAGTTCACATGGTCATGACACCACCATGGTTCCCCTAAAGAGTATCAGCATATACTTTATAATTATGCTGTGGCAATGCTTAGAAACTTATAAAACTGAGGGAGCATATCATTGTGTTCCCTCTCTCTAGTGTGTGATAGCCAGGCAGAGGAGAATGCATACATTAAATCCATGGAGCCATTGTCAAGCCTCACACTCGAAAATACTCTGTTACATGGAAACCTGATAACAATAAACACAAAAATAAAAAACAGAACCTTAAGGATACATAATAAACATTTCTTTTTTTCTCCTTTGGTTTTCAACCTTTGCTCTTGAGGGAGACATTATCTTTATTATCATAGTGGAGAGAATGTTTAAATAAAAGTATAGTAAGTACTACACAAATATTCTCGAAAAGATGGTTCAGAACAAAGGATATCAATGCCTCTCTATTCAGGAAGAATCACCTCCCAACAAATCTAAAACCAATACCTTAACATTTTTATTTCTATTGCTTTTCAAATACTCTAACACCATGAATAACTGAAGAAATTTTTTCACTGATACTTTAGTTTTTCAGTTTTGAGATTACAGACACTGATGTCAAGCGGTGTCTATTTATGCTTCCCATCCTCATCCCCATCCCCAACATAAGAAATAGGTCTTCAAACAAATAAGGTACAATTCTAGCAAAGTTTCTTTCTGAGGTACTGATTCTCAACTCCCCTAGCTCTCTTGCTCTGACTTTTGTAATTTGCTGCAGAGGCACTGTTTTCTTATCTAATATGCAACATAATGTGTTCTGGGAAAAACTGATCTACAAATGAGAAGTATTATTTTCCAAGACAAATCTCACAGCTAGCGGATATTAATAATAACTCTTATGCTGATCATCATTATACTTAAAAACAATTAGTATAGAGCACACTCCCCAAAATTGGTAAAATATATCAGGAAAATAGATGTCTGGAATTGAAATTTAAAGAGAACATTCAATACATCAGATTAACTTTTTACATAAAAGAATTACCTAGGTGTGTGGTTTGTGTGTTACTTGTAGGAGTAAGGCTTCTTCTGATAAAAGCAATAGCAGTTTATGTTCCAAGGAGAAGATTATAAACAGTACAAAAGAAGTTCTACATCAATCAGTTGTATTGTACCTAACTGAAATAATAATATAAACTGGAGGAAACATAGAAAAGAAGGTGGAAAATTAGACAGTAATGTATCATTTTCTCAGAGATGTTTGGAGAGATGTTTTTGCTTTCAATTAGTTATGTTAATTCTGAAAAACTACTGCAACACCAGCACAGTCAATTAATAGAGACAACTAACTTAATTGACATCTTCTCACTTACAATCCTATGTTCACAAACCACTATCTTGAATAATAAATTTATTTCTAGTAAAGCTATTCACTACAAGGAAATTTCTTGCTTAAAGTATCAAGATTTGTTTTATGTATCAATCTCTTAGTTAATAAAAACATATTTCATTAGAAGCTAATAAATCAATATCTTACATTATAAGTTTGTGCATGGATGTTTTGTTGGTGCCTCTGAGCTTGAACCTGCACAAATGAAAGACAGTGTCTAGAGCCATAATGGCCTTATAAAATACTATATCTTCTTTATACATTATCCGGCTGGTCACTCTCTTTTGACATCACTTCAGGAACAAGTGCTTCACTCTATAAATCCAGATTAAAAATATGTTAGAAACCCACATGACTCCAATGTCAACCTTATTTACTGAAATAAACACTGGAATGTCTTGTTAGACAATTAACTAAATATTTTTAAAAAGAACTGTCTAAAATCATTGAAGATGGACATTTACCACAATGATAATTTACAACCAAATGGACATCACAAGTTTCCTCTTTAAGATCTGAGTCAAAATACATGATCAGTGCTTAGCACTATAAGCCCCCAATATGTTAATTCATCTCTCTCTTTCTCTTTCTCTCTCTCGCTCTCTCTCTCTCTCTCTCTCTCTCACACACACACACACACACACACACACACACACACAAAGTCTGGTGTCAGTTTGCAAGGTTACTATGTGGAATAAACACTTATGAATAAATATTCTGAGTGATAAATTGGTAATGTATATACTTTTTTGTGATTGAGAAAAGGTATATTTTTAATATAATCATTTTTACTACTTTAATAAATATTTTTAAAAATCAGTATATGAGACATTCTTGAGCTTTCTATGAGCTTTAAATAACTGAAATGTCTAGATAAGTTCATATTATCACTGATACAGTGACTATTTTTACCTCCAGAATGGAATTTTTTACCTCAATGTAAGTCAATTACTGAGATTCAAATTCTGTTAGGGAATGGTATAGACATCCAATATTTTCGTTTCAGATCATAAGAATATCTTGACATGAATACATTCCTGTATTTTATATAATAATTATTCACAAAGATAATATATTCCCCTATTTTGGTGTTTCTGAACAAATTAAAGTAGAAAAAAAATTCTTAATGTATCTAAGTTAGAGAAATTTCCTCTGCTCCCTCTTTATCCTCTCTTTTCTCCTGACTGAAGTCACATGGAATATCCAAATTTTGGAAACATAGTATTTTTTAAGGTTGTTTCTTGTCCTACCCAAGAACATTTCACTATTTCCTTCATTATGTCAATGAAATGTTAACATAAATATTGTTCACTTATGATTTTTAAAATTTATCTCTGTAAACAAAGCTATACATCTTTCCATGTATTTTTTAAATAGAACATGAACCAAAATTTCAAAATTCAGAAACAGATTTACTGATTTTAATATAAATGTATTATATTAAGGAAATCTTACATTTGAGAGCATGATTTTATCATCACTTATCATTGTGCTTTCATAATGTTTCTAAAGAGTAAGACAGGGAACTGTCTATATTTCACAGGGGAAAAATAAGTCCAAATAAGTGAAGAAGTTAATCAGCTCACTTAGCAATTCGGTCAAAGAAATAGAATTAGAAAGCAAGGCTCCAACCTCTCAGTTCTCCAGTCTTTTTTTACAGAGAGCAGTCAAATATTACACTTGGAGTCTACTGTTTTTTTTTCTTTTTTTCTTTGAGAAGGGGTTTCACTCTGTTGCCCAGGCTGGAATGCAATGTCAAGATCTTAGCCACTGCAGCCTCAAAGTCCTGGGCTCAAGCAATCCTCTTGCCTCATACCCTGAGTAACAGGGACTACAGGCAGACACAGCTGTGCTTGGCTAATTTTTGTTCTTGGTGTTCTTGTACAGTTTTTGTAGAGTCTGGGTCCACCTACGTTGACCAGGCTGGTGGCCTTAAGATATCCTCCTACCTCATCTTCCCAAAGTGCTGGGATTACAAGTGTGAGCCACCACACTCACCATTAACTCTAGCTCTAATGTTCACATATTTGGTGAAAACTGAGTACTGATGAAATTATTTTGAAATTTCTCTAAAGGATCTACAAAGTGCAGTACAGTATATTTGATTCTGTGCTAGAACTTTATATTGAAGCATCAATGTTTAGTAGATACGAAATTTCAGAGTGAATTATGGGACTGGCTAGCCTATAAGCTGGCAAAAAATTAGATAGAGAAATAAACAAAAATATAATATGATGCTTCACTGAAGTATTGTATTGAAGTGATCATAGACTCCAGAGTGGAAATTAGAAAATTCCAAAGAAGGCTTCATTGTGGAAGCGGGAAGCGGCCACACTGTGATTCTCAACACTCAGAATGGGGGATGGTACTCAGTTAGTAAATAATCTTCAATGGGATTACTAAAATAATTTAATCTATACCTTCTATAATATAGGGGACACAGGCAACTAATGTTTGTCTCACATTGAGAAGTCTGAAGAGCTGGAGACAGGTTGGCCAGCAACTAACTTACAAGCCAGAGGAGTGGCAGTTGCAATGGGCTTGGTATGCATTTTCAGATTTTGTTTAGCCAAAGCCTATATTAGTGTTTCCTTTGGACCAGAAGTGGACTACAAGCAATAGATGATTAGCAAGGGAGTCGCATTACATTCTGCCCAGTAGAGGTGCCTACCCTCTACCAGAAGTTGGATCCCTAGATTCCTAGTGGCTTCAGAATTATTAATGTAAAATTGTGGAATTGTAAATGAGAGGTTCTCAGCAACAGGGAAAGGACATTCCAGATAACTCATGAGATTGGCCATAGCATATTTTTCAGACCACCAATTTCATAGGATGTTAATTATAAGTTCGTGAAAAAAAAGTTCTGTGATCCAATAACATTGGAAAATATAGTTACTAAATCTCCCTTTCTTGAATTTACAATGCATTTGAGTATATTAGAGATTCTGAAAAGTCTTGCAGTAAACATAATTTAATTTTGCTTAAACCCATTATTTACAAATGATTATTTGAATATGGACTTTTCTATATATCAATTAATATCATTCATACACGCACACATACACACTCACACACACACACAGACACACACATATATATAACACCTCTTGGAGCACAATTTGCTCAATATTATCTTCCACATCTCCAAATGTCAACACATTTGCAAAAGAAAAATCCTTTGAAAAGTGTCTAATAATATATTAGTCACAAACTTACTGACTCCACTTCTGCAACACCTAAATCCTGGAATATCCATGGATTTACCTCCAAAAGTTTTATTTATCTCTCATATTACAGTCTGCTAATTGAGTGGCTCTTTGTTGGTGATCGTTCTAAAAGTGAGTCAGGATCTGAGTTGCGTTCTACTTGTCCATCTTATACATCCATAATTTCACACTTCTTTTCTTCTACCTCAAAGACAAGAGAGAGGAAAATAGAGACACCATAGCATTCTTACTTGCCTCAAACTAGAAGTAGCACATCACTTCACTACCTCCCACATTCCCATTGGCAAGAACTCAATTACATGGTTCCAAACTAGCAACAAGGGAGGCAATGTAATATTTCTTTATGTTCCAGAAAAAAAGAAAAATAGTAGTTGGACAAATACCATTTTTTTCTGTGGCACATGTCATATGTATTTTCATAACAACAGAAAAAATAAAAGAGGTAATAGGAAGGGGCTCTCATATTTGCATACTAGTTCTCCGTTGCTACTTCCAACATTTTCATTCATACCCAAGATGCGTTCATTCATGTAGTTGACAAGTATGTATTGAGTGTCTAATATGTGATAGACAGTAATCTAGGCATCAGGGGTGCATTAGTAAACATGAAAGACAAAATCTTGCCCTCATGAATTTGAAAACCAGTCCATGAATAAGAAAATATTATTATCCTAAATACTCATTATTTTCATCTGCAAAACAGTGTTTGAGGATAGCTATTAAATATCTGTCATTGTGGTCAAAATATAGCATCTTTATTTTGTTTTAGATCATAGACCTAAAAGAAAGACTGTTAAAATTTAAAAGAATATGTAATAAATGGCTAAATTTATCTTAAAAATCCCCTATTACACTTCACAGCATGTTTTCTTTTCTGGAAGATTTCAAAGAAACAGAAAAACCACAGTGTTATGGTAAATAAACATACAGAAATGATTTAAATTTTTAATCATTTTATAATATTTATTTTATTTGATAGAAATAATACTCTGTGGACATATCAAAAGCCATAAGTTGCTTTATAGAAGTCCTGTCATTTCAAATTTTTTAATACATTTATTTATGTTCACAGAGAGTAGGTAATTTTTTCGTGAATTTTTTAAATATGCATAAATTATATAGCCTATAAAGGCAGGAATTGTTGTCTTTATGGTTTATAACATAGGGGCAAGAAGAAATTTTCCCTTTAAATCTGAAGGTTCTCTAAAAATCAACCATCAAAAAGCAGGTTAACAGGAGAAAAGCATACACAATTTATTTTAATATGCATAGCACATGGAAACTCTATGAGAATAATTACCCAATAACCCCTGGGTACAGATGTTTATATACCCTTCTTCATAGGGGAAGGGAGATGCAGGAAAAGTGGCAGTTCGAAAGATAGTAAATGTTTTTTAGGGGAAAATGAATGGACTTGGGGAACATACAATGGCCTGAGACAAAGTTTGTTGGACCTACAGAGCAGACAATGGCTGGTAAATGATTCTCTGAAATATGGAATAGGCTTCATCTTTACAAAAAATACAAAAATTAGTTGGGTGCCATGGTGCATGCCTGTAGTCCTAGTTACTCAGGAGTCTGACATGGGAGAATTGCCTTAGCCTGGGAAGTTGAGGATGTAGTGAGCTGTGATTGTGCCATTGCACTCCAGCCTGGGTGGCAGAGTGAGAACCTGTCTAAAAAAAAAAAAAAAAAAAAAAAAAAATATATATATATATATATATATATATATATATATATATATATATATATTAAATGGGACCAACATAGAAGACAGTGGTTTATGACAAAAGTCTGTCTGGGTGGGCTGACAGGCTTCAGTCTTTCTTCTTGAAATAGGAGTTAAGAAAATGAAAACTCAGGGAAGGGATCAGAGGTAATTGTTTTCTTTTTGGGGTGGTCTGGACTTCAGGCAGATGAGAACTTCAGAGAAGGGTTTCATCCAGAGCTTTGGGAGAGACTGAGAGATAGGAGGGTGGGGAAGGTCAGAGAGACCTGGAAGCTGCTGCTTTAGTCTAGCCTGTCAAAGCACCATATTCAGGGTATTAGTTTCCAAGCCCCAGCAATAGTAAGCAGTCAATAAATATGTGTTGATTGAATTAAAAAGGATATTCTGCAGTATATTTTTACGTAATCAAAAAACATTTTATTAGATTATAACATGTACAGAGAAGCATACAATAATATGTATGTATTGTGATGGGCAGAATTCTAAAGATATTCACCCAAGATTCTTGCCGTCTTGTTTTTCAACCAAATATGCATCTAGGTACTGCTGCAAAGGGAATTTGCAGAGCTAATTGATGTTATGGACCTTAAAGTAGTGAGATTATTTTGGATTATCTATGTGGGCCCAATCTAAACACCTTAACACTTCAAAGCAGATAAATTTCTCCAGCTGGAGTCACAGAGCTGCAGAGAAGAAGGTGAGAATGGAGAAATCAGTTAGAAGAGAAGATGAGTGACATTTGAAATGGGAGAGGTGCTCAACCTCCATTGTTGGCTTTGTACGTGAAGGGGGAGTAAACGACCAGGGAATGTGTGTAGCTTTCAGAAACTGAGAACAACCCCTGGCTAACTGCAAGGAAATGGAGACGTCAGTCCTACCACCACATGGAATTGAACTGTGTTAACAACCTGAATGAGGATGGAAATAGATTTTGCCCTAGAGCCTCCAGAAATGTAGGCTGGCCAACACCTTGATTTCAGCCTTGGGAGACTGAGCAGGGAAACAGCTAAGCATGGACTTCTGACTATTAGAAACAGTGAGATAATGAATGGATGTCACCTAAAGCCACTAAGTTTGTGCTAATTTGTTACTGCAGCAATAGAAAAATAATCCAGGTTCAAAGAATTATTACACAATAAATACACTGATATAGCCACTATCCAAACGAAGAAATAAAACCTGCTCCAATCGCTAACCACCCTTCACTCCCCAAATGTAACCATCACCTTTACTGCTAACAGTAGAGATTAGTTTTCTTATTTTTCAACATTATATTAATGGAATCAGAGGCATGCATTAGGTTGGATCTCATTTATTTCATTTAATATTATGTGTATATGATGCATTCATGATTATATATATACCTATAGTTTGTTAATTTCATTGTTGTATATTTCATAGTGTGAATATACTTCACATAGCCTTAAATTTCATCCTGGTCTGCTTTATGCTCTCTTCCAATGTGTTAAGATACTTTCAGTTTGTGTGGCTTATTTTAGATCAAACATCAATGACCTCAGGGCAAATAGAAATAAAAAAACTAAGGTAGCATTTTCATGTTAGGGCTATCATCAATTTTTTTTTTTTTGGTCTTTTTTTTCTTTTTGAGGCAGAGTCTCGCTCTGTCCCCCAGGCTGGAGTGCAGTGGCGCGATCTTGGCTCACTGCAAGCTCCACCTCCCATGTTCTCGCCATTCTCCTGCCTCGGCCTCCCGAGTAGCTGGGACTACAGGCGCCCGCCACCACGCCTGGCTAATTTTTTTGTGTTTTTAGTAGAGACGGGATTTCACCTTGTTAGCCAGGATGGTCTCAATCTCCTGACCTCGTGATCCGCCCGCCTCGGCCTCCCAAAGTGCTGGGATTACAGGCGTAAGCCACTGCGCCCGGCCTCAATTTTTATAGTTTTACAAAAATGAGGAGTCTCCCAGCCTAGCTGTTTCTTTGAGAAAAACAACATTGTTTCCTGAACTCGTCCTGCACCCCAAATTCTATCCAGGGCTGTGTGTGGAGAGGAGGGAAAGAAAGTGTTTGAGAAGGCACCTTAGAGATGGGTAACAAAGAAAGGAACATTATAAAGGAAAAAAAAAAAACTCTAAGAATATTGCTGTTTTATGAAAGATGGGAAACATGTAGAGATGTTAGACTCAAAGATTCTTTAAAAAAAAACCATGTAAAATCATATGGGAAAACCAAACACTTAAATGGAAAAAACATGTAGAATTAAAAAACAAACCATTGCTGGCCGGGCGCGGTGGCTCACGCCTGTAATCCCAGCACTTTGGGAGGTCGAGGTGGGTGGATCACAAGGTCAGGAGTTCGAGACCAGCCTGGCCAATATGGTGAAACCTCATCTCTACTAAAAATACAAAAAAATTAGCCGGGCATGGTGGCACATGCCTGTAATCCCAGCTACTTGGGAGGCTGAGGCAGGAGGATTGCTTGAATCCAGGAGGCAGAGGTTGCAGTCAACTGAGATTGCGCCATTGCACTCCAGCATGGGCGACAGAGCAAGGTTCCATCTCAAAAAAAAAAAAAAAAAAAAAAAACATTACTTAAAAGGATAGGAAAAGTTTCTCAATTGATGTGTTTTACCTCAGATTTTGAAGGACTGAAAATTAAAAAGGATTCTAGACACAGACATGTGTCATTGGTACATGGCTAACATGTCATTTGGTACATTTCTTGAGAGAGTTTTTTCTAGAAATGTAAAGACAGATTGGTAAAAATGTATGATGAAGTGATGGAGAGAAAGAACCAATGAATAGAATAACCATAATTATATGTTTTGTAATTATATATGTTACTGTCATATGTACTAATAAAATTCATTGACATGTAAGACAACCAAGGTCGATATTACATATCTCATCACTAGTTATAGCACCTATTGTGGAAACAATTCTTTGGGTTGTAAACTATTCTTTTTTTTTACCTACTTGTGTGGCGACGTTTTATTTATTTAGAGATAACAAGGTGGTTTCATTGACACAGACTTGGATTTCTAAATCTCAGCCCTATTAACATTTTGGGCCAGATAATTCTTTGTTTGGGGGTCTATCTTAGGCATTTCAAAAGTTTTAGCAGCATTCTTGGCCTTTCCCTGACTAGATTTTAATAGAGTATTCCTCTCCTCCAGTTACAGGTACCCTGAGGGGAGAAAATTGCCTCTGTTTGAGAACCACTGGCCTAAATTGTCAATTTTTAAAAGTGTGGCACTAACAGTAGTGTCTTCAAGTGTATTCTTCAAATGCCCATTACTACAGTGAATCTATGAGCATACAAGATCTTAGAATTATAAGGGACATAGTAATCCAGAAGGGTGGTATACAGAAACAAATGCAGAATATACAGCCTCTCCTCTCCAGGATGCACACATGTGCATGTGTATGTGTCTATTGGGGGGCAAGTATGAAGTGACTAATGTGAAAAATTATATTCATAAAAATATTTAGTGCTCATCTTCCATAAATTAGAACAGAATGGACTGGGTGTGGTCTAGCCACTCAGAAACCTTGTGTGTAACTACCAAGCATATTTTACCAGTTGCCAAAGGGAGTACATACTGGCTTTAAAGAGCATATCTGTTCTGAAATTTGAAAAGAAACTAAGCAGCAATTGAGTGCTCAATCCAAGGGCCAGATCACTGCCTACTGTTTCCTCTTGGAGTGATTCCAGGTAATATTTGCACATTTTAACGATTTTGGATTTGACTAGCTTAAATAATTAGAGGCTGGAGCCAACAAAGCAAACATATTTTCCCAAAATGAACAATGTAAACCTGTCATCTATAAGAAAGAATGTTCACAGTTATGGCATACATCCTCCTTAGTTGTTACATAATAGGCTGATTCTTTGAATTGTGCTGAAGATTCAACGCCACAGCTTCACACGCATAATATCAGACACCAGGGATTCCTTGTGCCTTCTGAACATGCCTAAGATAATGAAAGTTTACGAAGGAAGATAAGATGTCTCTATTGTGCTATTTTTTCACTTGCCATTCTTCCCTGACAAGAGTAAACAGAACACTAAATGAATTGCAGCTATTAATTTCTTTATGAAGGAATAACACTGTAATAAGACCTGCCTTGCTTTATCATCTCTGAGATTCCTATTTTTCTGAGATAGTCATATGCATGCAATCAAAATCCCTCATTTGGAAATGCTCATAAAAGAAGTATCAAATCCATCTCTACATCAAGAATGAAATATGTAAAACCAGCCTAGCTCCTTCTCTTTTTCTCTCCCTCTTATACAGTAATTTAAACATTAGTTTTCAGGTATCTACATATACCTCTAAAATTCTGTGCAACTATTCCAATGTTGAAAATAAATAAAATGATCATTCTTGTTTTTCTAAAAAAATAGTAAAACAACCTTTAGACCAAATGTAATGCATTATATTGACATAACAAATGTGGACATTAATTAAAGAGCAGCAGAATCCAGCAGAGAAGTTTGCCCTCCATCTGCTTGACCTGAGGTAATAACAATGTTCCATTAACCCAAACTGACAGATTTTCTAGGGTTTGTCTTCATCTCTAAAGTTGCTGCGCCTAGTATGAATAACCATATGTGTGACATCATCCGTAACGTGCCATGTGGAATAAAATTAACTGCTTATGCATCCTATTTTGTTTCTGTTTTTAATTCTGTCTTCCTCCTGAGCTCTGCATTCTATGTAGCCCTTTACTCTTTTCCTAGCTCACTGCCCAGGACGTTTTCCTGTACAAAGTACTTAGGCCCGAGATGCATCCAGGTTCTGATCACTCATATTTGCCAAAAGGAATTAGATAAAGCCACATGACATTCACACTGAAAAAAGAGCCAACCTAGCAAAAGTGAACTATGGCATAGTAATCATTAGGATTACTATTCAAGTCAAATATGAAAGCAGAAGTATCTTAAACGCATCATGCATTCTGTACAAAAAAAAAAAAAAGAACTTACAGAACTTTCTAAATAATAAATTAGTGGGATGGGGGATCTTGTCCCAGAACTGAAACTTAAATCTTTGAATCTGTTCATATCTAGTATGTATTAGTTAACCAAGGGAACTGTTTTCCTCTTCCATCTCATTACAGATCAAACATCAAAAGCTTTCCACTAGAAGCAGGCACCCAGGAGGCATTTTGCTTTGTCACAATACAGTATTCACAGCCACCCTGATAGGAGTGCTAACTCTCTTGGTAGCCTTAAAGAACAACAGTGCAGTTATTTGTTGTGCTTCTTCCTCTCCTCCCCTGGAATTGTTGCTTCACTGTAATAAGTAACATTCCTTCCAATTATCCAAGCTCCTCAAGTCTGCAGAGCTGACCCCCATGACTTTAGAAAAGACTCGCTGTTTAGAGTCATTAATCCAAGATTATAAACATGGAGGGAGATTCATGAGAAAGGGATGAACTCATGGTTCCTGAAGAAAGACAATGGCATGCAGTGTTTTCCCAGAGGCTTTGTGTGTATATGTGTGTAGGTGTGTATTTTGATTTTAAATCCTTCCTTTTTCCTGCAAGGATTTTTTTTCCCCTCATCTTTTCAACTGCCATTATCTTCTGGCTTGTTCTTCATTTGGGTGAGTAGCAACACTTATTACAAATGGTGTGTTAGGTTGGCTTAGCTTTTCTCTGAGTTTTTGCCTGGACGGCAGAATCCAGATGGCAACATTCTGATGGAGCGGTGTAAAAGATTGGCAGATCAGAAGTGCAAGTTTTGCAACTAGCCAATGCAAGAATTTAATTGCAAATTGCTTACCCCTCCTGTAAACTCATTTAATGTTTGTTTTTAAATTTTGGAAATGATAATGATGCACCCTTCCTGACTCTGTGTAAGTCGGAACCACTGAGACATATGCACATGAATTTAAGGCATTACACTTTGATTCTAGAGATCATCTTCAAGGTTTTGATGTTCCCTGATGTTTTTCTCTTCTTGAGTTCTACAAAGGCTTTTAAAAAAAATTTCTGGAGGAAAAGAAGAAATTGCATAAAACAGACACCAGTAGTCTATACTGTTCTATTTATAAGCTAATGTGGCAATTAGGAATCTTGAACTCTTTTTTGTGAACTTGATATGTATGCAAGTCTTTCATCTTCACCAGAAATCATATTAAATCTTCTGAGATCTTTTTGGAAGCTGAAGAGGAACAGTATTCTGAATCTGCATGATTTTGTTACCATATTACATAGGAAATTAAAACATTCTTTTTGTTGCTGGAATTGGCCATAGAACAGACAGCATTCTTTCCCCTTGGTCTGGAGCTCTGATGTCAATATGAGCTAAAATATTCTTCCATCTATCCCCAATCTCTGCTGCTTTTGCTGCCTCCTTATGAAGATTATACTTAGGCTTAGCAAATGAAGAATGGAATTAGTGATGCTCTCTCATTTCCTGTCTTCCCACAGATGGTGATAAATTCAAATTCAGACTCCATTAAACCTGAGTAGAGCAACCCAGCAGGTGGCTGTACTAATGGAAAATCCTGGCTTTGGAATAATGGGAATTATAACCGACAGCTCTTCTACACCACAAAAAAGATGATGTATTCTTATTGACAGTGTCGCATTTGAGTCCAGAAGGCTGATCTGATAGTTCAGTCCTGGCACAACGGAAGCTAAAGGCCCCCTGGGTGTTTTCTTGGCCACACCACTGTAATTTTTGTCATCTGAACTTTCTATTACAATTCATTTTACAAATCTCATATAAGTTGAAGAGAGCAAGAGGAATGAAAGGGAGGGGAAAGAAAAAAGGAGGCCTTTATTTTGCCTACAGGCATACTTTTATTCTTTTTTCTTGGCTTAAAGGACAAATAAAGGTTGACACACAATAGTATTTCTAGCCAATTCGGTATTTTTAATGCTGACATACTTGGCCCAAGTTCTTTTAGTGATCCTAGACAAGCTCATCGGAGGGAGTTTCTGTTTAAAAGATACATAGATTGCCCCGGAGGTGTAATGTCTGATGTTCCACTAGAATTCTTCCAGGAATCCTACATTTGTATGCATTTTTTTTCTTTCTTTTCTCTTAGCTCCACCTTCCTTTTTAAACTCCACCATGTTATTTACAAAAATATTATTTGGTCACACTGATCTGAAATGACATCTGGATGTTCAAATATTTAGAACTTCATATTTTCACTAAGCCTCCAAGTCTCTGAAAATATAACAAGCAGTTATCAAAATATTTCATTGTATTCACCATCTGTCAGCAGTTTAAAAATATCGTATTAAGTTTAATAATCATACTTTGCGCTTACTCAATATAGCATATTTCCTCTTGAGAACTGTTGGTACTTTACAAAACTGAACTGAGTCATTGTCACTTTTTCCCACAAACAATTCTTCTGGGTTTAAAGAAAAAAGTTGGGAACAATTTTAAAGACAGGTAAAAGCTGGAGATGAGCTAAAGAAGTTGACATTTAATTCATTCCACAATTTTTTTCTTCACCTGATTACTTTCACTTACTTTTCATTCTGCAACTTGTTGAGCAGGGACTTTTGTTCTAAACAGTTAAGGAGCTTCGACATTCTGCTTTTATTGCGCAAAAATTCAAAGCTTAGAAATCAGCCTAAGTAGAAGCAGACCTACTGCCTAGAAACTTTGTGGCATAAAGGGATCTCAGGACCTTGGAGAAGAGGAATATACACCAGAAGAGTCTGTAAGAGAGAGGGATTTGTGCTATTACCATTTTCTTACCAATGATTCATTGGAAGATATATATATATACACACACACACACACAAACCCACACACATATATGTATGTAGCATATACATGTGTGTGTATGTACACACACATATATATACAAATATGTATTTAACTGCATATATATACACACACATATATAAAATATATATTTAACTGCATATATAGATGGGTTTCATCTTTTTTAGTTAATTAGCTTATCTTCATTATGGGGTCCTGAATTGAAGAACCACCCACGTATATGCGAATGTCTCCACTTGCAAAGTAGACTACGACTCCCCAACGCCTTGAGGCAGGAGCAAATCAGAGCCAGAGAGCAACTCACAGAGAATGTTAGTTCAGGAACAATTATTTAGGACTGTGTATGCTAAAAACTTTAACTAAATCAGAAGAACTATGAAATATTGTTATCTTTGAATGGTTTCATTATGTAAAAGCACTAACCCAAATGCACAGATTGTCAGCAAAATCCTGAAAGACTCAGATGAAGTCACAAGGTAAATGTAAGAGAAATTTAATAGATTTCTCTGTTGATATTTTAAAGTCTACCACTGTTGCCTGCAGACATAAATTGCTAGGGAACCTTAAATGCCTGACGATACAAAAACTTTAAATGCCTGATAATACACAAATATTATAAATTTGCATTTAGAAGTAGCAGTAACATTTACTGACTGCTTAGCAAGTGCTAGGCTCTGTTGATTATATTAAGACTCTTAATATCCTTATTTTTCAACAGAATAAACAGGGACTCTTATAATTTAGGTCCCTTTATCAAAATCACTTAACTTAAATGGGGATTGAATTCAGATCTGATTGGCTTCAAAACATATTGAAATCTCAATTGTGCAAGGCAGTGTTTCTCAAAGTGTGGTTCTTGAACTATAAAATCAACGTGTCCTGAAAACTTGTTATAAATGCAGATTCTCAGATCCCAACCCAGAGTTATTGAATCAAAAACCCTGGGTTTGGGACCCAGCAATCTGATTTTAGAAGCTCTCCAGGGAATTCCGAAGTATACTAATGTTTAAGAATCACAGTTGGCCGGGCACGGTGGCTCATGCCTGTAATCCCAGCACTTTGGGAGGCCGAGGCAGGCAGATCACGAGGTCAGGAGATCAAGACCATCCTGGCTAACACGGTGAAACCCCGTCTCTACTAAAAAAATCCAAAAAAAAAAAAAAAAAGAAAGAATCACCGTTGTAGACTGTTGTCATATTTGTATGTGAAGAAAGAGAATGCGATGTTTGTAGATAATTTGCATGCGCCTTCTACAAATTAGCAAAGCAATAAACCAATTAAAAAATATTTAATGAGTAAATTTAGTGAAAACTCCCTAGTGTGTAGTCAATCATGTAACCAAAAGCAGGAAAGAAAAATAGCACTAACAAAATATTAAGAAATAATGCATCATCCAACTCTAGCTAAAGTAATTATCAGTAAAAAGAAAGAGGAAGAGCCATTAAGAGATTCAAAGTTAAGAAAAGCATTGATTCAAACTCATATATCTGTATAAATGAACTTTAAAGTGACCATGTATCAAATTGCATAAGAAAGACAATTAAGAAAATATTTAACTAGGCAAAAAAAAATGTGCTAGGGACTTCATGATTTTTATTTCATTATTATACTTTGTAAGGAAAACTACAGCTCAGAATTCTACTGAGGGATCAGCAGTCATGTTTTGTAACTTGTGATCCCTTGGCCACATCTCATATCAAAGCTCAACACCTGATACCAGGGGAGACCTATAATTGTTATGTGGCCCCAAATGATGTTTCTCACATCTGGAATTCTGTTACCAAGAAATTTAAAAAGAGTGAATAGAAAAAAAGTGACATGAAGTAGAGTTAGGGCAAGAGGAATTAAAACAAATTAAAGTCCAGCCGAGGTGGCTTGCACCTGTAATTCAGGCAATTTAGGAGGCCGAGACAGAAGAATCACTTGAGCCCAGGAGATCAAGACCAACCTGGTTAAGATGGAGAGAATCTGTCTCTACAAAAACAAAAGGAAAATTAGCCAGACACAGGGGTGTGCACCTGTAGTCCCAGCTACTTGGGAGACTGAGGCAAGTGGATTCCTTAAGCAAAGGGGGTTGAGGCTGCAGTGAGCTGTGATTGCACCACTGCACTCTAGCCTGGAGAAGAGAGAAAGACCCTGTCAAAAAAAAAAAAAAAAAAACAAAAAAACAAAAAAACACCACCACCAAGAATAAACGGAAGTTATAAGGAAGCAAGAATTGTAAACCAGCAAAGTAAACCAACTGAGAAAGAAAAAATGAGCAAATAGGTAAAGGGAAGCAGAGGAGTTAGAGAGAGAACTACCGTGCTGTTCAGGAGAGAAAACTAAAAGTGGAAATACATTTTGTAGAGTGTAGCAGAAAAAGGGAAAGAAAGGAGAAGGTAAACTAGTTAGAAAGTTGTATGAATTTAGGAGAGAGATGATGATGGCCTGGACTTGGTCAGTAGCAATGGTTATGTAAAAGAACAATGAATTCTAAAGACCTTTTGTAAGTGTTGGAGGAAGAGGTATGGGAATCCCAAGTCTTCAGCAGCAGAGATTAGAATAATGAAGAAAGAGGTTGTTGAGAGTTTTCAGCAAAAAATTAAAAAGGGTTGAGATCTTAATAGGATTCTCCAGAGAAACAGAACTAATAGGATGAATGAATAGATAGATATAGATAGATAGATAGATAGATAGATAGATAGATAGATAGATAGATGATAGATAGATAGATAGATAGATAGATAGATAGATAGATAGACAGACACAGAAAGATGATACATACAAAGATCAACTTATTTTAAGAAATTGGTTCCTATGATTGTGGAGGCTGGGAAGTTCAAAATCTTTAGGGTAGGCTGTCAGACTGGAGATCCACAGAAAACTTAATGTTACAGCTCAAACCTGAAAACAATCTGGGAGCAGAATTCTGTCTTCTTCCACTGACTGGATGAGGTCTGCCCATATTATGAGCGGATTCTGCTTTACTCAAAGCCTACTGATTTAAATGTTAATCTCATCTAATAAATACATCACAATGGCATCAGCCACTGTGTTTAGCATTTGACCAAACACTTGGGTATCATTTCTACCTCCCTAAGTTGACTCATAATATTAACCATCACAAATTAGAAATACTGTGTATTATGAGGCAAGTAGTACTATGCTTCATGTAGAGTAAGCACTCAATAAATGTAATTATGACTATGGCTGGGTCAAAGGAGAGGATATTAGGCTCCTCCCTAGTGAAGAGAAGTGGTAAAATATAGATGCTGTTATTGAGACGTGAGCATCAAGCACAGGCGGATTCTCTCTACCGCCTTCTTCCTGAGCTTCTACTCCCATTGTCAGTACTTATCAGGCTTTATTTTATTCCTCAGTAAACTCCCAGAGAGACAGGGTACATTGCAAACATTTTTTTCTTATGCTCACCCTTTTCTTGCCTTTCAGTAGGATTTAAAATCAAGTCATCTTCTAGGACAATAACCAGCATATAATGAGAATTATGAGACTTGAATGTTCCCACAGTCATACTCTCATTTTGACTGGATGTCCTCTATTGAGATGTTGGATTGAGAAAAATAGTCTCAATAGGCTTAACATCTGCACAGCCAACTGTTATATCTCTTAATGTATATAAGTCTAAAGTCAGAAGTTATTAAATGAGAGACTTCTTGTTCTTGAGAAATACAGAGCCAAATTCACTGAGATAAAAAAATAATGTGTATGTATTAAATATATTAGTCAGAAAATATGTAAGAGCGAAAGGAATTCACTTATGCCTCTACATTGAATCACATATATTAAAGAACAGCAATATTTTTTATTTCAGGAGACAAACAGCTTCATGTTCAACAAGAAGAAATGCATCTTTCCTCCATAACAATTGCAAAAGAAATTCTGAATGTTATAGAAAACTATTTCCAGCATAGTAATTCATATGAACTCTAGAACCAAAAATCCCAGAATCTTACCTCCACCAGTTACTATGACTGTGTTTAAATTATTCAGCTTCTTTGTTTTTCTACCTACAAAATGGGGACAAAATGGTACTGAGAAACAGAGAAGTGGCATCAGACAGTTAGTAGCTAGCCTGGCACAGAGCTAGGCCTTGTTGTTAAACCTGCCTCACAGTTAGGCTGTGGTGTTCTCCCATTGAACACATAATGTCAGACATCGCCACCATCAGACAGTCGGTCTGTGACTGAGATAAAGTGAAACAACATCAACATTACTTCATGATCAAATCTGAGCAGAGACAAAAATATTGTGATTGCACAAACTACAACCCTCTCCCAGCTAACATGAAAAACATCCGCTTCTTCATCAATTACATCTTAGCCCCTCTTCATTCCTACCACGTTCTACATAAAAATTAATATGTCAAATTGGAGAATTCCCCAGGCTTCCTGGCAATGTCCCATCCAGAGGAAAAGCTTGCTTCCTTGAGTTCTCACTGAAATCACCCAAGACTAAATTCCCTAAGTCCCTTTCAACACCTTCTTACTCCACAGGACTTTTTTTTAACTTGTTGACTTTTTTTAGGTTTTTAGTTTTCTTCACTGTAACGAGTCAATGAGCCCAATTTTTCATGACTTGGGGTGTATTTCTCTTAATCTTTGGCTGCAGGGTGTGGGACTGTTATAAATATTAAATTGATTAATGCATAGTTTGCATTTAAAACAGCATCTGGCTTATAGAAAATTGAAGCCATCATTACTTTCAAACACAGTCAAAATGCCTCATGGAATGTCAGTATTCATATTTAGGTATTTTTATTTTATTTATTTAACAAATCTATTTTTATTCAGCATCTTCTACATTTTAAACCCATTGCTATGTACATGGATATAAAGAAATGATAGTTTTCCTATCTTTAAGTTAAACAGTAGACACCTGTGGATTTCCAAGACTATTTGAACTTTCCAGATAACTCCTTCTTACACACTGTTCTCTGTACTATTGCACACAGATAATTACTCAGCCTCCCTTACCTTCAGACCTCTACAGTTTCACAAGCACAGAGCTCTGTTACATGGTAATCATCATGGATAGTTTGGAGATAATAGGAGAGAATTTCACTGCAAATATAATGTGACCTAAAACTAGATATGAGGGGTCCTTATAACAAAAAATGACCATCATCAGAGAGACTACTAACAGATAAGAGCAATTTTCTAGTTTATATAGCCAATTGAGTATATTCCTGCTCACTGGGTGTAATTATAAACAGAGACTCTTCACTGTCAAGCATATCTTGGTTTGGTTGGTAAATTTTGTAGTTCCCCTGTTTAGTGGCCATCACTATTTTTGATATCTCATCTTAAAGTTGGGGTCCACTCTTCCATCTCTGCTCTCTCTTTTCCATTACAGGCACCATAAATGACATTGAAAGACCAAGCAAGCAATCACTCTTACTCTTTATTATTTAGAACCATTTTATTTCATACTCATCTTAACTGACTTATCCAAAAGATGGGATGGTTGTCCTCCTAGAACAAATATGTTTCAGTGCTTCCTGGAATAGCTGGAATAAATGGCAGCTGGATTCTAATACCACAACAATGTTTTATAAGTTTTATTCAATAATATATTGGTGAATTTTCATCAGTGATATAGTAAGAATATGTATAGCATTACTTTCTTGATAATAATATAGTCCACTATATTACTATAACATAATTTATTAGTACATTAATTTTTACTGTTCCAAAAATATTTTAATGATGGCATTTCTACAAATTTCTTTATATTATTTTCTTTTTTTTGTCATTATTGCTCCAAAAAAAAAAAAAAAAAAAACAACAAAAAACGAGATACCTGTGCTGCAGAACGTGCAGGTTTGTTACATAGATATACATGTTCCATGGTGGTTTACTGCACCTATCGATCCACCTCTAAGTTCCCTCCCATCACTCCCCACTCCCGCAACAGGCCCTGGTGTGTGATGTTTCCCTCTCTGTGTCCATGTGTTCTCAATGTTCAGCTCCCATTTATGGGTGAGAATATGCGGTGTTTGGTTTTCTGTTCCTGTGTTAGTTTGCTGAGGATGATGGCTTCCAGCTTCATCCATGTCCCTGCAAAGGACATGATCTCATTCCTTTTTATGGCGGCATAGTATTCCATGATGTGTATGTACCACATTTTCTTTATCCAGTCTATCATTGATGAGTATTTGGGTTGGTTCCATTTCTTTGCTATTGTAAAAAGTGCTGTAATAAACATATGTGTGAACGTGTCTTTATAGTACAATAATTTATATTCCTTTGGGTATACACCCAGTAGTAAAACGCCTGGGCCAAATGGTATTTCTGGTTCTAGATCCTTGAGGAATTGCCACACTATCTTCCACAATGGTTGAACTAATTTATATTCTGACCAATAGTGTAAAAGTGTTCCTATTTCTCCACAGCTGTGTCAGTATCTTGTTTCCTGACTTTTTAATAATTGTCATTTTGACTGGTGTGAGATGGTATCTCATTGTGGTTTTGATTTGCATTTCTCTGATGAACAGTGATGTTGAGCTCTTTTTCATATGTTTGTTAGCCACGTAAATGTCTTCTTTTGAGAAGTGTCTGTTCATATCCTTTGCCCACTTTTTGATGGGGTTGTTTGTTTTTTTCTTGTAAATACATTTAAGTTCCTTGTACATTCTGGATATTAGACCTTTGTCAGAAGGGTAGATTGCAAAAATTTTCTCTCATTCTGTAGGTTGCCTGTTCACTCTGATAATAGTTTCTTTTGCTGTGCAGAAGCTCTTTGGTTTAATTAGCTCCCATTTGTCAATTTTGGCTTTTGTTGCAACTGTTTTTGGTTTTTTAGTCATGAAGTCTTTGCCCATGCCTATGTCCTGAATGGTTTTCTTCTAGGGTATTTATAGTTTTGGGTTTTACATTATTTTATTGTTACTACTTAAGGAAAATCTCCTAGAAGTGAAATTTGGGGATCAAAGTAAATGCACATTTAAGGCTCCTGATACATATTGCCAAACTGTCCTCCAAAGAGCTCATACAAATTATAGGCCCTCCAGCAGTAAATGTGACTTCCTATCTTGCTTAGATTTAATTGTGACAAATCATTAGTGATATTAATTATAATAATTTTTTAAATGTTTTCCAATAATAGAAAAATTTATTTATTTGCATTTCTGATTGTTAGAAATGTGAACATTGTTTGACAAGTTCATTTATTATGTATTTCTTCTTTGGTGATTTGCCAAATCTTATTATTTGCACCCTTTTATTTCTGTGATTGTTTTGATAATTACTCTTTATATGTAAGAATATTAATACTTTGTTTTATAGAGAGAGCAAACATTTCACAAATTTATATCATTATTATAATTAAATAATGTAAGTATACATTTTTACAATTTTGTAAAGTCAAATACATTTATCATTTTTAGCACAGATTCAGGGAGCTCCAGGTGTGAATTTATTAGATCTTCATATTATCACCTCTCAGCTTCCACGTTCATGGTCAATCGATTAAGGTTAAATTAGATAATGCCTGCAAAGGGTTTGAATTTCAGTGCTTAGAAATTTGTAAAGTCTCAGTCAATAATTACTGAGCTACTTTTTAATAATGCTTCTTCATCAAAGTTATGTATTTATTTAAACTTATCTTTCAATGCTTTAGTGGTTCTTGTTTATATTTTAAGTCTTAATTAGAATAGAATTTGCCTTTTTTATATGGTAAAACATTATTTATGTAAACTTATTTTATTCATAATGCACAGTACTCCAGAATCATTCTTAAGTAAATTATATTTTTCCAAGTTATTTAAAATGTAACTTCATGATAGACTACATACATTTCTCCTTCCCCACACATGCACTTACATGCATGCATAGACACATGCACGAACACAACACACTTTGATCTGCTTTGTATTTTTTGTCCTGTAATAGGAACGTGTCCATTCTGGTTTTAGTGTGATACTTGACACTTTAATGATTTGATCTTGGTGCAACATCTTTAACACTGTAATTTATTTTCAAGAAATTCTTTGCCTTTTAGACAAGTTTATTCTTCAAAACGTATTTTGGAATTATTTCACCAAGGATCAGAATAAATATAACAGCACCTGAATATTTTTATGATAATTCTTTAAAAATAAACTAGTATAATTTTTATTTCAGATTTAAGATTTTCTTCAGATTCTTGTTACCCTAAACAAATTTTTAATATAAGATAGATATTTTAATAGTACATTTTGATGATCTATTAAAAATGTGATTCGTCTGCCACAGTCTTAAAATTTTCAACTGCAGGGTGTGGGACTGTTATAAATATTAAATTGATTAATGATGTCACCTACTGAATAAAGAGTCCCATTTTTTGAAGAACTTAAACTTTCTCCTTAGAGGTGTAAGAGAGAGTAATACATCTCTAAGTAGTAAACACATTAAAACATACACCATAGCAGGATTTTAGAGGTTATTAACTAGTGTCTTTAGAATATTAGTATAAAGCTCTGTTACAAAGCACTGCTTAAAAGAAAACAATGAAAAAGAAGAGCAAAGTTGACTAATTACATTATATGACTAAGACTTGCAATATGGCTCCAATATCAAGACAGTATATACTGGCATAATTATAGACATAGAGATAAATGCATCATGATAGGAAACCAGGTTATACCTATCAATATTTGGGCAATTGTTTTTGGAAAAGGTGTAAATATACTTCAGTGGGGGAAAGATAGTCTTTTCAACAATTGCAAATAATTGAACCTCTATCTATACCTTGAACCATACACAAAAATTAACTTAAAATGAATCGTAGATACAAATTAAGCTAAACCTATAAATTTCTAGAATATAATATAGAAGAAACTCTTTGTGATCTTGGGCTCAGAAAAAATTCTTAGGAAAAAATGCACAAATTATAAAAGAAGAAATGATAAATTGGACTTCATTAGAATTAAAAGCATTTACTCTTCTTAAAGTAACTGTTTTTAAAGGTTTAAACAAGTCACAGACAGGGAGAGAATATTTGCATAACAGAGTTGACACAGTATTTGTTCCTCCAATATATTTTAATAATCTTAGAACTCAGTAGTAAGAAAACAATCAAATTTTCAAAAAGAGCAAAAGATTCGAAAAGACACTTTACCAAAGAAAAAAGACAAGTGACAAACAGGCAACACAAAAAGATGCTCAACATCATTATTGACTGGGGAAATAGAAATTACAATAAAATTTCACTACACAGAGCTTAAAATAGCTCATGAGGATGTAGAGCAACTGGAAATCTCAGACATTGCTTATAGGAATGCAAAAAAAAAGTAGTCCCTTTGGAAAACAGTCTGGTAGTTTCTGCTTAAGTGAAACATACAAACAACAAACATATTTATGACCCACTACGTATTTACCCAGATAAATGAAAATACATGCCCATACAAATATATGTACATGAATGGTTATAGTGACTTTATTCGTTAACTGTTAAAAACTGGACACAACACAAATGTCCGTTAACTAGTGAATGAATAAACAAAGTACTTCCATTCAATGTAATACAACTTATCACTAAAGAGGAATTAACATGCAAAAATGAAGATACATCTTAAAGTAGCATGCCAAGAAAAGAAGTTCACACGAAAGGCCACATACTATGTGATTACAATTTTATGACATTCTAGTAAAGACAAACATATAATGACAGTAATGTCAGTAGCAGCCAGCCAGGTAGGGAAAGTGGATTGACCATCAAGAGTCATGAAAATATTTTTCTGTTGACTGTGGTGGTGGTTACACACTTAGAATATTTGTCAAAACTCATAGAAAATGGTGCCTCCTCATGTATGTAAATTATACCTCAATAAACTTCACCTTTAAAAGAGTAGAGAATGATGCCTTGACTAAAGAAGATGCTGACCTTGTAACTTGGGTGGATTTTTCTAACTTTGAAATCTCGGTGTATCTATCACACTATTGAAAATAATAGTAGCACATACAAAATGCTTGACATACAGCCTCCTTCTGAGTAAGTGTTAGTTATTATAAAAAGGATGTGATGATCATATCCCACTTAGCAAGAGGAGTAAGGAGTGGTAATGAGGTAAGTTAAAGTGCACAAATGTTAACTCTTTTTTAAAGATGAACAGGAAAAACCCATGTACCCCACCACTTTTGAAGCTAAGTCTTATCTTGTCAAATAGATTCAAATAGAAGATTCTCACAGCTTACAGAAGGTAATTTAAAAAGTTTCATTGCCAACACAGGAAAAATATAAACTATAAATATATGTGTGTGTATCATATACAGTTTGTTAATTGAAGTGTGAATGCAGTAGAAAGAGGGTATGAGTAATAGGTGGCTTAAGCCAAATTTAGTTTAGTCATATCCTTGCTCTGCCAATATACCTCAAGCTTAAATGGTATCACTGAAGCTGTTTCAGACTTGAATTGCTCCAAAGCATTATTCTTGTGCCAACTGGGCTGAAATCTGGTGGTAGTTTACTTCTGCAGCCAGATAGGCAGTATCTTTTATGTTTTATTTATTTATAGTATCACTTAAGCCATGCATAACTTTATGTGCACTTATAAAGCTAAACTCACAATTTGTGAAGCAAACTTATGATGGGATGTAAGCAGTTTACAATATGAAACACATTATTGGATAAGAAAAGTTATTAGAGATAGTGTAGTAAATTAAACAGTCAGCCCCACACAAGCTATTTGATTGCCACATGGAACTACTAATGCTAGAGGTCTTAACCAATTTTTATGACTTTTTCATGGACAAATTTGTTTCAAATTTGACTCTGATTCCACAAATTTAGCTCCTCACTGCACCCAAGTAATGATGAGAAAATCCTCTTCTTTTCCTAGAATCTAATAACAGAAAAGAAGTGCTAGTTATCTATTACCCATTCGAGAAACAAATTTGTGGTAAAGACCCAGATTATTTATGACCCCCAAATCTATAGGGATTTTTTGTTTGTTTTTCCATTGCACCTTACCACCTTTCTTTAGAATACTTATCCTATGAAGGAGATGGATAGTCTATGTTTAAAGGGTGGTTATAATCATTTTTTAAATACTCAAGGATTTGAATGTTCAAATGGTAGATTTATAAGTGGTATTTTTATTTACCATTTAACATTTAATGACAATGAATTATGAGCTCAAGTGCCTGTGAAATGTCTGCTTTTGTCCACAGATCATAAAAAACTTGACTTAAGGGATAAGTAATGGTTAGTTTGAAATCTTCTGTTAAGAATAACTGCTCACTGAAAATCAATAAAAAAAATGAACTCACATAGTTTTGAGATTCTGATGCAATCTAACAGAAGTTATTCAATTTATTATAAAATAAGCTATCAATTAATATTTTGAGTGGTTGTAATTATGAAAGCAACACAACCACAGTACAGAGGAAATAGTTACCCATAATTTCATTCCCCTAAGACAACTATTATCGTTTTACAGCCTTTTAAATGTGAATGCAACTTTTGCAAAGTAGTCTCGTACAAAGTAAAACAGACCTGAATTTCTATAAAGCTCCACCTACTATGACCTAATGGCCTCTAACTTTTGACCAGTGAGCTAAGAATGATTTTTATGATGTTAAATACTGAAAATTGAAAATAATAATATTTCATGTCATGTGAAAATAATATGAAATTTAAGTTTCAGTGTGTTATAAATATAACTTTTTGAAATACAGGCATGCTGATCTATACATGTATTGTCTGTGGCTGCTTTTGTGCTACATAGGGCTGAAACTAGGCTAAGGCAATTTAGGTACTCACCTCAGGCACAGAACCTAAGGGTGGGGAGGGGTGCAAAAAGTTCAGTCATGAAGATAAGCCATATTTAATGCAATATGTTAAAAATCAAAATTAATCCACAACAAGTTATAAGCAAAATATCTAGATATTATTAAAGACAGCATAAGTTCTGCAACAGCAGAACTGAGCAGTTGTGGCCAAGAGTGTATCACCTGCAAAACCTAAAATATTAACTATATTTAGTTTACTTGCTAACTCTTACTCTACAGCATTTAGGCCTTAGAGTTATTTTCATATTTCCTCTTAACAGTTTCTACGTTAGCATATAACGTAGATTAGTAAAGTTTTGTTTGACAAAATATTCCTTGCCAAAGACTCTGTCAATCAGAAAATAAATAAAATAAAATGTATGTGGACAATAATATGGCAAGCATGAACTCTTTATTTATTTATTATTATTATTTTTTTTTCTTGAGATGGAGTCTCGCTCTGTCGCCCAGGCTGGAGTACAGTGGCGCCATCTCGGCTCACTGCAACCTCCGACTTCCGGGTTCACCCCATTCTCCTGCCTCAGCCTCCCGAGTAGCTGGGACTACAGGCGCCCACCATCACGCTCGGCTAATTTTTTATATTTTTAGTAGAGACGGGGTTTCACCGTGTTAGCCAGGCTGGTCTCGATCTCCTGACCTGGTGATCCGCCCGCTTCGGCCTTCTAAAGTGCTGAGATTACAGGCGTGAGCCACCGCACCCGGCAGAACTCTTTTTATTCTTACTGTGGTTTTCTTAAAAGAAGGAGGAGAAAAAGGAGGAGCAGGAGGGGAGAAGAAGGAAGTCTTAGGCTGCATGACCTAGAAGACATTCTGTGGGAAGGATTGATTTTATCTAATATGATACCAAATAAGATACAAGCGTGGGAGGCCATAGAGGCTTATAAAGACCATCACTCACCCATATTTACCAAACAATGGTTGTTCTAAAAAAAATTACTTTTCCTTTAATGTTCTGTATTGAGTATTCTCCACCATAATCTCACCCTGAGGAAGTTAAAGATGTGAGGCACCAAGCCTTAGATATTATCTAAATTCTTAACAACAGAGGAATAGACTCTGCCAAGCCTCAGGCTACACTTCTTATTTATTTTCAAGAACTAGTTACCTGATGACAGTTGTTTGGACATTAAACCTAATGCTGACTATTGGAGATACTTCATACCCTGTAATATGCTTAAATATCAGAGGGAACTTTCTAAAAACCTGATTTCTAAAGATTACTTTGGAAATTCTTTCTTGTTTCTCTGAACTCTAATTTTTTCACACATCAGTTTTTATAAATAATTTGCTTCTTATTGCTATTAAGAAGTGGCAAGCTGACAGTTTCTCATATTTGCTCAAAGAAATCTTTGATACCAGTTTGTCAGAAGTCTTTTATTACTGTTGAGAAACTTGAAAAAAAAATTTCCTGGAAAACACACTCAGGATTCCCTGTACCTTGGGAGTCATTCTGCTTTAGGAAGATTCTGTTCTGTAACAAGGATTCATGTGCTTGTTACCAAGGCAAAGTTATGTTTTACCTGCTTTTCTAAAAACAGGAAGATTGCATAATATTTTTTTTCCTGAAATGGAAGTGGTAATTAAGCATGCTATTTTAAAATCGTATTCTAGTTTTGTTAACAAAAATGTTTAATTCTACAGATTTGCAACAAATTAAGGAATGAAAATTTTTGTATTGTCATCGTATTACTATATATAACTGACATTTAGCTGGACGCAGTGGCATGCACCTGTAGTTCCAGCTACTTGGGAGGCTGAGGCAGGAGGATCACTTGAACCCACAAATTCAAGACTGTATCACACTACAATCATGCCTTTAACTAGCCACTGCGCTCCATCCTGGGCAATGTAGTGAGACCCTGTCTCAAAAAAAAATGACGTTTTATTTTTGCCACTATGGTAAACACTGAAGGACTTTACATATATTTGTGATTTTAAATAGTTTATTTACCTATCAGCTGTTCAGAGTGGCAAGCTTTGTAAACATTCTAAATTACATACCGATCAATCAATTCAATTACGTAGTATGGTTAGATCATCTAGTACCTTATAAAACTTTTACCTTTGAGGTGTGTCGCCAGCAATTTCACCTTTACTAAAATAAAATACTTAAGGAATTCTAGAATTTCAATATTATAAAAATTTGATAATATGTCAAGTTTAACATTGTAAAATTACTCAAAGGCATAATATTTACCTTAAGAAATGCATGGCATCTTTGCTATGTAGAGTGATTATTAAGTGCTCAGTGGTTGGCTCAGCATTTTTCTGTGTGTATGCAGTGAATTGCACAGAGTTCTTTTTTGATAAATATTTGCTGAATAAATAAACTCGGTAGATTGAACAAACACTGATAAAGCCATGTTAACACAGGCTATCAATGTGAACCTTGACAGTCTCATTAAGCATTTTAAAACAGTCTTCATTAAAACCTGAGTCTATATTAGAAATGTGTATACGGATAGACATAATTAGGTATAAAAAGTAAGTAATAACTCTGTAAGTAAATTTAGGTTTATGCATAAAAGAATCAGAAGGTTTATTTAAGGCTCTATGTCTAACAGGAAATATAACAATCTCTATCTTTTCCATTTTGATGATAATTTGGATTCAGAGTAACATTTCAAGTGAAATTTCTTAAGGAACATTAAATACCCATTGTATTCAGGGCTATCACTCTGAGCGGATGCTGGTGAAATGTAGGCTTATTCTGTAATATTAGACAGCCGGATGGCTTTCATGTGTAATGTCTTCTCCCTATCATAACCTAAAAGTGGTCCCATAAGCAGTTCTCCAAACCAAAGGACTGACAGACAATTAACATTTTTAAGTAGTTACTAAAAGAACAGAATTAGAAACTTTTGAGAATTTTAAATAGATTTTAAGTCTACTTATACCATTAGGTATACTTTCTCTCAGGTCAGAAATGTGAAAAACACCTGGAAATATCCGAAGAGTTTGTTTCAAAGAATACAAATGGTATGTTGTACAGAAGCACTCGAAATGCTAAATAACGAAAACAAAACACTCATCTGGGCGTCAAGAGATGTGTATTTTTTTCTCAGTAGAGCTAATAACTGGTTGTGTGATCCTGGACAAGTCACTTAATTTGTCTTGGCCCTTCCGTTTTTCACCTGTTAAATGAAAGAAGTCACAGATGCATTTGATTATTGTAAACCCTGAGAGTTTTAGCCCTAATGGATTCTACAGAAAGTCGAATCAAGTCAGGGGAGTATGAAGAAGGCACCTGAGTTCTGTTTGCAAGAGAAGAAGTTGGCCATCAAAAGATGGGGTGCAACAAAGGTGGAGGGTCAATATGACACACATTGTTTCATGCTTCGAGGAATCTCCCTTCTACTGCATAACTCGCCAGCTCAGTTCTTTTGGTTTTTCTGATTCTTATCCACAGGACACTGCAATCACTTACTGGTTGGTGTGTATGTGCTCAGAGTAATCATTTTACATCCAGCGACTTAGAGTGTGGTCCTAGGAAGTGGCAGCATTTCAGCTGCAGAAAGGAAGAGGATCAGTCTGAGCATTCTTGAAGAAGATTGCAAAACTGCTTTTAGTTCATGTAGTGTATTTCTAGTCCAAGACTTCTTTTAATGGGCAAAAAGAGATTTTTTAAAAAAGGAGAAACTTGGATGTTTCCTAAAGCAACATTCAAAGCAATTAAATGGAGCTTTTTAAGCAATGTGCTCTTTTTCACTCTCACAATCTCCTCTTTAGCCTTAAGTAAAAAGCAAAAGAGATCTTTGAAAAATGATGATTTTTTTATATTTAATATATGATCTTTTCATGTTTCTGCTGTTGTGTGCTTTTGAGCTGTCTAACAACTATAGCTATGTAGCCAGCAGAAGGGCAGACTTGTCTTATATCCTGTGAAGAGGTGACTACCTGAAGTGTGAGAATGAAAGAAAAAATAAGAATTCTATGAAAGGTTTTACTACAGAGAATATAGGGCCAAGACCTTCATCTAACCCTGGATACACATTATTCTTAATAATGCATACCGGTATCTTTTTTTTTTTTTGGCCAACTTTAAGTCATGAGCTTACAAAAACTGACAATATTTTACAGAAACAGATTTTTTTTTAAAAAAGCATAATTCTATTTCCTGTATCTTTCACAGTTCTTTAATTTGAAACATATCACTTTTATCTCGTCTTGCTTTAACACCAGATTTGGTTTAATTAAATTTATGTCAAATGAACACATGAAACGAAAGGAAAATCAGAAAGCCTGCAGTTGCCCATTAGTGAGTCAGTGACTGCAGTGAAAGGCTTTTGAAGCCTGGCTTACTGCCAGGACAAGCTTGCAATGATGCTCGGAGACACCCATGATGCTTTGAAGGAAAGGACTTAGCTGACCTGAGCTTGCTCAATGGAATCAGTCAAAATCCTCATGGGCTGGATATAAAATCTATAATAAGTCTTCTGTCTTCAGCCATTTACCTGTCAAAGACAATGAGTAGGGGGTGTGAAATCACAATTCATACAGAAAATTAATTGTGCGAGGGCCATTTATTATTATTATTATTACAGCATTATTGATTATGTGGGTGATTTAGTATGTTTTGAAAGCTACATGCCAAGCCTTTGAAAGGCAGTGCCAAATTGTCAATCCTTGGAGCTACTCCATCAAAACAATATTTAACTTTGGCTCTCTTAGCTGAAATATCTGTCAATTAGTCAAATAATATATGCTATTAGCGAATATAAAAAGCATAACCTCCAGGAGCTAATATTTAGAGCTTTGCAAATTCGTCACTGTTAAACACCTATGTTTAAAAATACATGAAGCCCTAAATGTTTTGACAGTGCTGCTAAAATGCAAAGTAAAATTCCATGTCTCATATTGTTTCTGATACCACGTGGTCTTTGCGTCTTTGTACTTGAACACATTTATACATCCAGCTTTGGCACTTTCATATAAAAATATATTAAATGACTCCATGAATCAAATAATGATGTTTATTCTGATTTTGTATTCAAACAACATGTTCTTAAAGGATATGTACTATTTGGTTTCCTCTTTTTGCTTATTGGGATCTGATCCACAGGTTCAGTTGCATTTTGTATTTTCATACTTTGGACATTAAAGCCTTTACACAAACTTTCAACACTAAAATAAATAACTCATTAGGGAGCAGCAGGGTGCACTGATGTTAGTAAAATAACAATATTTAAAAGCAAGCTTGGTTAGCATCTAGGAATATCAAAGGGACTAGGGAAGGCAAGAGAATGCTTTCAGTAGCTATTTTTTCTTTGTCCTGTTTAAAAATAATTCAAAGAAAGGTCTAAATGTTCCAAAAGTCAAATGGATATTATCAGAGGTGCTTCAACAATCCAGTCATACCAAACATCATCAATGTGCTTGTTCAATTTCTAATTTACCCAGTTCTGCTATTCTCCTACAGGCATACTGTTTTATATTTTCCATCTCTTCTACATGCTTTGCTTTTTTTCCCCATTATTTCATTTATAACTTAAAATAAAAGTAAAACAAACAAACAAAGTAAAAACCCTCTAAGGGTTGCAGTTTTTCCAGGTGAAAAAGATTCCATTCACAGATCCAATGTGTCTTTCTATGTTCTAAGATAAGTGTCTGCACTGGAACACCATGGTAAGAGTTGCCTTCGTTAGAATATAATTTTGAGAAGAGAAATGATTTCTGCCGACAGCTAAATATGAGACATCATTTCTTGGCCAATAGGAAAGTCCTTAATTTTGTGGAATTGATGAAATATGTTTAGCTGGATTCTGCCACTTGCCTCTAGTTAGATATTAGTAGTTTTTTCATTTTCATGAGATCAAATAAGATATGAAAATATTCAGTGTTTGCAAATTCCATAGGATATAGTACAATCCTAGTAATATAAGAAAAAAGATGGGTTTAATTTGCACTCACATTACCTTTGATGAGGTTGAAAATGTAAGTTTATATTTAAATAATGTACTCCTTAAAATCATGCTATCTTTGTTCTCAATATACATTTAACGTAAAATATTTTATAACACCAACCATACTTCTTTAAATGTAAATACTTATAACTAAAAAGGAAGAACTGCATGTTTATGAAGTAGCAATTATTCCACTTTAATTCAAAATTATCAGGGCCATAAATATTTTTCTGTATAAAATTTTGTCAGTTCTTTCAAATATTTTGTCTAGTAAAGTATGAATTAAATTATTTGTTACAAATTGCACATGATCATGATAACTGGGAATAATTTTTAAATGCTCTAAGAGGCTAATAATAAAAGCTTTAAGAAATTGATTATATTTGTCAACATGTGCAATAGTCTTGCTTGCTTTTTATTGTGTTAAGATATTAGATATCTGCTTTACTTTATTCTTGGAGACTTTTTCAAAGGGTTAGAGAAGAAAATAAGCAACCACTCAAAACTATCTTAGAGACTGTGCAGAAATATTTATATTCTCTTGCAAAATATTTGCCAAGTAAGGTCTTTTCCAACCAGAATACGTAATGACCACAGTATTCAGGCAAATTTTTTTCTTTTTTTTCTTCTTTTCTGAATTATTCTAGTAATTGTGTAGCACAGCTTTTCCCCCTGGCACTAAGGACCTAGTCTCTTTATTTCACATTTTAAAACCAAATTGCCAGAAGTGTCTGAAAGGCTGTACTTCAGGAAAAAAAAAAAAAAGAAAAAAAAAAGCACTTCAGGGCCAAGCTTTTGCTAACACACTGAGCATTAAGAGATGAATCAAGGGCGTAACAGAATGCTGAGAGTATCTTTGCACTGGAATCAAAGGCACATCACGAGGAGTCAACATTTTGCCTGAAGTTGCTCGCTCTGACTCTCCCATTGCCTGTAATAAAGTAGCTAAAAGGACATTTGGGACAATCCTGGGCCAAGCAGAGCTGTTTTAGATCCACCTAAAAAATCATAGCCAAAAGAAAAAGTGATTCTGAGAAATATCTCAAGCCAATTCTTTATACCTGTCCATAGAGAAGAAAATGCATGGTAAGGCATGGCCTCACTTACTGGCATTGAGGCTCAATTAGTTGTTCCTGAATAGACTCCAATAACTAGCTACCTGTTGGAGCTCTGCCATCCTTTTGATTCAGTCAGTGTTAGTTTTGGAGTCTCTGTTTCATTAGGATGCAAATTCCTGAGTTGTAGTTTCTGATTTCTTTAGTTACTCAAAGTGGAAATTTTGGGATGAAATGACAAGAGAGAAAGAACAAAATAAGCCTTTAAAAATGATCCATGAATGTGTTTTTTACCCCATGTTGCTGTCAACAGTGAGAATATCCATCGGGAAAGGCTAGCTCAAGGTAAAGATTAATACAGAAGCCCTGCTATTCTGATTTTGTTAATGCCTAGCGAAGTGTCTTCATATCACTTCCGAAGAAAAGAAAATTGCTCACAAATGCCATTTATTCATTTATACGTGTACAATGAAGCAAACAAATCAATAAATGTATATGAAGCAGTTGAAGCATTGAGAAACCAAACTTCATTGCACCAATTTTTTGTTGTATAACTAACTGCATTCCTAATTTCAAACAGGTGCTAAATTTCAAAGACAGTCCCATAATTTCAGGCACTTTTCAACACAGAATTATTTTTAAGAATTAAAAGTAGATAACTCATTTTCATATTATCCCCTAAATAAAATAAATGAATATATAAATATGTTTACTTTCTTAGGTTAAAATGGTGCCATTGAGAACAGATGGTTAGAGGTTAAAAAAAGCATTTTTAATATAATGTTAGAAATATGATTATTCCTCATATAAAATGCAAAATATCTAAATGGAACAAAGATCTTATTTATGCAACTGAAGCTTAAAACTCAAATGAAAGCATTTTTATTCAACTTGAAGATAGTATTTTTTTTCATGACTGCAGTCATGCACAGGAGATCCCATGTCACTTTTTGATTTTTAGAACAATATCTTGTTTTGTCTGTTGTCAACATTGGTATGAAAAATGCTTGTAGTCATATTTTATAAATCACACAGGGTTCATCTTCAAGTTCTGTCATTACAAATCTCCCAATTCTAACAATATCATTACAAAATATTAAAATGTTCACAGCAAAGGGACACAAAAGTTTGAAAGTTCCAGTCAAACTGATTATACAAAATGATAACACTAAGGTTGTCCCAACATAAAAGCTGACAAGTCAAAAGCAGGGATAATGTGCATTTTCACTAACAAATAATAAAGGTTCTGTGCATCAGGACAGCCATATTCTCATGATCAGAGCCATTACTGGAAGAAAGAGCTTTGATAAAGACTGCTAATTTTGCACAGAGGCAAATTTGAAAGAAACAGTAAGAGGGAATGTGCCCAATGCACCTCTAAAATATTAATTAATACACCTCTGGAAAGATGAGCCCTTATGTTCCAGTTACAAAGACAGGGTGCATTCATGAACTTAGTTCAACATTCACCCTGCATAGCGATGGGGTGCGAAAAGGAAGGCAGCAATGAAGTCACTTACAGTTTGCAATTCAGCTGTCATGTGGAAGTCTGCAGTAGGTATGAGCAAAATATACTGTGAAGAATATGTGGCTCAATATTATACAGCAAAATCGAACTTTGCAACTGCTTATGCATAGTTAACTACCTGGGACTAGCCTGCTCTGGTGCACCACTTTATAGATCAATAAAAAATTAAACTAAAAATACAGACTCCTAGGTAACCGTGGTCACAGTACAACTCTATCTTCCTTTGCAGGCTTATTATTTCCTGAAGCTGTGGCTGACAGGTTCTATGAGCACACATTTTTGCATATATTTTGTTTATGTGCAAGCCTTGGCATTTCAGCCATCTCCTGCTGGGGCCCCTTCCAACCATATGCTTCTGTTTTTCTTCATTAGGTGATGTGATCCCTTTTGACTGTTGCATGCACGTGAAAGGACAGTGGGCTTTGGGGGGAGAAGAAACCCTGCTTTAAGAGAGTACACGTCAGTTGGCCTTCAGCTGTTTGGAGCTGATTCGATCTGACAAGTGTTGAAGCTACTCATCGTAATGGATGTCTCTGCTTTAGCAGAGAGGAGGTGAAAAGGATGTAATTCCCAGTGAAAGAAAGCAACATGAACTATTATTTAATTACTGCTTAATATATAACTCACTAGGAGTCCCTGTTGATTTACAGTTCTAGCTTCTTCTTTTCTTTATTAATGGAACAATCTAGTCTTTTAATGCGATGTGATTGAGCCACACCTGTTATTGATAGGGACTTTCCCAAATGAACAAGGCAAATAATCCATTTTAATACCCAAGCATGTATGATTCTGAAATGCTTAATTTTTTCACATATAGAAGTTACTCTTTTCACCCCACAAAAACAAACAAACAAACAAACAAACAACAACAACAACAGCCACAAAAGAAAACCTTGAGCTAGTATTGCCCAGACTTATTTCTTTCACTGGTTTAGGATATGGTGTGCATATTTCTGAATACTCTGGACACCAACCTTTTTAACTCTCTGGATTCTAAAAATCAATTAGAACCCTCCACTCTCTCCTTCCCACTTCAGTTTTCACACCAATAGGATGCTGAGTTAAATAGACGTAGTTTCATTTTGTTTTTTGATCGGATGCAATTTCTGGATGTGCTGACGCTGATTTTTGTCAGCAATCGACCTTCTACACAGAATTTGTTGTCCTACTGGGGAAATGCAACTTTAAAATCTGAAATGCAAGTCTATTATTCATTTCCAAATTATAGTACTTTTTAGAATCATTTCTAAAGTATTGTTTTCATTCCTTTCTTTTATTGGGAAAACAGTCAAGGCAAAAAAGTGATTGGGTTTTGGGTTTGGGTTTAATTCTACTCACATAGTATATTAAAGTTGCATGCTCACTGAAAATATTTAAGTAGAAGGGTTCTGTCCACATATTAAATATATAGCAATAAGATTATTTAATTTTTTATTCCCTTCAATATATAATATGTAACAATTATATTGGTAATGTTTCTTGTATTTTCTTTTTTTTGGCTACAGCTTATATTTTCCTTACCCAACTTTGCTGAAGGATTATTCTTAACATATAGTATCTATAACATATAGTAGTTTATATCATTCATGCAAATTTTTCAACAAACATATCACAGATAAACACATATCATCCTTTAGAAAACATGTTATATTTGTGCCAAAATCTGAGATAGAGAAGAAAACACTCTGTATTATATAGTCCGTATGTTTAGTTTAATCATTTTTAGCTTATATCATTTTTAAAGTACCCTTATTTTGCTATATCCACATGTAGGCTGATAAAACTTTGAAACCTGTGGCTTTCTTTTAAAGGTAGCCAATTCACTAATTTGGATATTATCAGAAAACAGTTCGTATGATAATGCTAGACTGTCTAAATTTTTTATACTTTACATTTTTGTTTTCCTGAGACATTATCACATCCAGCTGATTTAGGTATATATAAAATAGAAACAAATACCTCACAAATGACAACAACATAATTTTATTTTAAAAGTTTTCACTTATGTTTTTCCAAAGCTAAATCCTGACCTCTTCCACACATTTTAATGTTTTCCCTTGCAGTCATGTAGGGAAATACATTTTTATCCAATGACCCTCATTAATGTAGACCTTTGATTTGTATGGACGGAGGTTTTATTTTCCATTTGTGAGTATGGAGGCTGTTGCCTGTTTGCTTTGGAATATTTTATTACTTTGGAACAGAATGCAAGTGTATAATTTTGTGAATGATCTCTTTCTTTAGTTTACTTGTGTAAATATAGATCAAATATTGGTAATCTTGGAGAAGGAAAGGCTATTTACGTGGCAGTTTCTAAAATGAAATAGTAGCTATGCCAAGTTGAACAATTTGAGCTTTTATGCCAATTAAACAGTTTGACTCCTGATATAAAACTTGATGATTTGAAACCAAATGTTAAAAATAGGGAGTAGAATTCACCATATATTGTGAAGATAAAATTTATTTTTAAGTTTGCAAAACAATATTTTTTTTGGAACTAATATTACTATGTCTAAATTTTTCCAGATAACATACAAATGTTTTCTTTCTTGTGTGGTTTCTCAAGAAAAAATAATTTAATTAAAAATTTAATTCTAGCATTTTGAATGTAAGATGAATCAAGCTTCATATAATTCCCAATGTTATTGCATTCTTACTTTTTTCTCTGTTCTTTACATAATTTTTTCTTCAGAGAGAAAGCAAAAATAAATAAATAAGAAAAGTGACCATTTTATGTCTTATTTGACAAAAAGTCATCTTCATTCATAATGAGAAACTCCAGTATTTCATTCTGTAATGCAGCATAGAGCAAAAACTGCTGATGAAATTCAAAGAGTAAACTCCCTCAATAATTGAGTTATAACAAAAGAGTTTTGAAAGGGTAGGTGGGTCTTTTTTCCCCCCAAGATAAGTATCTTACTGTTAATTAATCTGGTTGGGGGATTATGAGATAGAATAATTTAAAATACTACATTTGCTATACAACTGATCATCTTCTACTTTAAGGATTTTTTTCATGATTTATGGGATTTTACAGGTTTAAAAGAGAATTGAATAAAAAAAAGTTTCTGTGTGGATGAATATAAACTACCTAAATCATACACCTTTGCTGATGCAGAAGAAATTTCAGTGCTTAGGTCTGGAGGTAAGAAATTTCCCTCAGATGATCAGAAACATTAATATCCCTTTTGCCTCTACTTTTTTTTAATGAAAGACACACATACACACACACACACATACAAACACATACACACACACACACACATACACACACACACACACCCCAGGTTACTGCAGCTGCATAACAGGCTCCTGTTGGCCCTGAGGACAAATCCTGGATAGTTTTAATAACTAAAACAATTCTAATAAGAAAATTATTACAGAAGGGCATCAAAATCCCTTATAAGGTAAAATGTTTAAAAAGTGTTTCTTGTCTCATACTCCTAGCCAACAATAAAATAACCAACACTTAAAATTTAAGGGAAGCAGAAAACACTTGAACTAGACTTTGTGTCTAAAGAGAAAATTTTATCCACAGAGCTCATAACAGATTTTGAGTTGTTTTTACTCAAATCAGAAAAAACACTTGCCATTACCTTCATGTTTTCAAAGCAAGTTCAAACTTCTCATGACTACTGCATAAACGATATAAAAGTTTTACCTGAATCAAATATATAACACTTGTCTAATTACAAAGAATCTTCATGAAACCCATAAAAAGTGTCCTTCTATCATTTCTGCAAAGAGATTTGTAGATGAGAATTTTGTACCACACAGATATTCGATGAACATTTACAAGAATAAAATTATATTTTTCATACATGTATCAAACGGATTATTGGTAGCGGTTAAAATAAAATCTTAGGTCTCCAACTTTATATTCCTATTTGATAAGTATTATAATTTTTATTAAAATAAATTTTTAGGTCTTCTAATTCCTATTTTAATTTGATCTAATATCCGGAAAGAATACTGCTGCCCAGAAATTCGTCTAGCAGCAGCAGTTTTCTCCAGTTATACACGAATTGAATATCCATGGTAGAGGAACAGTGGTTAGTTTAAGAGGAGACACCTCACCCCAAAATATAGGTACTTTGCAAATTAACAATTCAAGTTCTATCTCCTTGTTTTTCAGAGAGCAGTGCTCACCATACATGGCTCTATAAGCTGTTTGCACTAAAGACTCAATCCCAAATCTAAAGGAAAACCGTGGAGGTTTACAAACTACTTTTCTTAATCATCAAAAGTACAGGGGTGGTATTCTTGCTTCATTTGTGGGTCCACTCCAACTCCAAACAGATCTGAAACCATTACAATGCATGGCAGTTGGTCGATAGTGTGGAAAAACCTCATTTACTGACTGGCCAGACAGTTTTAAAACCTTCAGATTTTTCTAAGTCTAGGTTATTAACTGTCTGACTGTAATCACATCTTCACCATAGGGAGCTTCAAAAGCTTTTCATTTGCATTGAATCAGTTGCCTTCCTCCCTGTCTTTTTTCCCCCTGGAAATAAGCTTAAATAATTCAACAAACTACACACATGGCTAGTGATTATTGAACCATTCTGAAACACTCGAGGCAAATGGGCCATTATGTGGTGGGAATTAAAACTTTCCTTCCAGTTACCGGGAGGGTACATATTCATATATAGCACATATATTTATCTGAAGCATTTCTTCGGTACTCTCCATTCGCCCAAAACCATGTGGAAAAATACCTACAACTGTACCATAACTCTTATTTGCCAGTGCTGTTTTTGGAGGTTATTAGGTCAGATAAAATGCCTTTTGGTGTGCATATATATTCAACACTTCTTTCCCCAAGTGTGGAGACTAAGTTACTTTAAAAGAAAATACAGTACTTTTCATAGACATACTACAGCTGAATAAAAACAAAGAAATTACATTCATTTAGTCACTCATTTTCATACTTGGATCATAACAGGATTAAACATATTTGGCCACTTGACTTGATGTAGCCTTCACTACAAACATTTATATTTGGTAAGGACTGTGTGTAAAAGTGGTTATGGATATTTTACATTTACAGACACACAAATTTTTGAATTCTCCAAAATCTGAAAGAATGTTTTGTCATTTGTATTGCCATCTGTTTTTGTAGATTTCATGATTGAAGATAAAACCCCCAAGCAATGTCAGAAATTACAATTTTATGCTAGATTTTAACAATAACAAAAAAATACAAATTAAAAAAATGAATATCTTTATTGTCATAGTGCTTTTGTTTCTCTGAGCAGACAGCAATAAAAAAATCTAAGAATAAGGGGCAGAAAAAACAAATATTTTACGAGAACAATAAATTTTCAATAGGAGATTGAATAATTGCCACTGGCTGCAGAGTGGAAAATTTAATAAGAATAGGTATTTTTTTCTTTAAACATTGACTTTGAAGTCTTAAAAATGAATAGTATTACATTGCAGAAGGCTATGTAATATTATTATTATTAAATATTTTTATTAAAACACCAGCTATTAGATATTGTGTGTGCCCTGACACTCATCAAAGTTAAGAATTTGGCTGCTAACAATTTCATAGTAATACATCTTTTGTGATTAGAGAGACAGATATAATTTCCATTTTTGTTTTATACTTTAGTAGTTATATAGCTCCGTAGCTGAGTTCTAACAGTGTACAACCTTTGTCAAATATATTTTTCTACATTATGACCTATAGAAAACATATATGTAAATGAATTCAAAAACCTTGTGTTCAATTAACATACCATATATACTATGTGGAATTAAACTGGTCTCTACTATTGATGCAAATAAATAAATAAAAATGTTTCCACTGATTGAAAAAAATAAAAGATTTTTGGGGAATGAGTATTTTATTGCTGATCTTATTTAGAATTGCCAGCTCCTGGTGATAATGAAAAGTAAATCAACTTAAAAAAAATGCATATGGATTTGACAGAAAAGAGTCGTGTGTGTAATGAGTGATCAGTGACAATACGTGTTGTTTCAGTTTATGTATCTTTGATCTTCTGTATACCATTTTTCTAATTCTTTACCACAGAATGGATCCTGGCTCATAACCAGCTCTTACTATTTCCTGTTGAATGCACCTACTTGCTTTATTGTTCCTAGGTAGATATTACCATCAAAAGCAGTCACAGAGCCCAGTGTGGTGGCTTTTGTTTGTAATTCCAGGATTTTGGGAGGCCAAGGTAAACGGATCACTTGAGGCCAAAAGTTCGAGACCACCTTAGGCAACATAGTGAAAACCTGTCTCTACTAAAAATATAAAAATTTGCCAGGTATGCTGGTGCATGCCTATAATCCTAGCTACTCAAGAGGCTGAGGCAGGAGATCACTTGAACCCAGGAGGTGGAGGTTGCAGTGAGCCGAGATAGTGACACTGCACTCCAGCCTGGGTGACAGAGTGAGATTCTGTCTCAAAAAAGTAAAATAAAATAGAAAAAAAAAGGAAAAGAAAAATCAGTCAGAGCCATCCAGAATTTTATTTTAATATGTGTTTTTATGATACGTTTATTTTAATATAGGTTTTGTTGATTATATTGTTATTCTATGTGTCTTTGCTGCTATTTCCCTGTGTTTGCTAATTACTACTGACAATTGCTCCCACAGCTTGGACGTCTTAACTACTCTTACATTATTATAGTCATCCAAGGCAGAGGTTCACCCCCTTCTTTGAGGGTGTGGGTAAGAAGTAGGTTATTGGCTGCTTTGAGAATCTAATTTCAATTATGTATCCTCTTCTTCATAAATATATATGCCCAAAACATTTTACTTAGAAACTTCAGGGTTCACAGACCCAGTGAAATCTATCTACAATTAATGGAACTCAGATTAAGAGCACTTAACCTAAAGAGGGTTATACACCTTATTGCACTGATTTTTAATACAAATAGTGCAGTTCTTGCCTTACTCTGTTGGACAAAATAAGAGGTGTGCAAACTATGGTCCTCAAGTCATGTCATGCTGCCATCTATTTTTATAAATAAAGTTTTATTGAGACACAATCCTGCCTGTCCATTTATATATTATCTCTGGCTGTTTTTGTGCTACAACTGCATCGTTAGTAGCTGCAACAAAGACCATATGCCCAAAGCCTGCAATAATTATTATGTGGCCTTTTACAGAAAGCAGCTTGCCACCCACTGGCCTAAATGTGTGGTATAAATATAGAGAATAGTTCACATTCTTCAAGAAGCTAAAACTGTAAGTTTAACATGAACTAATATAACCAAGTATCTACAAAACAAGTTATTGTTATTTTATACAAATAAAAAACTAAGAATAATAGTATGATGGTACCTGTGTACAAGGGACCTCCAAAGGACATTAGACTATTTTGGATATCACATTTTAATAGAGTTATTAACATATTGGTGCTTTCTTTTGTTTTGTTTTCCTGTAAGACTAACATGATGAAAATACACAAAACAATATGTTTAGAAAAAACAGTTGAACAAGGATGTTTATTTTAACATGGAAAAGAAGAGATAGGAAGGTAGTGGAGGAGGTAGAGGGAAATAATCTAAAATATTTTAGTAATTTTTGTGAAAGGTGGAGTTTAATGTATGTTACCCCAGAGGCAGTGATATGTTGGTAAACTAATTTTTTGAAGTAAAAAATCCTGATTTGTGGTATTTGCTGATTTTTGTAGTGTAAATGTTTCCACTGCAGTTAATTTCAGGCTACCAATGTGAAGCCATTGAATGTAGAGCTGAGAAGAGATACACACAATTGCCTTTCAAACCCATCAAGCCCAGCTCCAGCACACCACTGCAGCCAGAGGGCAGAAGTGACACATGCAGCTTGAAACTCTCTCTAGAGAAAAAACATGGTTTACTGTAAGAAACCTTATGATTTAAACTGATTTCCTCAGACTGTGGTAAATTCCTTTTCTGAGAACATGTTTACCAGAAGCTGTGTATGCACTTGATGAGTACACTAAGTAACTAAATGGAAAGTAAGAAGAAAGTTTTATTTTAATCTCATGCAATGGTTTATGATTCTATGATGTTTAAATATGAGTTAAGACATGTAAACTAAACATAGTAAATAACTAGAGATGACATCTTTTACTTGTTTTCCTGTGGCTTCTTGAGGGAAGGCATCTCAGAAAACCTCCCCAGATGTATGTAAGACATTGTGTGCGAGTGCCTAAACACATCATTGATATGTAGAAGAAATAACTTCCTTAAATGACTGAAGATAAAAGTGGCTTAAGGTCAATTTCCTCTCATAATTCTCATTTTATGAAATGAAAAACCAACACATTTGACAACATCTATTTCTTACCAAGTTGAAATAATAAAAGTGAGAGCAGGTCTAGGCTACCTCTCTTGGTTGTCTACCCAACAGTCAATTCCTACACTTACAGAACTGCAATTGTATCGGAGCAGTCTTCTATGTTAGGAGGATCTGGACCTCTGTACAACCTTCGGGGAAAATGTTAGTAGCAATCTCCTTGATAAAGAGTATTTTAAAAGTATGTACGTAATATTATTCAAGCCAATGGGCAATGGGGAAAACATGCTCTTTGTGTTCTGGGAGAAGAACAAAGAGGCATTCTCTTTTCAGGCGTTCATGCACCAAACTATAAGATTCTTTGGGCTGATCCAGTCATACTGTGGTTATGAAGGTTAAGACAAGAGCCAACATTCCTAGGGCGGCAGAGAATAAATATTTTAAAAAACAATGCTGAATGGTGCTGTTGAATCACTGGTTTAACCATCCCTGGAACCATGATGCTTCTGAACTTCTTTTATGTAAAGACAAACTGAAGGTAACATTAATATTTTTATAAACAAACAAAACTTGAGAGAATTCATTAACAACAGACCTGCATTACAAAAAAATATTGAAGAAAGTCTTGCAGGCTGGAATATGATACCAGCAAGAAATTTTGATCTACACAAGACATGAAGAATTTAGTCTTTGCAAAGTCAGAGTAAATATATGATGCATTTTGTTTTTAATTTCTGTAAAATATAATTATCTCCAGAGCAAAATGCTAACAATATATCACTTGCATATATATATATATATATATATATAATCTGCAAAAGTAATAGCAAAGGATGAGAGGGAAGAAATTAATACTACATTGTGAAGGAGAATAATATTTGATGACATGCTTCAATAGCTTAAAAGTGTATATATATTTTTAATTTATTCCAAAAAATGGGATACACGTGCAGGTTTGTTACATAGGTATATGTGTTCCATGGTGGTTTGCTGCACCTATTGATCTGTCCTCTAAGTGCCTTCCCCTCACCCCCTACCCCAGCAACAGGCCCTGGTGTGTGCTATTCCCCTCTCTGTGTCCATGTGTTCTCAATGTTCAGCTCCCATTTATGAGTGAGAACATGTGGTGTTTGGTTTTCTGTTCCTGTGTTAGCTTGCTGAAGATGATGGCTTCCAATTTCATCCATGTCCCTGCAAAGGACAAGATCTCCTTCCTTTTTATGGCTGCATAATATTCCATGATGTATATGTACCACATTGTCTTTATCCAGCCTATCATTGATGGGGAATTGGGTTGGTTCCATTTCTTTGCTATTGTAAATAGTGCTGTAATAAACGTATGTGTGCATGTGTCTTTATAGTAGACTGATTTATATTCCTTTGGGTATTTACTCAGTAATTGGATTGCTTGGTCAAATAGTATTTCTGGTTCTAGATCCTTAAGGAATCGCCACACTGTCTTCCACAACAGCTGAACTAATTTACATACCACCAGTGGTGTAAAAGTGTTCCTATTTCTCCACAGCTTTGCCATCATCTATTGTTTCCTGACTTTTTAATAATCATAATTCTGACTGGTGTAAGATGATATCTCATTGTGGTTTTGATTTGCATTTCTCTGAATATCAGTGATGTTGAGCTTTTTTTCATATGTTTGTTGGCCATGTAAATGTCTTCTTTTGAGAAGTGTCTGTTCATATCCTTTGCCCACTTTTTGATAGGGTTGTTTTTTTCTTGTAAATACGCTTAAGCTCCTTGTGCATTCTGGATATTAGACCTTTGTCAGATGGGCAGATTGCAAAAATTTTCTCCCATTCTGTAGGTTGCCTTTTTACTCTCATGATAGTTTCTTTTGCTGTGCAGAAGCTCTTTAGTTTAATTAGATCCCATTTGTCAATTTTGGCTTTTGTTGTCATTGCTTTTGGTGTTTTAGTCATGAAGTCTTTGCCCATGCCTATGTCCTTAATGGTATTGCCTAGGTTTTCTTCTAGGGTTTTTATGGTTTTGGGTTTTACATTTAGGTCTTTGATCCATCTTGAGTTAATTTTTGTATAAGGTGTAAGTAAATGGTCCAGTTTCAGTTTTCTGCATATGGCTAGCCAGTTTTCCTAGCACATTTACTAAATAGGAGATCCTTTTCCCATTGCTTGTTTTTGTCAGGTTTGTTGAAGATCAAATGGTTGAGATGAGTGGTGGCATTTCTGAGGTCTCCATTCTGCTCCATTTGTCTGTATATCTGTTTTGGTACCAGTACCATGCTGTTTTGGTTACTGTAGGCTTGTAGCATAGTTTGAAGTCAGGTAGTGTGATGCCTACAATTTTTTTTCTTAAGATTGTCTTGGCTATACAGGGTCTTCTTTCATTCCATATGAAATTTAAAATAGTTTTTTTTCTAATTCTGTGAAGAATGTCAATGGTAGTTTCATGGGAATAGTATTGAATCTATAAATTACTTTGGGCAGTATGGCCATTTTCATGGTATTGATTCTTCCTATCCATGAGGATAGAATGTTTTTCCATTTGTTTGTGTCCCTCTTATTTCCTTGAGCAGGGATTTGTAGTTCTCCTTGAAGAGGTCCTTCAGCCTCCCTTGTTAGCTGTATTCTTAGGTATTTTATTCTCCTTAAAGCAATTGTGAATGGAAATTCATTCATGATTTGGATCTCTGCTTACCTATTGTTTGTGTAAAGGAATGCTTGTGATTTTTGCACATTGATTTTGTATCCTAAGACTTTGCTAAAGTTGCTTATCAGTTCATGGAGTTTTGGGGCTGAGATGATGAGGTTTTCTAAATGTAAAATCATGTTGTCTGCAAACAGAGACAATTTGACTTCCTTTCTTCCTATTTGAATACTCTTTATTTATTTCTCTTACCTGATTGCCCTGGCCAGAACTTCCAATACTATGTTGAATAGGAGTGGTGAGAGAGGGCATCCTTGTCTTGTGTCTGTTTTCAAACGGAATGCTTCCAGCTTTTGCTCATTCATTATTATATTGGCTGTGGATTTGTCATAAATAGCTCTTACTATTTTGAGATATGTTCCATTAATACCTATTTTATTGAGAGTTTTTAACATGAAGGGATGTTGAATTTTATCAAAGGCCTTTTCTTCATCTATTGAGATAATCATGTGGTTTTTCTCTTTGGTAAAAATCCATGTCAAAAAAAAGTGTATATTGTAAAACCTTGAATGGCAATTTAAAAATTAAAATGAGGTGTAAAAAATAAGCTTATCAGGAAGATAAAATAAAGTCACTTTCAAATGCTCAAGTATCCCCAAAGAAGGAAAGGAAACAAAATAAAAGATTAGACAGTAGAAAACAACTAGCAAGGTGGCAAATGTAAATCGGATGATACAAATTGCCTTAAACATTCATCGGGTAAACACCCTAATTAAAAGTAAAGATTGATAGATTTGATAGAACAGCAAAACTCATTTATGTATTGTCTATAATAAATCCACTTTAAATATAAAGATATAGATAGGTTAAAAGTAAAAGACAGAAATCAGATATACTATGCAAATTCTAATCAAAATAAAGTTTTAGTGGCTATGTTGAGATTAGACAAAGTAAACATTACAACAAGTCATATTGTCAGGAATAATGAGAAACATTATATAATGATAAAGGATCAATTCATTAAAATTATATAACAATCATAAATGTGTATGCATCTAATAGTAGGCTTCCAAATTTGAACTAGATATGTACTAAGAATGATCCTGTTTGAGAGATTGTTCTTATACATACTTGTTTTTAAAATATTGTTTATTCTTCAAGAAATAGTCATATCATGTCATACATCAATTTGCAAAGGTAATTTTCTTAGTTTATAACTGGTAATATACATCTCTAAGATATATTAAGAAATAATATGAGGCCTGGTGTGGTGGCTCACGCCTGTAATCCCAGCGCTTTTGGAGGCCAAGGTTGGTGGATCACTTGAGGCCAGTAGTTCGAGACCAGCCTGGACAACATGGTGAAACCATGCCTCTACAAAAAATACAAAAATTAGCCAGGCATGGTGGCAGCCACCTGTAATCCTACATACTTGGGAGGCTGAGGCAGAAGAATCAATTGAACCCAGGAGGTGGAGGTTGCAGTGAGCCGAGATCGCGCCATTGCACTCTATCCTGGGCAATAGAACAAAACTTTGTCTCAAAAAAAAAAAAAAAAAAAAAGGAAAGAAAGAAATATGGATAACCATTGAGAATTCCTTGTCCTCCACTGGTTTGATAGTTTGACAACTTTGAGATCAGAAGATGTTCAGGGTCCTATCTTCTAGAATACTTGGGTGCAGAGGCGAGTCTTGAATTTTTTTTTTTTTTTAGAATATTGAATCTGAAAACCTAGGCAGACATAAGAAAATGAACTCTGGAAAATGTGGCAATTTAGTAGATCAGTCTTTTTCAATAATACACATCTCTGTTTGGTAGGCATTAGGTTTGGCAGGATTTCTTTCTCCTACACATTCCTTCTCTTATTCAAATTAATATTCTAATTTTAACATGGGAGATTCCTTATACGGAGTTAATCAGATTAAAAGTATAATCAACTTGGTTAATTACTTTTTTACTAAGATTCCTACAGGTCTAAGTGTTTGCAGTTTTATATTGTGCTATTATATGTTCAATTAGATTTTGTTATGTCTACAACTATATTTTGCTATTGTATGTTCTATTAGATTTTGTTATGTCTACAATTTTAATACTAAAATGTCTTTCAAATTTTCATGTGTCAGAATATAGTTTTTCTTTTCAAAAATCTTACAATTAAAACCTCTCGGCAAATATTTTAATATTCCTTTAAATGATGGTGTTCCTTATGACAGTAAGAGATTAATCAATTTGTTCTAAATTGTTCAAAATCTGAGCCTTTTCATAGAAAGGCAATTTTCAAATATGTCACTTTCACATTAGGTCCATATACACTCTATTAAAGGGTTCACACCATTAATTACTGCTTCAAAAACATAAACTATAAGCAAATATTCACGAATATAATTAATTGCTTTAGAAAGAAGACCACATTTCTTTTCAGAACCAAATATGAAAGATACCATGTGAGAAATTTTATTTCATTTAGTCAGTCATCATATATTGATTGAACTTATGCTAGCTACTATTCCTAATGCTAGGAACACACAAGGGTATAAAAATTCAAACTGGTCTCTTCCCTAAGCAGCTTAGTAGAGGAGACAGTAATATTTATTTCATAAGACGAGAAATTTCAGCTTGGAAAGCTGAAAAAACTGCACAGTGCAAAGAATGCCCTTAAAAGGAGGAGTTAGTCTATGGAAGTGATGCTTAATCTGGGATCTAGAAAATGCATTAAAACTACTGGATGAAAAGAGAGGGAAGAAAGGACCAGGGATGGACATCAGGGTGTACAAAGTCCCAGTGGCAAGAAGAAGCGTGGTAAATAAAAGGAATTTTTAAAAATCATTTAACTTGAATGTAGAGACTGAAAAGAATCTGGTAGAAGATACAGCTAGAGAGGTAGTTAGGGCCAAGACATGCTAGCTACTGTATTCTTTGTAAAAATGTATTTTAATTGTTAAGAGCAATGGGAAACAAAATAGAGTTTAATTTAGGGAATAAAATGATCAAATTTGTGTTTGAGAAAATCCTTCCAGCATTAGAGAAGGGAACAAAGATGGATGCCAGGTACTGCCTGGCAATTGTGACATGCAGAATTCTAAGATAGTTCCCAAAGTCCTACTTCCTATGTATATACCCTATATAATCCATTCTCCTTGAATATGAGTAAGACTTATGGATATGGTGGGATTTCACATTCATGATAAGGCTATGTTATATGGCAAAGGTGAAGGAATTTTGAAGATGTAATTAAAGACTTTAGATCAACAAAGGGAGATTATCATGGACATGAACTAATCAAGTGAGTCCTTCAAAAAGAATTCAGTCCTTTCCTAAAGAAGAGATTCAAAACAGGGGAGGTTCTGCTGCTGGCCTTGAAAAAAATAAGCATACATATTGTGAACTACCTATGGATAGAGCCATATGGAAGGACTTAAGGGTAAGACTCTAGGGGCTGAGAGCATTCCCTGGCCAACAGTTAGCAAGAAAACAGTCCTCATTTTTATATCCACAAGTAACTGAGTTCTGCCAACACTCTGAATAAGCTAGGAAGAAGGCCCAGAACTCCAGATGAGAAAGCAGCCTAATCAACACCTGGATTTAAACCTTAAGCCACCAAGCAGGGGACCCTCTCTGAACTTCTGTTCTACAGAAACTGTAAGATAATAATGCATCATGTTTAAGCTGCTAATTCTGTGGTAATTGGTTATACAACATGGAAAACTATTACAGCACTTCTTATAATAGACCTGATGGAAGATGATGGTAGCATGGCTAAGCATGGTGGCAGCGTTGGAGAGAATTAGACATGCTTGAGAAAGATTCGGAAGATAGAATCATCAGCACTTGGCAGTGTATTGGATGTTAAATGTGAAGGAGGGGTGTTAAGGTTTTCTCCAAAATTTCTAGTTAGCTGAATTAAATCAAGGATCTACCAATTACTGAGATAAAGAATATCAAAAGAGGACCGATTGTTTAGTGGCTGATGGTGAGTTTGGATTTCAGCAGTTTAAGGGTTAAGAAGCTCTGAAACATTTCAGAGTAAATGTTTCAAAGTGATTATGAGAGTTAAATGATATATCAGAGTGTCTGGCCTAGAGTGAGCATGAATAAGGTGTTTCTTTAAAAAAAAAAAAGCAAGATATTTAAGAACACAGAATTTGAAATAGTTGGGAAAATTTGGAATATGTGTTGATCACAGAAAGGCAGTAGAATTGACAGTAATTATAGCATATTTGAGATTAGTGATTAGGAATACATGCCTAATGTATTTTGAGACTCCCCACAGACAATTCTAGGCTGTTTCATGCAAGCTGGGAAAATGGACAGTGAGGCTCATTTTCTAATTAAGTTTTGCCAGATCCATAAGATTAAAGGACAGTTAAAAAAAAAAAGTGTTCAGGGCATTGGTATTACTGTAATGACCCAATTCACTGTAGACTCTATTATGAATAGAGAAAAAGTAAAGAAACCAAATAAAAATAAAAGAACCTGCTGGAGAAGGGAAGTTGAATTATTTAAAGGAAAACAAGCAACATAACTCCATATAATTAAATAGCTAAGTAAATACTCTGAAATGAATTTGATGCGTAGGTCATTTGGTTGTGAGTTTTGCTATCCATAGTGATTATCTTCTTAGGAAATTTATGGAAAAGAATCATATTTAAAGAAAAAAATTATAAGATTATTTTATTTTATCCCTTTTCTCTTGAAAATTTTGAAGGATAAAAAAAGTAACAGATAAGTTGGCAAATTAAGAAGTCTTTTTGTGTAAATACTGTATTATATTTGTTTATATATAAAAAGTCAATGAACTTGACATCTAGATCATATATAAAATCATGGTCAACAGATTATTCTTTGAAGTTGGTTAAGTTTGAATACACATACTAGTAATGTGACATTAGGCAAGTTACTTAAATGAATTCCATCTCATTATCTCTAAATTGGGCATAATAATAGTAGATAACTAATGAGATTTTCATGATAAGTAAAAGATAGAATGCACTTAGCACAAAATTTGGCAGTAACTCTGAAACAAAATTGCATATTGTTAAATTTTACCTTGGTTTAACTATACAAGCCTCATGTGTTTAGAAAGTGAATACTGAAATGATAGTATAGGATGCTAGGGGAAAAAATGATACATTATATGGAGAACACATTATATAAAATGACTGGTCTAAAATACTGTATACATTTCCAAATGTCTGGGACCCTAACTGGCACAGTCATAGTAGGCAGGGATACACGTAGCAGGTGTTCAATAAATCTTTAGTAACTGAATAAAGAGGACAATACTATGCTGATTATTATTATCTAAATAATAATCAGTTAACTTTTAAGCAATTGTCATACTGCATTTAATTATTTGATACCATATTTGGTACCATTAAAAATACATGAATCAGGTATTCTTTAAGCCTGAATATGTCCTCCATTATAGAGGGAAACCAAAGCAATATAAACAAATATAATACAGTATTTACACAAAAAGTCTTTTTAATTTGCCATCTTATCTAATATATTGCTTTTTTATCATTCAACATTAAAAACAAATAAAAATAGAACCACGTATTTTCTATAATAATTGGCCAGTAAGAAATTGCTCTCCTTTCATGTCGCATACAGAATAATTAGAGTGTTAAGCAATTTGAGTTTGCTAGACAGTGTGATTGGGTAAATCAGAATGATAATTCACAGGGCACAAGGGCTACCAAAGTAGTTATTCAGCAAATGTTCCTTTTATAACACCCAAGAGGCCCAATTTTTCAATTTTTTATTTATTTTCCATGTACACCTGTTTAGCTGTTAGATTTCTTCTCTCCCCTGTTACAGTCTCTTGCTTCATTTCTTAAGAACTGCACATACAGCGATATTGTAAATTAAAGAAGTGCAGGGGAGAAGGGGGAAAAAGAGTTCTCAAGGGAGGAAAAGGTGAAAGGGACACTAGAGATCAAGTACATTAAGTGATTTTCACCCTACACTAATGTAAAAAGTAATCCCTTCAGAAAATATGCCATTAAATGGTTTCATTTTATTTTGCCATAATGTTTTTTTTAAATAAAGAGTTAAATGTGTTCTTATTTTTGAGGGAGATGTGTAACATTAATCTATTTTAGTGTCCTCCAAATCTCTTGCAATAACGTTCCCTGTGGTATAACCAATTCACTGCAGTCTAACACCTGACACTTGCAATGTAACTTCAGATTATGGTGCGCAATTAGCTCAACTGTTTCCCCCTGTGACATCAACACAGTATTTGGATGGAAGGTTATCCTGATGTGTTTCATCTAGAACAAACTTGGTACTGATAGTTTACCCTCCTATTGATCTAGAATAATCCCAAACCAAGAAATATGGACAAGAGAAAGCAATATCAGAGTACTCATCAACCGGAGACTAATTGGACTTTGGGTGGGAAATACAGGTTTTAAAGTACCGACGAGGTGGATGCCAGAGATTCAAATTGTTCTTAAGGGGAAAAAGTTAGAAGTCAGATGGTAACTCTCTTAATTTGGATGCTATGCTGGATTTATTGCAAGAATGCAAGTAGCATTGCAGTAGTTTCCTTTGGCAATGCTTTTTCCTCATTCTTGATGTGGTATAATTTAAGGGTGTGAAACACTTTGTTAATCTTTTGTCACATTTATCCAACTTTGGCTATTCTCATTATGACAGCTATTGCAAATTAGCAACCCATGGCAAACATATATATATTAGAGACGAGGTTGAACCTCCTGGAGTCCCTTCAATTTTTTATTTCTCTGAAATCACATTCTGCAGCTTAGTAACTCATGACTCAGAAGTTACATCCCTTCTCTTTCTATTTTTCCCTATTGGCACAATAGAAATTAACCTTTAACTAACAGTTTATTGGGAGGTCTGAGAGTCTTGACCAGGTCAAAAACAAATAATCAAGCAAATAACATCACAAAAAAAAGTCTTCCTTAATTCACATCTGGCATTAAGGCATTTAAAACTGAATAAAATATAATTGGCAAATAACCATTTAGATGACTATTTAAAATCATGTTAATAATTCCCTTCCTAGTTTTAAGTTGATTTGACACGATGTTTATCCAGCATCAAATTTGTGTTTACACTTTACACTTAACTTGAATTTTTAGTGCCATTGAATTTTATGCTTAAATTGTATCAGAAGTAAATTTTCCTAACAAAGCAGAGTTTTTTCATTAGTTGATTCTTTTTTAAAATTATGTTTTGTATTCTGCCACCTATTTTTTGTGTTATTTTTATTAGAGGGAGCAGGTAACATGGTGTCTAGAAAACAAAGTACATGCTCTGTTTTGTCCAAATTTGCAATTTACTTTTAGTGATTTTCCGGTTACATATCTTTTGAACAAAGTATGTATTATATTTTATATTAAAACAGGCAATCTTTATTCATTTCACTTTTTATTTACAAAATATTTGACCAAATAAGCACCCGTATTCTGGTTAATAAAGTAAATGTCAAGGTAAAATTACAGACTTTCTGAGACTTTAGCAACTCTCTGGAAAAACCAAGCCTCCTAACAGGTGGTGATTGCATTTTCTTCATCTAGCAATAACAAAACTTCTCTGATTAAAGATTTTAAAGAATTGATTCAGCACATTTCTTAGCACATATTAAGTACTAACTTAGTGTTTGTGGTACTTAATAGATATTAATTGATGTGGGCTTATGTACTGTGAGCATAATTATAAAGTTATGCTTAAAAAATAAAGATGTCCAATATCCAAAAGGAATGGATATTGAAATAGCTATCCAAATTTTGAACCATAATTTCTTCCTGTGGAAACTATAGTAATGTACTTACCTCATAGATTTAAGAAATCAGTATGGAAAATCAAATAAAACACTTAATATGAAGTGCCTGGTGCATGTAGGCACTCAAATATCGGTTATAATTATCATCATATTTTTTTACATCATATTGCTAAGTAATGCTCCAATCATTCTCAATATTTGGCCATTAGTTGACTTTTGGAAGCTTTGTCTTACTTCCTTTTTTCACTAATTGAAAGTGAAATGCTACTTGTCAATCTGACCTCAAAGACAAATGGAAGTAGTTTCCTCACCATATCCCACACAATGACGTTAAACAATTCAGTTGTGTTTTCTTCTTGATGCCTACAACTTTAGGGAGAATGGTATTTCCAAGATAAACAGTTTCTTGTTTTTGATGAAAACTCGTTTCCCAAATATACTTGTTGCCACATAGGTTAGCCTAAAGAAACAGCAAGTGGGTATAACAGGCAACCGGTTTACCAAGATCAGCTTAAATAAGACAATATTTGTGGTGGTTAATGGGTCCGATTGCAGGGATTAAGTTTATATCTTCACTTCTAATTACTTGTGCCAATATTTTTAGGAAAATAGGGTTCTGAGATTTAAAAATAATACTTTGGAAGCAAAATAAAGTAATTATGTTAGTGGAGTTTTGTTTTCTAATTATAAACAATAAAAACCTGTGATGTATATCATAATGAGCTGCTTCAGAAATGCAAACAATACAATGAAAAAGAGCTTTTAGAAATATTCGATTTATCCAGAATATCAGATATTGAAACCAATAGACCCTGATGAGCAACAACTATATTAAACCTTTCTATTGTCAAAAGTGTTTTGCACATCTTTTGTAAATAATAGCATATTAGCTGACGACTTCAAATTTGAAGGCATAGAATGGACTTTTAAAAATATGACCTTTAAAAATAAAGTGCAACATAGGTAAATCTATTCTTTTCCAGCATCTCCAAAATTTTATTCATTACTTTTACAATATAATGAGATTTAATACTCTTCTTTTGCTTAACTACCAATCAAGGTATTTTGTTTCTGTTTGTAGTGGTAGTCATCAATAATAATATATAACATCGTTGCACTATCAATAGATTGAAAAATTATTTGAAAGCCATGTGTTCTAACTTTTTTAAGTTAGTGAAGAAATGTGGAAAGTGAACTGAATCCTGAATTTGCTTTTTATTTTTGCTGTATCATTTATCACATCAGTACCATAGCTACCTAAGCCAGGCAACAGTACTATTCATCACATCATTTATGAATTTTGATCCTATACTATATATATATAAAATAATAAAGATGCATGCAACTATAAAATAATCTTTTTAATAATGGGAGATGGAAGCTTATTGCTGCAAACTAAAATTTCCACTTATTTTGTAGCCAAAATGAAAATGTTCCATATGACAAAATGTCAGCGCATTTGAGAACAAATGGATCGCCATTCTGTAAAGGTAAGAGAGAAATTATTGATTAATGTTACTAGTTTGACTTTAAGTTCTGTAGTATATACATAGAGCTGAATATTTTCCCAAGGCACATAATGATATTAAAATACAGCAATTTCTTTAGAGTCTGAGAGACTAGAAGAATTGGACTTACATGAAAGGACAGTTTACGATCTATGCCAACTGTCAGTTCTACATAAATTGATCTTTAAAAGATAATCTCTGTGCTCTGAAAAATAAATAAAACAGAACAAACAACTGCAATAACCAAAGCAAAGCAAACAAAAATACAGAACAAAACACGTTAGGTAGATTGAGTACTTGCCCCAGAATCAGAAGATTCAGGTTCTAGTTTCAGTCCCAATAAAAAATTTCACCTACTACCCGAAGCAGGGAATTGGATTGGATCATCACTATAGATTTTCCAGTAATAATTGTCTTTGACTTGATAGATGGATGGAAGGAAGGAGGAAGGAAGGAAGGAAGGAGGGAGGGAGGGAGGGAGGAAGGAAGAAAGGAAGGAAGGAAGGAAGCAAGCAGGGAGGGAGGGAGAGAAGGGAGAGAAGGAAGACGAGGAGCAAGAGCAAAGGAAAGGGGAGAGAGAGAGAGAAGTATATTGAAGGCCAAATTACCAGAGTATTTTGTTACAGGCCAGATCATCAAGAGTCTTTGGGCTACCAAAAGTAGACAGACAAAAGTAGAAAAATAAAAAATAAAAAGAGCAAAATAACACAACAACCTCAGTTTCTAATGAAAGCAACATAAACTAAATTCCCCCAAACAATGACATATATGAAACAAATGAGTTAATGTGCATAATCTCTTAAAAGTGTGATAAACAGGCTGCGTGCAGTGGCTCACATCTGTAATCCCAGAACTTTAGGAGGCGAAGGTGGAAGAATAGCTTGAGGTCCTCAGCAACATGGCAAGACCCCTGTTGTGGAAGTCAGTGTGGTGATTCCTCAGGGATCTTGAACTAGAAATATGATTTGACCCAGCCATCCCATTACTGGGTATATACCCAAAGGACTATAAATCATGATGCTATAAAGACACATGCACACGTATATTTATTGCGGCACTATTCACAATAGCAAAGACTTGGAACCAACCCAAATGTCCAACAATGATAGACTGGATTAAGAAAATGTGGCACATATACACCGTGGAATACTATGCAGCCATAAAAAATGATGAGTTCATGTCCTTTGTAGGGACATGGATGAAGCTGGAAACCATCATTCTCAGTAAACTATCGCAAGAACAAAAAACCAAACACCGCATATTCTCACTCATAGGTGGGAATTGAACAATGAGAACATATGGACACAGGAAGGGGAACATCACACTCTGGGGACTGTTGTGGGGTGAGGGGAGGGGGGAGGGATAGCATTGGGAGATATACCTAATGCTAGATGACGAGTTAGTGGGTGCAGCGCACCAGCATGGCACATGTATACATATGTAACTAACCTGCACATTGTGCACATGTACCCTAAAACTTAAAGTATAATAAAAAAATAAAATACAAAATAAAAATAAATAAGAAAATTAGCTGCACGTGATGTTGTGCACCTGCAGTCCTAGCTACTCAGGAGGCTGAGCCAAGTGGATCATTTGAGCCCAGGAGTTTAAGGCTGTAGTGAGCTATGATCGTGTCACTGCACTCCAGCCTGGGCCACAGGGTGAGACTCTATCTCTAAAATAAATAAATAAATAAATACAATGTGATAAACAATGACAAATTATAAATTTAAAACTTTTTTTGTATTCATTAACAACTGGTATTTGGTTCAGGATGGATCTTTGGCTTGACTTTTGGGGAAACGTATTTTAACAGTTTGTTTTATGTAAGCAACATGGTGCCAGAGAGATTCCATGAAGTTCTACAGGCCCAGATTAAAACATTGTATATCTAATTTCAGTGGATCTTGGATGTCTCAGGTATAAAATGTGTATGGTATTGTCTACCATCAGAAATAGTGGGTTAACCAATTGAGGAAACTGATAAGGAAAAGCTTAGCACAATAAATGGCGAAAGCAAGCATTTAAACATTAACACTCCAATAGTATCATTGCCATTTTTAAAAGCTAACAACAAAACAATCTGGAAATTAAATAATCCAAACAATGTTCTCAGATAAATTATGTATAAATTTAAATTTCATCTAAGTTATGTGATTTTGAGACATTGTTTAACGTGAAATACAACTAATGAAAATATTCATTAATTTCAAGGGAAGTGAATTTAAAAAAACCCATGGAACTGCAGAAATGCATAATTTCCAGGTATACAGAGTATGACCAAAGAGAAAAGATACCTTATACAACTAGGAAAAAAAAATCTGCGTTACTTAATAGAGCAGGGAACCAATTAAGAACAGTCCCCTATCCGGTTTAATTAGGCTAACTACAGGTAAGGGAATCCTATGGTACAGGGAGGAGCATTAGGTGGTGAATTCTCACTGTATCTCTTTCATCTATGACCTCTCCACTGTGACAATGTTAAAGATATGTGGTGCTTGACTTTCACCTAAGATTGCCCTTTTAATGTGGAATTTAAATGAATTAACACTTTCACATTACTAGAAAGTGAGCTCCAGGAGTATCTCAATGCTGTACAAGCAGTAACAAATTACTTGCTCCTTTAATGATTTTTCCAGATTATCACTAGATTGTGCACATTTATGTCTAATATCAGCTTTAGTACATTGATATATTTCAAAAATCTGTGTGTTACCTGTGTTAATAAAAAGAAAGATGTTCTACACATTAATCATGCAGTGTCAAGAGCTAATCTTCAATATACTGCTGAAAATGAAATCATACAGTAGAAAGAAGACCTTATTTTTCTGTTCTGTATGGTTGTATAGCTGCAACCCTGGCTTATTAATTTGCTCCACTTTCAGGGTTTTAATAAGACATGTTTGATCTAAACTGGATCTTCTTTGTTTCTTTCTCCCCTAACATATTGATTTTAGTAATTAAGCAATGAGAAAACTCCAAAAGAGGTCAGACAACTAAAAAATTTAAAAACAAAAAAATCTTCTAGCCCAGCCAATACATATATATATATATAGGTAAAATTTCTGTTAATTTTCTTGCTTTCTCATTCATTAATATATACACACAAATATACATATATATACAAATATACATAATATATGCATATTTGTGTATGTTCATGAATGCCAAATATACATACATAAATGTTTATGAATGCAAAACATGAAAGAACTAACTGCAAATGAAGTCAAAGTTAGGTTAGAATATGGGTTATTTTTACCTGAAATAAGTTGAGAGGCTAGGGTTAAGCAAATACAGAAAAACCTTAAGATTTGGGAAAAATGTATTGTTTCTCTTTAGTAGTTTCTGTTTACATTAAAGTTTTTAATTCAAGTATTTTTTTAAAAAAGAATTGATCTGCCCATCATTAACGTGACACATTTTAATAGGTGGACATTCTTTTGTAGATCTGAGTGGAGTGTTGACATTACTGAGAATCCAGAGACAGAGAAACAAAACACTGCAGGAAGTGAGGAAATTTTGCTGAGGGAAATAACTATAAAATCAACATGAAAGGTGAAAAACTCTCAGGTCATGTTTTTGAGGATACTCTGCTCTTTAAGCAACATTTGATTTCTTTCTTCAGTATATACAGCTGAAAAACAGGAATAAAAAACTGTATTTCAAGATTACTAGGGTAAATAATTATTACAAATTAATGTTAAACCATATTCCAAATTTATTATTTATAACGTATGTGTGTTTGTGCATGTTTGTACGTGTGTATATGCATGTGTGTGTATATATTCTTAAAATGTATCTCTAGTTATTTATAGCAGTCTACCTGCCTATCTTCTATCTACCTATCTCCTTAAAACATTTCTCTAGTTTTTGTGACTATGCAGAAAGGAAAAGGTTATGGTAATGCTAGCAAAGACAGAAAAAGAACATATTTTATAGTTAAGGATCACATAAGTTAAAGCAGAGTAGAGCAAAACGTATTAAACCTGCTCATGAGTTTCTGAATGTTCATTTTCATCTGGCCATAGAAATTAACGTTTTCTTGGGTATTTTTTTTCTTTTATCTACACCACTTCAGTGAGCCTTACTCTCCACAGCAGTTAGTGTTTCATGGGGTAAGTAATTTCTTTCACAGATTTCAGAATAAAAAACACATTTAGAATTAAATTTTATCATTCCTGCTTAAATATAAATGCAAAATTGCAACATCAAGGCAATAGGGATTATGATTTTATAATCTTTCAAGTATTCTCTAATCTCTGCATCTGAAATGTCCTTGTATCTGATAGTACAACAATAAATTATATGCCATTACTATCAGATCTGTATCTGAGAGCACAATAAATGATATGCCATATGATGAAGTTAAACATCATATAATAATATGGTTATAACTTCATGTGAATATGTTTCAAAGACTTTCATTTAAAGGAGATTTAACTTTTCATATTACTTTGCATGAAGAAAGCAGTATTGCTCAGATAACATTATTTAAGGACCCACTCTGGGCACTTAAAATATAATAGGCATTTTGGAAGGGTGCAAACAACTTAAGACATATTTAATTTCTTAAGACGAGACAGAAATTTAGCATAATTTTACACATCATTACTGAGTGATCTTGTGCAAATTCAAGACCAGGATTTGTGTGATTTGATTAAGTCAAATTTGACTAGTTAGATCTCTGGGTTTGACAATAGTGAAAACTAAGTGAGAAATTTGAGCTACAATTTAGATTAGATGAAATTGTCCAATTTATTCATCTAATGCAGATATCAGAAGATCTCCTGCAGTAAACTATACTTTACACCATTTTAAGTATTTACACAAACAAATTATCAGCAACATGGGTGGGGAATTTATATTGGAAGAAAACACTGATAAAACAAGCTAAATCCTGTAAAGTAATTAACAGATTTTCTTACAATATTGTAATTATTGATAACAAAATTGTTTTAATGGTATAGTGTGAAATTTTGATGCAGTCATGCATCAAAAACACACAAAACAAAAGATAAAAGTTAATTTATAAAATGAAAAGCGAAGGGAAAATGTATTACTAGGTAAGTCTACTGCTCTACTGCGGGGAAACATCACAAACATATCATCTATATTGACTCATAAGAGTAGGCCTTTCGAATTTTAATAAAAAGGACTCAGAGGCATATAAACAACATTCAACATTTAAAGAGTGTGGTAAATCAGATTGTGTTCCTTTTGAAAAGCTTTTATGACGCATTTGTTTATTCAGCAAAACAAAACTGTTTCCTGTGTCCGTTAACAAGCCTGGCTTTGTGCTACACAGACTTCTGTGGGGCTGACTCCTGTTTGGAACCATTTCACACTAATTAGAAATAAGAGAAAAGGCAGTGTTCATAAGCGCTACAGCTCTGGGCCTCTTTGAACAGCTCTCTTCCAAAATTAACTCGGTTGTAGCCCTGCATGAATAATAGCTTTGCAGCAACAGTTTAGAGAAATATATTGTTAATAATTGCCATCTTGCTGAGCAAAATGCTGGAGCAAATTTTACATAACAGTACAAGACAAAATAGAAAGGTGAGTTTGTGAAGCTCTGAAATACACAGTTTGCAGTTCACTTTTGTTTCTAAGACTCCTCTCGTAATGATTTTGGAGGACACAAACAGGTAAGAAGAAAACGAATCAGTGGCAAATGAAAAATGGTTGTTTAGTTGGTAAAATATTAATTTCTTGTGTTGATACCAATCCTATAGATACAGCTAACCATAGAAGTGCAGTTTCTTTTTCAAATAACACATATGAAGCAAAATAATTACATTTTAGTTTGATGCAAATAAATAGCGAAAAGTAGGTAGGATTATATTTAATAAGTAGCAGAAAATTGGCAAAGTTTCTAAAGTAAAATATGCCTTAGAACGCACATAAGTTTATGCACAGAACAGAGACAGAAAGAAAAGGAGACAATGAGGAGTAATTTTTTGAGATAGGAAAATGTAGCAGTAGAATCTAGGGCTTGGCCTAGCATCTAGAAAATATAAGATAAAAGCAAAAAAAAAAAAAATTCTAAGAGGGATGCCACTCTTTGAAACAAATAATTTATCCCATATGCATATTGTTTTCTTTCATTAAACCAGGTTTCTAAAGATTACTTGTTTGGACTAAGCGTTGGACTATATGCTTTTTTCTATGTCCAAATATCTCCTTTCCAGAAAACAAAATTGATTTAAAAAATGAAAATTGGCCAGGCTCACGCCTGTAATCCCAGCACTTTGGGAAACCGAGGCGGGTGGATCACCTGAGGTCAGGAGTTTGAGATCAGCCTAGTCAATATGGTGAAACCCCGTCTCTACTAAAAATACAAGAAACTTAGCCGGGCATGGTGGCGGACACCTACAAACCCAGCTACACGGGAGGCTGAGGCAGGAGAATCGCTTGAACCTGGAAGGTGGAGGTTGCAGTAAGCCCAAATCACGCCACTGCAGTCCAGCCTGGAAAATAAAGAGTGAAACTCTGTCTCAAAAAAAAAAAAAAAAGAAAAAAGAAAAGAAAATTGACCATAAGATTAGAAACCCTGCAGGGCAGCCTTAAATTAGTTCTATTTGGCTATGGGTTTATGTTCTAATCCAAGGCATGGCAGAGGGAAAAGTTGGGTTCTAATTGGTAAATAAGCAATGAAATTGAATGAGATCAACAGCCTAGACAGTTTGCCACAGAATCTTCCATTCATTTACTCAAATAATTCACTTTTAAATGGCAATCAGATTTCAGGTTTTTGGTATACAAAGATGAATAAGCATGCTATACTCCTTGCCCTCAAGCAGCATACACTCTTTGTTTAAAAGGGAAAAAAAAAAGACAATGACTAATTTGTACAATGTGCTCCAGAAGCACAAAAGAAATCGATTTTCTTGGAAATGAAGGGAAGGCAGAGAGGGGTAAGGAAAAGCTTCATAGAGAACGTAAACTTAAGATGGGTCTTAAGATACAAGAAGAGAGGTATTCCCCATCAAAAGAAAAATATATAAAAATGTAAAGACTATTTCAAAAATAGACTTATTACCTAATGAATTTCAAGAAAGGAATAATGTGAGTAAAATTTTCTAAGTGAATCAAAGACAAAAGAATGCCTTGAAAATTAAATCTGCTTTTCTCCGTATTGTAGCTCATAGTGTATTCATTTGTAAATTCTAAATTCAATTCAATCGAGCAGATAGTTGTTAAAGACCTCGTCAATGCTTTATATGCTAGGAAACGTATATACAAATGAACTGGAAATCACACCTAAAAAGCCTACAATTAAATAGCAGAGGGACAACAAACAGCATGCTAAATAAAGAAAGATTTCAAAGACTAGGGAAGTGCAAATGAAGGAAAAATGTTTTGACTGGAGATGAAGGTATTAATTATTAAGAAAAGAGGCCGGGCGCAGTGGCTCACGCCTGTAATCCCAGCACTTTGGGAGGCCGAGGTGGGCGGATCACAAGGTCAGGAGATTGAGACCATCCTGGCTAACACGGTGAAACCCCGTCTCTACTAAAAAATACAAAAAATTAGCCGGGCGTGGCAGTGGGCACCTGTAGTCCCAGCTACTCAGGAGGCTGAGGCAGGAGAATGGCATGAACCCAGGAGGCAGGAGAATGGCATGAACCCAGGAGGCGAGATCGCCACTGCACTCCAGCCTGGGCGACAGAGCAAGACTCCGTCTCAAGAAAAAAAAAAAGAAAAAAGAAAGAAAAAAAAAAAAAGAAAAGGCTGCATAGGGTGGGTATCTGGAAATATTCTTACAGGCCTAGAAAGACATCACAGTTTGATGTCAGCAATGAGAAAAGGGAAGAAGGCATGAATTATAAAACTAATCTGGTGGGGAGGGGAAGATGCATAAAACAATAGCATTGACTCATTTCCACCTTGGAGATTGATTTATTTTCCTAGGTTGGGATTACAACATTTGTGTGCGTGCGTGTGTGTGTGTGTGTGTGTGTGTGTGTGTGTGTGTGTGTGTTTTATATCCTCCCTGTGAGGCTAATGAGTAACCAAGATTGAGGATTGAGAAAAAGTTGACCGTAATTGTTTATGTCTAATTCTAAAAATTTTAAGGGAAAATATATTTCCCGAAAACAATACAGCTATAAATATTTAGATACATTTACAATGAATTTATTGAATATAAACACACTAAAAATTGCAAACATCATTATTTCCTTTGTACTACCCCATTAAGTTAAAAAATGTTGTATATAAGATAGTTAAGACTGTGAAAGCATTCTTTTTTGGAGGTTAATCTCTTCATTTCTTTTTTCTATGAAATTAATACAACAAATAGTGTGTTTACAGTAAACACTGCCTAGAACGTAACAGTATTCAAAGTAACTTTAACAAACAACTTGTTTTAAGGAACAATGTTTTTCATTACCACATTTGACTCTAATTTTCATTTGAAATTGCAATTATGCTGGCAAGTTACTTGGATTGATGGATTTCAACCCAATTAAATGCTCCTGTTATAAAGCAGGGAATTGGGCCAAATTACGAAAGACTGCTCCAATTCTAAATTTTTCGGTACTAAGAGTTTCCTTCAAGCTCTGATATATATGGAGAAGCAACCAAGTTAAGGCCATAATTGAGGTTCATTAACAGAGATTTGCAAATTTAAGGCAAAGAAACCCTTATCTTAACCTTAAACCTTAACAGCACATTGCACACTTACAAAACTAGGTCACAGCTCTTTAAAAGTGTCCTGTAGGTTTTCCTGCCATTTTAACAAGTCCATAATAATCCCATTCTTAGACTAACGAAAAAGAAAAGTATAGAAAATGCCGAAAGGCAGGTCAGTACATTTTATCACATTAAAACTGTCAAAAAGTGTTGTCTGAACTTAGTACCAGGTTAGTGAAGGGATGGTCTACATTAGTTAGTATCCAAAAATGTAAAGCCAAATTTAGATGTTTGCTAAGGAAGGCAGAGTCGCCCAGTTGCAGGTGTACAAACTTTGAAGGCAGACTGACTGGGTTCAAATCTTGCCCTCTCCCTTACTGACATCTTAGGCAGGGTAGTTAGTAATCACCTCCATTTTTTCACCTTTATATTGAGATCCATATAAGCACCAACACATACAACAGCATCACATTCAACAGTTGTGTAAAAAGTGATATGTAGTACCCAGCACAAAGCAAGTGATATGTATTAGCTGTGCTCTCGTAACCCAGAAGAAAATAAATAAGATCTATGTAAAGCTTGTTTTAGGAAATTTTTCATAAGCTATAGTTAAGCATATATGGGGCAATACTAAAATATTAAAACTAAATCTTGATGAAAAATCTATCAGTAGTGCAATTTATCTCAAACCCAAGAAGAAAATTGCATTTTAACCTTAAACAATGCAGTGAAAATATAGAATTTTGAGATAAAATTTTGATAAACATGTTTTATTTAAAATATAGCTTTAGGATCAAATTCATACCAAATCTTATGGTCTTTTTATGTGTGTGTGTGCTATATTGAAAAAGTTATTTAATAATGAATATTAACTCTGGCAATTTCCAGATAATTAACTACATTATAAATAGGTATTTCTTTTAAAAATCTATAAAAATAAAATATAAATAAGAAATCCACTTATACATGCAAACATAGAATCAAAGTGTCTGCAAAATAGAATTTTTAGGTGAGAAATTTGTGGTCCAAGAGTGTGTAATACTCTGAATGTTTTACTGCTAGTTAATGACAGGGCTCAGAAGAGAACCTAAATTTCTTAACTTTGAACCTTTCTGTTTATAATTCTTGTTACAGTTTGTAACTATGTATTTATTTTAAGTTATATTTTAACTACCATTTCTATTTATCTCCCCACTATATTCTAAGCTTCAGCAAGTCTGTTATATCACCATTCTTTTTTAGCAGAATACTGAGGACATAGTTGGAACTCAAAAATAAATGAATCAAAGCTTTAGTGTTATACATCACTTTACAGTATGGTGTACATGTGAAAATTTTATTTTTTTGAAAAGATATTACTAAATTAAAATACTTACAGATAGTAATTACATTAATGATTTACCAGTTGTTTTTATTTTTAATAGCAAAATACAAGGAATGTTTTCATCAAATATAGGTAAGTCTAGCTAGAATATAAGGGATTATAATATAAAACTTGGAAATACCTAGAACAGCGCCTTACAAAAACTAAGTGTATAATAAATGATAAACAAGATTGATGATGATTACAATAAACGATTATAAAAAAGAAAATAAAGGAATGCCTTTTAGCCCCATGATTTCATTCCTACTGTATTAATATTTCTAAACTTTTTTTATGTTGTGGTATAGAGGTCCACAAATATTTGTTCAGCAAGAAACATAATTTCACTATTTATCCCAAATTCAAACAATTCAAAATATATTTTCAATGTTTTTGATGGTTCTTCGTGATCTTCTCCCACTATTAGAAACTCTCTTTTATTTTGCCTTTCTGTTTTATTTGCTCATTTCTTCTCTATATATCGTTATGTTAATTGTGATAGACAAAGTATCCACTGTTCTAGAATTAGCTCCTACATGGATAAATGTGGCCACCATTACAGAATTAATTGCACTGAAATTAATGAAAGACATTTGAATTAGTGAAGACTTAGAAAGAACAATGTGTCTGATTTCAAAAGGAAAATACCTTAAGAGCAGACATACTTTTATTAATTTTTTAAAACTTTTAAAACTTTTTTTTGTTTAGTAGTTTAAGATTCATAAGTTGCTAAAATTATAGTTTCCTTGTGGCCCTCACCCTATTTCTTCTACTAATATTATCATACATAGCCATAATACATGTAAATGACTTAAATGGGCTTGCTTTTCAATTTGATTTTATTTGGATTTTGCATATTGATGTTCGAAAGATTTTTTAAACTATAAATGAAATCAGTTTATTGTTCACTAGTTGAGTGTTGCTCCCCACAAACATGTGTGAAAAGGTCAGAAATCATGTCTGACACGATGTCCTTATGTCTCTGTGAGCAGCCAGTGAAGGAACTTATCAAATATAGCCTTAGAACGTGCTCTTGACCATTTCCGGGGAGCTAAAGGAGGGTGTCTAGGAATAACCAACGTCATCAATTGCTAATTAGTTTAGCCCCTATGCCCATAACCTTGAAAATATTCTTAACCAGCATGGTAACATTATAACAAAGATCACTCCAGCATTTCCCAAATCTAAGAAGTAAACAAATTGTCTTTAGAGGTAAATCCAAATTACTTCCTGCAGTACATAAAGTTTGTAGATTACTGTGTTCTTTTACACCCTCTCCCCTTAATATCTGGTGTTTTAAGAAAATGTGTGAAATATAGGAAATATTCACAAGAAAGACAGCATAGGCCAACAGCTCCCCCACTTAAATACTAAATTACTACATACTGTATACAATTTAAAAAAAATCAATGCAAAGTCAAGGTATAATGACAAAAGCATGCGGTTTGGAGTCAAATCTGAAGTAAAAACTTCATCTTACGACTTGCTGGTTGAATGATTTGGGGCACCTGGCTAAACTTTTCTGAGCCTTAGGAACCACCCTCTGTAAAATGAGCACAATCATAACTATCTTGCACTGCTATTGAGAGAATTACATAAAGAATTATGCTTTAAAGTGCCAGCTATTAGGATGCTGCTGTGGAGAGTTGCTCAGGCTGTGCTCTACACAGCTCCAGGGGGTTGTGCCTAATGACTCAGTCCCTGTTGACACAGTGCTGGCTCCTAACTGAAGCTGTAATAATAATAATAATAACAACAACCATTATCATTATAGATAATAATAAGGATAATAATAATATGGATCTTAATATACAGGATACATTGCTGAGTGTTTTAAAAAATCTGTGTAAACATTTCTTAATATCAGGACTTAGAGGAATAACCTCGTTGAAAATCGGAAACAATACACATAGGCCAAGTTGAGGAGAGCAAAGGATAAATTGCTGTACTGAGAATTAGTGTGCATAGATGGTTATTCTTTCCAGCTCTGAAATTCAGGATAGTAAGTAGTTACACATCAGGATAGGGGCATATCAAAACGAAAGCAGGAACTAAGATTATACCAAGACTGAGAGAGATAGACCATAAAGTCCCAAACAAGCTACATGTAGAATCCAGAAAAATGAATACCAAAGTCGGGACAAAGCTTCAGGCAGGAAGGAATTTAAAACGGCCAGTGTTCAGGGTACTAAAGTCAATCAATAATTTAAGAGCTGTAAAGTCATTGAATTAAAAAGTACATTCCATTTGAAGCAGAAGCTGTAGCTCACAAATACTGGCCATACCACTAGGACAAGAAGGACCCTCATCATAGAAAGTAGCCTGAGATTGGCCAAGGGTGGTGGCTCATGCCTGTAATCCCAGCATTTTGGGAGGCCAGGGTGAGCACATCACTTGAATCTAGGAGTTCGAGACCAGCCTGGGCAACATGGTAACACCACATCTCTACAAAATTAGGAAAATTAGCAGAGTATGCTGGTACATGCTGTGGTCGCAGTTATTCGGGAAGCTGAGGTGGGAGATTCACTTGAGCCCAGGAGGTCGAGAGTGCAGTGAGCCATGATCATGCCACTGTACTCCAGCCTGATCAATACAGTGAGACCCTGTCTCAATAAATAAATAAATAAGAAAATAAAGAAAGTAGTCTGAGATGAGACAATAGTGGTAAACAATGTGGTTTCCTAGGCAATTGTTACTTCTCTTCTGTAAATAATTCACCTGGATGCTAAAGGAATTCAAAATTTCATAACCATTAACTCTAGTCACCAGAGTATGGGCAGATCAACACAATTCCATACCACAGCTAAACAAATGACCTGATGTGTGTAAACTGAGTATCCAAAGAATAGCACCAGTTTTTTGACAAAGCAGGTAAACATTGCTTGATGTTTTCCAGTGTTATTCTCATTTAAATCTTGTTGTAATGTTTTATGCATGTCAAAATTCCATTTTATCTGTATCCTGTAAATTTTGTCAACATCTTGATGAAATCTTAAAACTTATAAATACCCAATAGATAAGCAAGATCTATGTACTAAAATCGCAAATCTAAAAGGAAAATGGAAATTTCCATCATGAAAAAGAACATATTTATGGACTCATAAACAGAATATCTGAATTGTAATCCAGCCTATATGACATTTCACAAAATGTAATGCCAATATTTATTGTGAATCTGTATTTTTGAATATACCTATCAAAGACTACTAATTTTCCCATAGAGTTCGTTTTTATAAGAATCACATAAAATGTAGATCAATTATTTTTCTGCTAACTCTATCAAATGCCTTCTCTGAGCTAATTATTTCCATCTCTGTACTGCACATTAGTTCATTATATCATTTGAAATCCAGTTTCTGCCACGGAAATTATTTTAAGACCACTATTTCCCATTCTTTCTTGGCTGAATACATTTTGCTCAGAATAAAAGTCATAGAAAAAAGTCCTTGGCTGCATAAAAGTCCTTTGTTGGTGCTTTTGAACTCCCTGGTCGTGGGCTACAAAGAGTCCGGCGCTCTGCCTCTCACCCCTGTAGAACAGAAACGTCGCCTTTTGTGGATCTTGATATACAGGATACATTACTGAGTGCCTTTAAAAGCTTTGTGAACCTTGATGGAAATCAGAGGTGAAAATGACAGTTCAAATGTCTGGTCTGGGTTTAAAAGATCCATGGTAATATATTTTTCTTCATAACAGATGCAGATAAAATAGTGAGAGTTGTTCTACCAGTAAAAGCAGGCTCAGACTTACGGTCACCACTCTTTGTACTTGCCAAAGCCCTAGCCCAGTGGACTAGGGAAGAAGACTCACTGCTGGGGGGAGGGAAGGGGTGCAAAGAAACGTTTTTGTGCCTACCAGGATTGGAAAAGATTTGTATCATCAATGTCTTTAAATTCTGAGATGAAATTGGGATTAAAGTCAGCTATTTAAATGTACAAGTTCTATTTAATCATGATTAAATTATTCATACTAATCTTAAAGAGATTTGAATTATCAGTGCCTGGGTCAAAATAGGGGCCCAACAAATGTCTATTTCTTTGAAAGTGGAATTAGTTTGGAGACATGTAAGTCAGAGTTCATTCAGGGAAGTGGAGTCACAATAAATATTAAGAGAATGAAGAATTTATTGATTAGACCTTCTACAAAATGTGGGAGAGTCTGAGAAAATGAAGCTATGGAAGGAGGATGTCAGAAGATCAGAGAAGAAATCAATTATTCCTACTGAAGCCCCACTATGAGTCAACAAGTCAGATCTCACAGGAAATTCTGAGAGCCCAGCACATCTGGCCTTGAAAATGGCTCTGCTCATTGATGAGCAATGAGCAAAATGGGATGCTTATTGAAAGGTCTCTAGAAAGCCATTGCCTCTGTTTTGGCTGCCACCTCTGTGGCTCTGCAGGCAAGCATCTGTGGGTGGTAGTCAGCAGGGCCATCGGTCAGGAAGATGAACTGCAGGTAGAACAGATAGTAAGAAGGCAAGCTGGGACTCCTGGGGACTTCTGTGTCTGCCCATCACTCAAGATGACCCATTAACCCCTGATAGTAATGGTCTTTACTTCCCTCCACCTTCCATATTTCATACAAGTTTCTCCTTTGGCCAATTCTAATCCTAACTCTTATAGGAAAGATAATTCTAGAAAACAGTTTCCAGTTTAACTAAGTTAACAATAATTCAATTCAGCCCAAGAGTTTTATTTCCAATGGATATGAAAGTAATTGTACTGTTAAAATGATACATTAAAATAATCAGAAAAGGAAAACTAAAGAGTTTTCTGTATACCTCCCAGATGAACTCATGGATCATTTACCTGACAAAACAAACAAAACAAAAGACCTATAATGCCATATCTCATGAAATAGAGCTATATATGCTAATAGAATGTTACTTTGGTAGCACACCTTTGTCTAGAACACTAAAACATCTGCTTTAGAAATGCACCGTTTGGTTTGGATTTACAGCTTTAGTGGGTTGAAAATTTATATTACCAGAAGGTTTATAAACCCCTGTGCAGAAGTTAAAACAATACTTATTTATCTGAAATAATTTTTCTCTTGAACAATAGTTTCCACTGATTATGGAATTATGTTTTACAAATATATAGTAACTAATTCAGTACAGGGTTTAAGTCTGTCTTGTTTGGTAAAATGAGAGTAGAGAGTAGAAAAAACAGTATTGCTCCATCCAGTTTGCAATCCCTTTTGGGAGTGATATAAAACCTTACATGTGGATTTGGAACACACGTGTAGAGTAACTTCGGCTCTGTATGCTCTTCTGTGTTCTTTCTGATCATTTTTCAAGAATAACGTCTCTTTTTTGATATTTGCTTTGTGCTGCATACAGTCATAATTGTAAGAGCTTTGTCATGATTTTCAGTCATCAAGTTCACAGTTATTATATTCTGTTCCCAACCTTCACACTTCTGCTAGCCTTCTTAGTAATTCAGTACTGCTTGAGAGGCTCAAAAATCCTGACTACCAGCCTTCTCAGTCTTAGGAAGCTCAGGATGTCCACTCCATTCTGAACTCCATAAGCAAAGCCTCATGTTCATTTACCTAAGCACCCACTTGAGACTTCGATATTTGACTTAGCTTGTATTCTCTAGAAAGGAGAGACTGACCAAAGGTTTAAGTGCAAGTACTTTATTTGGGAGAGCAATCCAGACAGTAGGAATCTGGCACAGAAGGAGCAAGATAGTACATGATAAAAAGTCATTATAAAGAAGCATATTAGCCTCTTCTATAAACAACTGAATGCTTGATGCTATGGACTTCCTAAAATGAGTCTTTGGAGATGTTTGCCTAGAGAAACACTATTCATCCATCAGCTCTCTCACTCATTGATCAAAAAATTCTCCACAGGGTATTCACTTTTCTGCACTTCTAGATTACACATATGTGAGTACCCAGTCTTGGAACAGGAAATGAGAGGTACATAGCCCAGGCCTGCACTAAAGCACTGTCACAATTCGTCATGCGAAGCTGACTGGACAAAACAGAACAGGTCACCACGGTAGCGTCTGTAATAGGATTAGGACAGTAATCAAAGTAAAGTTTAAAATGTATCTTTCTAATACAGTCCACTCTTTGCACCACTCAGTTCCCATGTGCCCTCTAATAAATCAATTCATCTAAATCTCCTTCACGGTAAACAGCAGGAATCCCTCTACAAATATTTAATACAAGAGGGTCAATAAAATATAATCTCAGTTACTGTAACTTAACTGATCCAAAGCATTAATTGATATTTATTTCTTTTTCCTTGACCAACCATATTATATAGACTTTACCTCCAACAAGCACTTTGGTGTATATGGAGCCCATGAACAATGGAGTGGCTAAGACTCTTATCCATAAGGAGTCAACTGTTACTTAATTTGGCCTTCACGGGACAATTGCCCATACACCATTATCACTAGACAAGGAAATACCTAGGAGATCGATCAGGCAGTCCCCTAGTTGTCAGATACATTTTTTGTTGCCCATAGTGTATAGTATAATCCCTACCTTTATTTGATAATCAATCTATTACCTCTACAGTACAGTAACTCTCATCTTTTCCTGCTATTTAGCAGGCACTAATTGCCAAAGAGATTGGATGGTAGTTGGAGCTTAAAGTTCAGTGGAAGCTTTATTGTGTCCTCTGGTAGACATGTTTATCATTCCCAGTACCCTCCACCTTTTCTCATCAAACAAAACATATATATAGCATACTCTAAAGTCAACAGATGGAGAGCACAGGTTTTACAAGTGCTTCCTTGAAAGTAACGGTAACAGGGTGAGAGAGACCAACCCTATTCCTACCTTATTGTTTCTAGTTCCATGCATTTTAGTTATTAGAGAAAGAACCACAAACCTTATATGTGGTTATCCCCAAGCTGGCACCCTAGCTTTCTCTCATTTTATTAGGCCAGATGATTTTGAATAGTAAGGCCTAAAAATCAGGGAATTTCACTTTTATACACCCATTGTCAAATCTGCCATAAAATTAGTGCTCTGATGTGAGGCAATGGCATGCAGGAAATTATACCACTAGATCAGGCATTATGTAAGCTTCTGATAATGGTTACGATGAAACCACTGTAAGCAGAGAAAGCAAACCCATACCTGGCATAGGTGGGTGTCAATTCCAGTGAGTATGAATCACTGCCTCTCCATTGAGGAAGGTTTAGGATGTAATCCATCTTCCTCTCAGTAAAGGACTGGTCTCCTCAAGTAATTCTGCCACATCAATGAGTTAGCATCAGTTTCTACAGCTAGGATATTGAACATTCAACAGACATTAGTTAGCTCGGATTAAGTAAAGAAAGCACATGTCATCAGGCCTATACCTAGTACCCATCTATGCCATAGTGGCTACTGTGCAAGTGTATTGTCCAGTTCCACTGTTGAGAATGTCTTCTGTAGTGGATTCTATATGGTGAAAATTAATAAGAGAGACAAAGATCTTCACATTTTGTACATGATACCAGATATTTGTCCATGTGTCTCTATCTCAGGCTTTCTTATGTCTTATCTGCCAATCTTGATTTTTCAGACTCTTGACTAATGAAGCAAGTCATTTACAACTGGTCAGAAATATTTGTATATCTCTATTTCAAATGTCTTCTCCATACATACAGAATGAATATCCGAATGCAGATTTTCCTTAACTTACATTGGAGTTACATCCTGATAAACCCATTGCAAGCTGAAAATATCATAAGTCAAAAATGCATTTAATATACTTAACCTACTGAGAATCATAGCTTAGCCTAGCCCACCTTATATGTGCTAAGAACACTTACAGTAGCCTACAGTTGAGCAAAATAATCTAACACAAAGCCTATTAAATAATAAAGTTTTGGACATCTCACATAATTTATTGAATACTGCACTGAAAGTAAAAATCAGAATGGTTGCATGGGTACCTGAAATATAGTTTCTACTAAATACTTATCACTTCATACTATTGTAAACTTAAAAAAAAAAACACTTAAGTTGAAGCATTGTAAGTTGGGAACTGTCTAATTACTGTTTGCATCTTTTCCATTAGAAGGATTTCTTTTAATGACTATCTTTTTGAGTTATCCCTGACTTGGATTGTACTGTGCCAATAGTATGTTTTTGCTATCACCAACCCATCTGCATGAGTTCTATTTTCCTCCAGTAGTTTATCACAAGGAACTCCCATTAGACTAAAGGTATAAGTTAAGGGTACTGCTTCAGCACAGCAGAGATAGGCAACATGGCGTTCTGAGCCACATGTTCATGTAACTTACTTCTACTCCCTATAATTGGCTGGGCTCCATCTAGAATATGTAATTTCTCCATCAAACAACTTTCCATTGTTATGTCTGCTCATCTTTATGACTCGAGGAATCTGATAATAACCAGGTCATGATGGGCATTCCCTCTCTCCCAGAGTCATGTGGTGCTGCATGGTCAGGCACTCAGTCTCTACAAAATTTGCTATTGCGATGATTGACTGCTGCTTTCTGTCTGCCAGTATTACACATATATTTTTATATTTATCATATATATTGAACAGTACCCTAGTTGTTTGTCATTCTGTCTTATCCCAAGAACATTATGATCTAATTGCTATTACTACAAAATCTCACAGGCAAGCCATCCGCAGCCTTGCTAGCATTACAGTAGCTACACCTACTTTGCATCTGACAGTTAACAGGCTACCCTCTGCCATTATACAATTTTCTACACACAATTTTAATACCAAGTAGCCTAGTTTTATGACAATGTTGTCCACTGTTAATTTCTGCCTATGGAGGAGAAACATGCCTGAGCTTCTGAAAGATGCTGGTAGATCCTTCATCAGTTCTTTCATTATTGCCTTAGTGAATCAAATGTTATCTGGGCTTCCTCATGCAACATTGTCAGTTAATGGGTCCTCAGGTCTCATATAATAAATATGATAATGATACTCCTTTGTTCTTTTGACCTCTTATACTATCATGAACACTCCAGTGTCTCCATTTTATTATAATTATTCATCATGTCCATACTTCAAAGAGATACCACAACTGAGTCTTAGAAACACCAATGCTGATACTGAGTGCTCACTATCAACTTGCTGGCCGTGAGTTATGTTAGGAGTACATCCTGAGGAGCACTTTTTGCAGTGAATTGAGGTCTTATGATCCCCAGACAAGAGAAAGGTTTCATCTCAGACAATTGGGAAGGAGCTGCTTCTGCCAGCCTGGTAGGTTCAGAGGTGTCTGGATTTCAAGATTCTAAGAGTTGTTCACGCAAAACCTCCATGCCAGCTCTCAGTTTTATTCTTTTCTAACAAGGCACTGAATTTAACATAGAAAGTCTGTGCATGTCTAACTTTTAAAATTATGCCACCTTGATGTTACAATGTGTGTCTAATTTTCAGTATAGTGTAACTTATCACTGCAGTTGATTGAGTTCTCTCTAATTGCTTGCATACATGACTTCTTGCTTTCACATGACTTGAACTAACATTTAGCTGAACTGAGCTTAACACTTTATTATTTTTGTTATTGAAGCATAACATACTAGTAATACACAATAAGTATAAAGCTTATAATTTGTGTTTTTGCAATCTAAACACACCTCTATGAATTACACAGCAAGATCAAAACCCAGGATATTATCAGCAACTCAGAAGCCCCTCAAGTTGTCAGTTCTCGCACTGCTATAAAGAAATGCCTGAAGCTGGGTAATTTATATAGAAAAGAGGTTAACTGGCTTACAGTTCTGCAGGCTGTACAGGAAGCATTTTGGCATCAGCTTCTGGAAAGGCCTCAGGAAAATTACAATCATGGCAGAAGGCAAAGTGGAAGCATGCACTTCTTACATGGCCGGAGAAGGAGGAAGAGATAGAGATGCGATGCGCGGTGCCACACACTTTTAAACAACATGATCTCCTGAGAAATCTATCATGAGAACAGCACCAAAGGGATGGTGCTAAACCATCAATGAAGGATCCATTCCCATGATTCAGTCACCTCCCGCCAGGCCCCACCTCCAATATTGGGGATTACAATTAAACATGAGATTTGGGATTTGGGTGGGGACACTAATCCAAACAATATCATCCCGCTAAACTCTCTTCAACTTTATAATCCCCACAAAGGATATCATTGTCCTGATACCCAGCACTAATATTATTTTTGTTTATTTTTGAACGTTACATAAATTGAATGTTACAGTATAGATTCTTTGTTGTGCTTGAGTAGTTTGATATTCATTCATGTTCATGTTATTATTGTTTGTTGGTCCCGTTTTGTGGATACCCTATAATTTATTCATCCATTTTGTTATTGATGGGTGTTTGAGTAGTTTTTATTTTTAGTCAATTAGAGTTAGTACTACCGTGAATATTTTTGTATATGTATTTTGATAAATATGTATACATTTCCACTGGACACACATCTAGAAATAAAATAATTTGGTTATCACATATTGATAAATTTAGCTTTAGAAGATATTAAAAAGCATTTTTCGAGATAATTGTGCCAATTTATACCTCTATAGCGTTGAAAATAAGAATTGTGATTGCTCAGCATTCTTACCAATGTTTGATGTTTTGTCTCCCTCTCATTTACTTCATTTTTAAAAAAATTTTAGCCATTCTCTTAGTTATGTAAGCTATTTCAGTGTGGTTTTAATTCCTTGATGATATTTTGAGCATAAGCACTTTTTCATAACGTGTCTTAGGTCAGATATTCACAGAATCAAATTTTGAGCCAAAGGTTGCTATGTGAGTGATATATTGAGGAAGTGTTCCCAAGAGAAACAAGTAAGTGAGTGGGAAGAGCAGGATGAGGAAGGAGAAGAAAAACCAAGGGTCCAATTCCGAGTGAAGTTCCAGAATTTGCCTGATTCTGCAACCCAAAAGTCTTAACGCTCCAATTTATCATTTTTCTCTCTTGATGATTACTGTGTTGTAATCATCAAGAGAAAATGATGTTTAATAAATAATCCTGCTTAATAAATCTTCGCATACAAACTGAATATTACAAAGATACTCTCCGGTTTTCTTCTGAAAACAGTAGCGTTTCCCTTTTTTACATTTAATTATTCAATGTATCTGGAATTAACTCTAGTGTATGATGTGAGGTAGAAGTCAATATGCATTAGTTTTTCCACCTTGATATCTAATTGACCCAGCATCATATATGGAAAAAATCTTCTTTTCCTTTCTGTCATTTTTATTTTTAAAGTTTCTAACAGTTAGTTATTCTCGTAATAATGTTTTCCCTATATAATTCAGGTTCTATAGTTATTACATAACAAAATGCTTTTTTTTTTTTTAACCTAACTACAGATAAGCATCTTAGGAACTGTGATACCATTGTATAGTAGGTGGCTTGAGTGCAGGTACTTTACTAGGCAGTGTGATCCAAGGAATAAACTATAAGATGGTAGTCCAATGAAAGATGCATTACCGATTTGGCATCTTCTGTGTTTCTGTTTTTACTAATTGCTTAATCCTAAGGACCTAGTTGACCTTCCACACAGGAGAAAAAGAGGCAAAGCAGCTATCCATTGAATGCCATTTTCCTCTTGGTCAAACGTTACTTCACAGAGCATTAATACACCTGTGCTACCAAGTTGCACATTTGGAAACCCTAAACTGTCCCAAAACATCTCAAAGGACAGCAGTAGAGTATCTCTGGGACAGGAGGTGGGAGTGACAACATGAGCCTGTGGAAAGAGCTTCCAGTTTATACTATCTTTAGCTGGTTGAAGCCTGTAGTTATTGTAGCAGCTCTGGATAGGAAGTAAGACAAAGAAGATTTGATGTGGTTCCTAAGAGGTTTTCATTACCCTACCCAAACACTGACAATCTCATTGAAAGAGGGACTTTCCTGAGAGTTGCTGAAAAGCCAGGCCAAAGTCTCTAAATGCCCCACATCTACCACAAATTTGTTTCAAGGCTTGTGCAAAAGGGGAAAAGAGATGGCTCTGAGGACGTCTTAGAGAGACAGTATATAAGCCCTTGCAGTGTCTATTCACTCGCTTTGTGTTCTTTTGTTAAACATCTGGCGTAAAGTCGTGATTAAAAAATAAATATGTATGGCCATACAATCTTCCCATCAGAATGATTCATGGTAGAGCTATCAGGTTCAGTCTTTTGCTATTTGAAGGTAAGTTTGTTGAAAAATAAAAAAAACAGTTACAATTCTTTTTTTAATTATTTTTATTTTTATTTGAGAGAGAGTCCCGCTCTGTCACCCAGGCTCGAGTAAAACATCTTTAAACACTATTCTCTCCCAAGTGTCTGGGAAATGGATTTCAGGGCTTCCAGAGTATTGTTTCTGCTTGGATTGCAAAAGTCAGCTTCAAAGTTTAGAATTTCATTCTTTGTTCTTTACTTACCCTCCCTACCCTGAAGGCAGTTCACATAGAAAGTCTTTGCTGATGGATTGAGGAGGCTAGGAATAAGATGAATTAAAAACAAATGTTTAATTTGAAAATGTTGCTCCACTACACAGTGGTGGTAGGCTATAGATAGGCATGAGATCGTCCTAACAACACATAAAAAACAGGAGACAGGCATCTATAATGTGGCCCACGAAGAAGTACCCGGGCTGAATCTTGAATGTGATATATCCCCTCCTCTAGGTTACTTTTAATGGAAGGGATCAGTCCAGAGTTTTTTGTTTTTCTAACCTAGGGAGTTTCTGACCACATGGGAAGTTCATTACCAAAAATGAATCTAAGCAGCCTCTGAACAGACAACTGCCCTTCCCCATACATTCCCCTCTTTAATGTTTATTTGCTGATCGAATAATTAACTCAAGTGAAAGAAATCATCAACTGAGTATTAACATTTTCACTATTTATTAAATCTTAATCACACTATTTTGAAGTGGCTTATTTCCTTTGGGATGGTCCCTCATGGTTACAACCTTATTTAAGTGGAGAGTTGCATCTCATACAAGGCCTGGGTCTTTATTTTTGCTAACAGGTTACTATTCACATTTCATTGTTGATCTACTTAAATATGAAAAGAGCACTTGGTTTGGGAACAGAGGCCTAACTTTATCAGTAAAACAAAGAAAGATAGAAGCCTAATAAATGTAAGCAGTTAGAATAAGGAAAAAGTCAGAGTCCCAAACCTCTACAAGTAAACTCCTAAACGCCTCCAGAGTTTTAGATAAAGGGCTTAGCCCCAAAAAAGCCTTCCCAAGAGATAACACAACTGAATGCTAATGAATACTGTCTGGAAGGCAGGTAGATTAAAATGGCCCTAAATAGTGCTACTAGAGCGCTTCACTTAAGCATCTGTATTAATCTGCCCTCCACCCACTATAAAGAAATACCTGAGACTGGGTAATTTATAAAGAAAAGGGGTTTAACTGGCTCATGGTTCTGCAGGCTTAACAGGAAAGCATGATGCTGGCCTCTGCCTGGCTTCTGGGGAGGCCTCAGGAAATTTTCAATTGTGGCAGAAGGCAAAGGGGTACAGAGCATGTCTTACATGGCCAGAGAAGGAGCAAGAGAGAGAGCAGGGAGGTGCCACACACACTTTTAAACAACCAGATCTTGTGAGAACCCTATCCTAAGTACAGCACCAAATGAGGATTGTGTGAAACCATGAGAAACTGCTCCTATGATCCAATCACCTCTCAACACCAGGCCCCACCTCCAGCATTGGGGATTGAATTTCAATATGAGATTTGAGTAGGGATACAGATCCAAACCATATTAACATCCATCCCAAAAGAATGCTCCTTGTTGTTGATCTAGGTCCTGAGAGCCTTTATGGCCTAGCTTTTCCCAGCTCTAAGTGAAGTTTCTCATACTTCAGGAGGCCTTCATGGAAGGGCAGGAAGCCTGCAAAAATGTCAGGGCTACCACACCTGCTTTGACAGATAGTGCCTGTAATATGACAAAAATGCGGAGTAGAGCCAAGCCATCCACAGATTGTAGTGATGCTGTAGATGCTGGTTAATTATGTAACCTTCTATGTTAGACTGTGCCTCCATGGAATGCATGTGTGAGAAAAGTGCTTCTAGGCTGCCTATATTCACAAAGTCAAATTTAGAAGTGATGGATCAACCACCTCATTGTTTCTGAGGAATAATAGATGGCATCAATGGTTTCAAGGTGATATAAACATGAGAAATTGAGCCAGTCAACAGCCAGCTGGATATAGTCCTGTCTATGTCCTGACAGTGCTTATTGCCTTATCCTCCCCACAATCCCAGATAATCCCCCTTGATATTCTCTGGCTTTTCATGTCCTTTTCATCCTTTTGTGTCACTTGATAAAAAATGGTCCATTTGCCATCTGTAAAGCATCTCCACTCCTTTTTCTGTACATATAGATACATCAATAAATAGACATATGGTCATGTGCTGCATAATGATGTTTGGGTCAGCAATGAACCACATATATGACAATGGTTCCATACGATTAGACTACTATATTTTACTGTGCCTGTTCTGGGTTTAGATATGTTTAGATGCACAAATACTTACCATTGTGTTACTGTGCTGTGCTATATAGGTGTATAGCCTAGCAGGAATATGCCATACCGTGTAGCCTAGGCTATATCATCTAGGTTTGTGTAAAAACCCTGATGTTTCCACAGGAATGAAATTGCCTAATGACTTACGCAATACACGACTGCATAGATATCTATCTATGTCTACCTACCTACCTATCTATACATAGGTGGGTGGGTGTGGGAGGGGTGTTTTGAATTATATCAATATTTTGGAAACTGTTGACAATTGTTTAATAATTTTGTAAATAATGTGTACTAAAAATAACATTCTCCAATTGGGTATAATGTACTATGTATTTCCATTAACTTAATATTATTCACACTATTCAAATTTATATGGACTTTCTCAGTCTGCTTTGCTTTGTCTGTCAGTTACTGAGAATTATGCTGAAATCTCAAACAATCATGGATTAGTCTAGATATTTTTGTTGATCTAAAAATGTTTGCTTTTATATTGTAAGAATATGTTATTGATGACATAGAAGGTTCTTATATATTCCTGAGTAAAGATTTTATTTATATGTAGAGACTCTTGATCACGAATTAATGACTTTAAAACAATTTCTTTAACTGATGTTAATATAGACAACATATTCCTTTTCTTTATATTTGCTTTTTTACTTTCCACCTTTCTGTGTCATGTTTTAGGAGGTATGTCTCTTGTAAACACAATGTATCTGATTTGTAAAGATCCAACTTGATAATTTTTATTTATTAACTGGTATAGCAGAAGCTGATGGTGCTTCACCCTTGTCAGACCAGAATTGACTATGTCTGGTAATGTTGATACTTCCTAAATAGAAAAAAATGGTGACTCTATCTGACGACTTTCTCTGGCCGCAGGAAGATGTTGTGGGACAGACAGAAAGTGCTACAGAACTAATGGCCCCAGCAGCAGTCCTGAGACAATGAGGAATAAAAGTTGTTGAATAGACATGATAGCTCCTTCACCCAGGAGCAACTCTTCCAGTGACTCTAGTAACTGTCTTGGAGAGCCCCAATTGGATAGAACCTCAGTTGCCCAATGTTTCAGCTCTCACTTCATTCCTCTCTGGAATCAGCTCTCAAATTACTGCCCACAAATCCTTGTCTGGGGGGGTCTGCTTCTGAGAAAACCACCTAAAGCAACTAAAATTTAAACTATTTATATAAATTGTGATTACTCAAAAGCTTAGATTTATTTTTGCCATTGTAATCCCTGAACAGACTGCACAGACTAAATCAATTCACTGAGATTGCTATATTGCAGTAAAGAAAGACTTTAATTAATTCTAGGCTAGGCATATGGTAGACAGGGTTATTACTCAAATCAGTCTCCCTGAAGGCTCCGTGGTGAGGGATTTCCAAGGATAGTTTGGTGGGCAGGAGACTAGGGAATGAGTGCTGCTGACTAGTTGGGGATGCAATCATAGGGGTATGAAAAATGATCCTCATGCACTGAGTCTGCCTCTGGGTGGGGGCACCACAAGACCAGCTGACTCATGGATCCTGAGTCTGGATGGAATCAGTTGGTTGCCAGAGTGTGAAAGTCAGGTCCAGGCATGGTGGCTCATGCCTGTAATCCCAGCACTTTGGAAGGCTGAGGCATGTGGATTGCTTGAGCTGAAGAGTTCAAGACTAGTCTAGGCAACATGGCAAAACCCTATCTCTACAGAAAGTACAAAAATTAGTCAGGCATTGTGGCATACTCTTGTAGTCCCAGCTACTTGGGGAGCTGAGGTGGGAGAATAACCTGAGCCCAAGGAGATTAAGGCTGCAGTGAGCCATGATCACAACACGGCACTCCAGCCTGGGCAACAGAGTGAGACCCTGTCTGGAAAAAAAAAAAATCTGAAAAACATCTCAAAGGAGCAATCTTAGTTGCTACAATAGTGATATTATCTATGAGAGCAGTCGGGGAAGTCATAAATCTTGTGACCTCTGGCCACGTGACTCCTGAGTAGTAAGGGATTATAGAAACTATGCCTATATCTTAGCAGAATACAGGCCCCTACCATGATTCTAATCTTGTGGCCTTTCATTAGTTTTGCAAAGGAGACTTCAGCACCTGAACAAAGAGGGAATCAGTTTTAGGGAGTGACTATTATCATTCTTGCTTCAAAAGCTTAAGCTATAAACTAAATTCCCCCCATGGTTAGCTTGGCTTATGCCCACTAATGAGTGAAGACAGCCAATCTGTAAGGCTAGAAGCAAGATGGAGTCGGCCATGCTAGATTTCTCTCACCATAATAATCTTTGCAAAGGTGGTTTGGTGAATTTTTTTTTTCCATATTATAAATGTGTTCCACTTACAAGCTTTTTTTTTTTTTACTATCTCTTCATTTATTCTTACATCTCTTGCCTTATTTAAAATGTTTCAGCAGCTTGTTTCTTCTCATTTCATCTTTTCTTTTTTTTCTTTCTTCTATTTTGGGAATAATCTCTATATCTATTCTTTTCCTGGCTACTCTGATATTTTTTCTGAGAATGGCAAAAAGTAAACACTTTAAGCCAGGAGAACTGAACTGTGGACAGGCAGTAGTCAACATAACATGTTTTCACAGAACATCAATTTTATCCAATCATTTGTTATTTAGATCATTATTTTATATGAAATATAAAACTAATACAGAACAACAAATTTATAAAATTCTGTTGATTAATAACACAGAACTTCAGAGAGATTGCATTTTCCTGAGAGCAACTTCAGCTAAGTCTCAAATCCTTTCAAGTTTCACTATTGTCTGGCAATCAGGTTTTTCAGATGAAAGTACTTGAGATATTTCACGAATTTTTAAAATCAATCTGTTGAGGTGAAAGTTATGTTAAAGTAATTAGCATAATTACTATTTCAGTGACATGGCACAATTAAATTTATTTCATTTTAAAAGAAAATCCGTTGAGGCCCAGGAAATTCTTCCAGGCATATGTCCTCAGTGTGCTCAGAGGTGCAGGCTGCTTTGCTGTGGTGTCACTTCCATCTCAACCTAGGCTTTCCTAATTGCTGCAACGGGAACAAGCAAGTCTTGAACCAGAAAATACATGTTCCAGTTCTGCAGCACAGACATCACTCCCTATCACATCCCATTGCCCTGACATACTTAGATGGTCCTGCTTAACTAAAAAAGGGCAAAAGAGTACTACTGTCATGTGGAAGAAGAAGAGAGATAATAGCAGATAAGCACTACAAGTTTACTAGTTTTCAAAGAAAATTGCTTCTCCCAGTAATAATAGCAAATATTGCTAGTGTAAGTATTTACTTTAAACCTTTGAAAGATATGTAAGCAGGTAGTGCAGTAGGGAGAAGTCTTCCTCAGCTTGATGATGATTTTTTGTTAAATGACTTCCTTAGTGATAAATGCACAACTTTTGATGAGTGATTGGTGAGCCCCTTGGATAATTATTCAACTATTTGTTTCATCATCTGACCTTTTAAAATGTCCCAATTATACTAAAATCATATGATTTTACTTTTCCTTACTGTGTAGACACATTGTTCACTTATTTTTCAATCATGCTGTTCATCTTCACAATACTTTCTCAGTAATCACTCTTTAATATTTCTATTATAAGGCACCCAGCATTAACAATCGCATATGTAAGTGTGAGTGTTGGATTTTACACAGGGGAAAAAAAGTATCTTTCTGTAAATCTTCTTTCATAGCATGCTATATTCCAGAGACATTTTGTCTGATTCAGCATTTTATTTAAAAATTCTGCTTATTCTTTTTCCTATTTCTTCTTTCATATATTATTTTTAACACAGGGGAGTAATACATAAACATAATATTTGAAATCATGAGTGAAATAATGTATATCTTCTAATGAGCATTACATGGAGAGTATATTAATATCCAAAAGATTGTCACTCACAAATATTAAAAATATTTTCACTCTTCTAATATCATACGTCAAAGGATATTGGGAAGTCTAAACAGACTTCCCAAGAAGGGGAAAAAAATCACCCACACTATCATTTACTTGTATTAAAACTCACATGTCAACTTGTAAACATGTGTCCTATTAAAAGGTTTATCTAAAAGAGACTTAGTACAGAATTTCAAAGACAAAGTAATTATGTTTTAATGACAATGCATTTTAAGATTCACAATGTACATTTTATTTGTCAATAGTTTTGTGTATTTCAGGATAACTTATTGAATCATATGTTTTGACTCCTGCCTATCTACAGAAACACCTCCCAGGGTAGCCTGCATATATTTTAAAATATAAAATCTATTATGTATAGGCTGAAAAGTTGATTTCTTGTTCCTAACGTTCTAAATTTTGAGTACTATCAAACTGTAGTATATATTGTAGAAAAATAAAATGAAGAACCATGAATTCTGCACAAGGAATTTTAGAAAAGACTCTAAATATATAAAACATTGGCTGGATACCGTGCCTCACCCCTGTAATCCCAGAACTTTGGGAGGCCAAGGTGGGAGGATTGCTTGAGGCCAGGAGTTCAAGAGCAGCCTGGGCAATACAGCAAGACCTGGTCTCTAACAAAAAAATAAATAAATACAACATTTATGCCCCAATTTTTCTTATTATGTGGAAAATAAACATTGAATAAATGAAAACTCAACTTACAGAGTTATAGTTACATATTCCAGGTTGCAAGCTGGAATATTATGCATAATAAAATATCATGTCAATAAATAATATGTACAAAGACTATATAATTGAAAAATTTCTGGCAGAATTGTTTATAACGACAATTTTATATGAATTGCAAAGCGAATACTACTAAGTAAAAAGTAGAATGGCATAAAATAACTGGAAATAGATATATCATAATATTAATAGTAAAGGACTAAGGATGATTTTTCAGCTTTTATATTTTTCTACTACTTGCTATTTTCAATGTCCTCTAAGGGCCTACATTAACTAAATAATGGATTTTTTTTTTTTTTTTGAAATAGAGTCTCGCTCTGTCACCCAGGCTGGAGTGCAGTGGCGCGATCTCCATTCACTGCAACCTCAGCCTGCCAGGTTCAAGCAATTCTCCTGCCTCAGCCTCCCAAGTAGCTGGGACTACAGGTGCACACCACCATGCCCAGCTAATTTTTTGTGTTTTTGGTAGAAAAGGGGTTTCGCCATACTGGCAGGCTGGTCTCGAACTCCTGACCTCGTGATCCGTCTGCCTCCACCTCCTAAAGTGCTGGGATACAGGCATGAGCCAATGCGCCTGGCCAATGATGGAAAATTTTAAATATTTTTGATTTCTTTTTTTAATAGAGTCTTGCTCTGTCACCCAGGGTGGAGTACAATGAATGGCATGATCTCAGCTCACTGCAACCTCCACCTCCCAGGTTCAAGCGATTCTCCTGCCTCAGCCTCCTGAGTAGCTGAGCTTACAGGCTCCTGCCACTACGCCCTGCTAATTATTGTATTTTTAGTAGAAACAGGGTTTTACCATGTGGGCCAGGCTGGTCCTGAACTCCTGACATCAAGTGATCCACCCATCTTGGCCTCCCGACATAATATTCTTGAATTTTATAGGCTATTTTTATTTGTATTTTTGCCCTGTCAATCAGTTGGCTCCAATAACTATTCAAGTGCATGAAAATATAAGTTCACTGTGATTATCTCTTTTGATTGAATCTACTCTTGTTAATGGAAGAAAGTAGTGCAATTTGTCAGTTAAAAGTGACGTCACTATTAAACACATCAATCAAAAGGAAGATTGTCAGGCAGCAGCCACAGACAAAAGGAACTTTAAAACAAAAATGTTATTATAAACAAAGAGGTATCTATATAAGGAAAGTATCAATTCATTAGGAAGACATAACTATAAACAGAAATGTACCAGAGCCCTTGAAAATATACAAAGCACAAACTGACAGTATTAAGGGAAGAAATAGATAATTTCCACAATAATACTTGAAGATAATACCTCACTTTCTTTTTTAAAATTTTTTATTATACTTTAAGTTCTGGGATACATGTGCAGAACGTGCAGATTTGTTACATAGGCATACATATGCCATGGTGGTTAGCTGCACCCATCAATCTGTCACCTACATTAGGTATTTCTCCTAATGCTGTTCCTCCCCTAGCCCCCCACCCGCTGACAGGCCCGGGTATGGGATGTTCGCCTCCCTATGTCCATGTGTTTTCATTGTTCAACTCCCACTTATGAGTGAGAACATGCAGTGTTTGGTTTTCTGTTCTTGTGTTAGTTTGCAGAGAATGATGGTTTCCAGCTTCATCCATGTCCCTGCGAAGGACATGAACTCATCCTTTTTTATGGCTGCATAGTATTCCATGGCGTATATGTGCCACATTTTCTTTATCCAGTCTGTCACTGATGGGCATTTGGGTTGGTTCCAAGTCTTTGCTATTGTGAACAGTGCTGCAATAAACATACATGTGCATGTGTCTACATAGCAGAATGATTTATAATCCTTTGGGTGTATACCCAGTAATAGGATTGCTGGGTCAAATGGGATAATACCTCACTTTCAATAATAGCTTCACAATAAAAAATATGTAGCAGACTCAATACTGTCAACCACGTTGAGCTAATGACATTTATAGAATATTCCATTCAACAATAATAGAATACACATTTCTTAAGAACACACGAGATATTCTCCAGGATAAACAATAGGCTACATCATAAAACAAGTTACAAGAAATATAAAAGAATTGAAATAATACAAAGTAAGTTTCTCTGACCACAACTAAAGTAAACTAAAAACCAGTGGCAGAAAGAAAATTAGGATATTTGTGAATATTATTAAACAACACATTTCTAAATGACCTACAAGTCAAAACAAAATTACAAAGGAAAATTAGAAATATTTTAACTGACTGAAGACAGAAACACATAACAAAACATTTGCAAACTTATGCTAAAGCAGCTTATTTTGTTTTGAAAAAATATATACCTTTAAATGCCTATACTAGGAAAGAAAATCTCTAAGCAATAACGTTTTTTGTCTTAAAACATTAGATAAACAAGAGCAAACTAAACACAAAGCAAGCCAAAAATAATAATAAATTAGTCTCATCAAAATTAAAAGCTATTTTGTTTTAAAGGCACCATTAAGAAGGTGAAAAGCTACAGACTGAGACAAAAAAGGTTTGCAAATCAGGCTAACAAAATGTTCGCAAATTATGTGGCTGATAAAGCACTTGCATCCAGAATGCATCAACAATACTCATATTAGTAAAGGAAATATATGAATGCCAATAAGCACATGAAAAGGTGCTCAACAGAATTAGTCATTAGGTAAATGCAACTACCACCACACTGAGATATCACTTTACACCCATTAGAATGGCTAAAATTTAAAAGATAGACAATAACAAATACTGGTAAGAATGTGGACAAATTGGAACATTCATAGATTGTTGGTAGAGTTGTAAGACGATGTAGGCAAGTTGGAACAGTTTGTAGTTCTTAAAATGTTAAAAACAAATTTACCACATAACCTCACAATTCAACTCTTAAGTTTCTACACAAGACTGATGAAAATGCATGTCCACACAAAAACATGTATTTGAATTTTCAGAGCAGCATTATTCATAATAGGCATAAAAGTAGAAATAAATCTGAATGGTCTTCAACTGGTGAATAAACAAACACAATATGGTATATCTATATAATAAAATATCACTCAAAAATATTTTTAAAAATGCATGCTACAATATGGATGAATCCCCAACATATTATGTCAACTAAATGAAGCCAGATACAAAAGGCCATGTATTTAATGATTCCATTATATTAAAAGCCTAGAAAAGAGAGACAAAAACTGGATTAACAATTGTCTGTGGATGGTGATAGAAAAATGGAATGAGTGTAAATGTGCACAAGAGATATTTTTGGAGTAATAAAATGTTCAAAAGTAGACAGTGCTTATAGTTACACAACCTGGTACATTTACCAAATCTTTAGGAATTTTCCATTAAAAATGAGAAATGTTATGGTATAAAGTTTTGGGATTTTTTTTTTTAAGAGGTTCTCAGGGCCGGGTGCGGTGGCTCACACCTGTAATCCCAGCACTTTAGGAGGCTGACGCAGGCAGATCACGAGGTCAGGGGTTTGAGACAGGCCTAACCAACATGGTGAAACCGCGTCTCTACTAAAAATACAAAAAAAAAAAAAAAAAATTAGCGAGGCATGGTGGTGCGCGCCTGTAATCCGAGCTACTTGGGAGGCTGATGCGCAAGAATTGCTTGAACCTGGGAAGCAGAAGCTGCAGTGAGCCGAGATTGCACCACTGCACTCCAGCCTGGGTGACAGAGTGGAAAAAAAAAAAAAAGAGGTTCTCCGACCAGTATAGCTTCTCTCTGGCATGACTTTTCATTTAGCATAGTTATAGTAAAGCTAGGCTGCAGTGATAAAGAGACCTTCTGATGTGGGAACTGTTTCAGGCTACTGAGTGGCTTTGCTCCACAGGAACATTCTGAGGTCCAGTTTCTTTCTATGTTCTTTGTCTGCGTCTCCCATAGCCTATGTTCTAATTGATAAAGGTAAACATGACAAAGAACATTGCAAATTGACATCAGTACCCCTTGATATGATACGCTAAGAAGGACATCATATCACTTAAGGAGCATTCTCGCCGAAAATAGATAATTTGAACTCCTCATGAGGAAAAATCAAAATTGAGGAACATTAAAAAAAATTGCCTGTACTTTTCAAAAATGTTGATGTTATAAACTGTTCCAGATAGAAGAAGAATAAAGAGATACAAAAAGTAATGGCAAAGTATGGTTCTATATTAGATCCCAGCTCAGTGCAAAGTGTGGCAGTTATGATAGACAACTTTGAAAAAATTAATAAAACTTTAATTTGTATATTGTAGTATTTTATAAATGTAAAATATCCTCAATTTCATATATTTACAATTAAATATTAGTTTCATAGTTGTCATTGTAGTATGCAGAGACAATAATCAAATTGAATCTAAAACTATTTAGATTAAAGCAAACATCGTCCTGCTTAAAAAGTAGAGAAATAACTTGTATGGACTATTAACAACTATCCTTAAATAATTACAAGCAAATTATTTGGGGATCATAGTTTTCTGAAGAATTCTTTATTTTGTATCATATTAAATAGATTTTTAATGAATTCAGTTAAATAGAGTTACAATAAATGTTATCATTTATAATGTAGGAAAAACTGTCCATGGCAGTGTATAAGTATTTAAATGTCGTGATAGTGGAAGATAATTTTTACTGGATTTTTAAATGACTAGAAATTATTACTTCATTAGAGAAATAACTTCATCACAAATTTTAGATAATTTTAATTATTGCTATGATTGTAAAGAAATAAAGTGGCTTATTTTGTTGTTAATTTTTCCTTCAGTCTGTTTTCTTTTGGGCCTGTATCTTAGTGAATGATTATGTGTGTACAAATCCTTTTATACACTTGATGTCTTTGGCCTTTTTCTGATTACAGCTTTAGTACAATGAAGATACAAATGAGATACACCTTTGTTAAACTTCCAAAACTCATAATTCATTATGGAAGGGTATGTCATGATCATCTAATTTAGTACCTTTATTTGAAGAAATTCTAGTATAGATCATCTGATTACCAGTCAGAATATCCTAGCAGTAAATAGTATGGGTTTTTCTAAAGTCTTAGCCTACAAAATATTCTCCAAGTGACCATAATCATTGATGACAAATGATCATTTATTTGATCCTATTTACTCCTCTCTTTAATTTTATAATTGAAGACAATTACAGCAATTGCTTCACATATTACTGTGAGAATCTAACGAGATAAAGCATCTTAAACAATTATGACAATTTCTGGATGATAGTAAATGCTCACTAAGCATTAGTAAAAATATTGAGGATGATTATCAAAATTATATTATTCCAAGGCTTTAGAACAAGTTGTTGGTCTGCCAATTATAGTGGGTTGCTTCTACTTACCCTGCAGAGGGTATTCTACTAAAGCAACTTCGCTGTAAAAGAAGAAAATTGTAATTATAATTGGTGGTGTGTATATATTAAGGGTTTAACTCAGAAAAATGTGGTGTGGGTCAAAATTACATAATTTGTTAATGAGCTGGCACTAAAGAAACAAAAGGTGGTGTTAAATTAAAATGCTAAAATTTGTTCAAAGTATGACATTACTCACTACAAAAAAATATGAGAAGAGTTTAGGGAATAGCAGACTATAGAAGTTATTCATTATGCATTCCATTACCACGTCTATATAAAACATCCAACTGGAAATGCAGTCTAAGAAAAGCTTTCTGCTTTAAGAAAAGAAACAATGTGTTCCATTGGAATAAGTTATCAGACATCAATCTGGAATTTAAGTATTGGTCATTCTTTATAATAAATAAATGCATAAATACCTGTATGTAAGTGTGTGTGTATACTAATATTAGCATTTTCATGTACATTTAAAAATTATCATTGATAATTATTAATGGAAGCTAAAAGTGACATTTATCTCCATCCTAACCTTTAGTCTAATGTATAAAGCATAATTCTACTAGATAGTTCCATTTATCATGTGGCTAAAAATATGAATGATTTTATTTACTTCATTCACTTGTAGTTTTAGTTTTTAAGAAAAAGAAGCTGAATTTAGCCGTTCAGCATTTAATGCTATTGTATTTTTCTAAATTACTTTTCTTGTATCATGAACAATCATTTAAAAATGTCATTTTCTGTTTTTATTAAAATGAGTTCCAGGATTACAATAATCTTACACTGTAGTAAGTAAGTAGAATTTTGAAAATGGAATTAAGATGCTCTGACATGAAATTATTTACGCTTTGTATCAAAACATCAAACATTGCCAGAGCTGAAACTAATTTATTTTAGAATCTATGTACATAAACAGAGTAATCGGAAATTTAAAAGAAAAAGTCTTTGTAGGCCTAAATGGATAGTTTCTATAATAACATATCAAAGAAGCTAATGAGCAAGTAATTTCAGGTGGCCTTGAGAGAGCCATTATGGCAAGAGAACACTGGAAATTTCCTAAAACAATCTGATCTCTGTATTTAAAAAATTGATCAAGTGCCTTTATGCTATTAGTTGTTAAATAAATGAAACCAAAGTAGGTGAGTCATAGATCATAATAGTAAAATACTAAAAATCTGGAGAAATCTACAAAAGGCATAAACAATAGCTTCAGGATATTTGGAGCTAAGACTGTTATATCTATTAATAAATAGATTAAATATGAGAATAAAATCTATTTTGTATCCTTCATAGCTCCTAATATAAGAAAATAAATCAAAATTATAAATTGTCCATTTGTAATATGTTTAAAAAGAAAATAAGTCATCTATTTCCTTTATTTTTACTAGAACTAGTTGTGGTTTTTTTTGAAAAGTGAATGCACTTCTGCAGATAAACTTATTATTTGATACAGTGAGTACTGCAATGACAGCTCAATGTGAGTATTTAACTGCCGTATTTCAAAATGATTACCACGTGCAGATTAGGAGCTGTAATATTTCTATTTCCTATGCCATTATTCTAGAAACAGTAAAGTTCCTGCTGACATTCTTATAAGACATGTGGACAAACTGGAGGAATTAATGATCAAGATGCCTTTTGCTAAAAACAAGATGAACATCCGTCACTCTGTAGTAAGTGCACAGCATAGTTTTGTACTTCTTGATAAACAAAGGATTATAAAGTACAAAGAACTTTTGATCTCCAGATTCAAATTTGTAATTTACCTATAGATAATGTATCCTGCACATTTAAATATAGTGCCTTTATACCAATCATGAACAATATCTCACCTTTGAAAGATAAATCAAATTGTATAAAATCAAATAGGTTAGGAAGGCATTCTCTATATTAACAGAAAACTAACTTAAACTTTAAGCTTATGTTTGGTTTGGAACACTGGGAAATTTTAAATTTCTTACTTTTATTTTTAATCTTCATAGCTTGCAACATTAAGAAAGAATGCTTTGATATATTTGGCCATAAATGCTTTAATTTCAGAAATACTCATTTATTTTAAGTAGCAAGCATGGAAACACTGCTGTGTACTTAGGGAAAAAAAACGAGGTCCATGATTTGGAGGAAATTTCAAATTTTTAATGGTAGTTCAAGAGGACAGTGTAACAAGTCTAAGCTGCTATCAGTTTTCATATTTTTTTAAATTATAAAGTTATTGTTCCCAGTAAGTAAATTCAGAACACTAAAAGTATGTGTCTGCATGTTGTTGCATGCCATCAAGTGGTCTTACATAATGGACTCTTAGTACATCCATAGTTCTATTCTAGCCTTTAAGTCTGGTTTAAAAATAACCAGGAGAGAGGGGTTTCTATGACTAGCTTCCTTGACTAACGTAATGCATGATCCTTGTTGACTTCCTTTTTTTTCTTTGTTTACATGTCTACATCCAATCATTTACATTTGTATCTTTTACATGATTAATTATAAAAATGTACCCATTAAAATAACAGGTATAGTAATAAAGTAATATAGCCTTTGAAAATTTCAGAGAAATATATAAATAAATGAAAAATGCCCAGTAATTATTGACAACTACCTAGAGGAAACCAGTTTTTAAAAACTTTGGTGACTCTCCCTTTATGTTTTTTTTACATACTGTTACAAAATCAGGAATATACTATATGTACAGTTTTGCATCCTATTTATTGGTGTCTTTATTTTCATTCAATGTTGTAGAAATGCTTTGAAAGTATTTCCTACGGTTGCAAAATTATTCTATTGTTGCAATGCTATTTATTTTTATATTATTTCTATTTTTTTGCAATTATAAGTAATAATTTGGTTTATCCACTTCAGTCATAAATATCTTAATATTTGCTTAAAGGATATTACTACACATGAAATTAGACAATTGGAAGAAATGAAGTTTTATCAACAAATGAAGCTTATTTCAAAATAGACACATCATGTTAAATAAACCATCCTAATGGGGCTTTTCATGCCTAAGCCTTTATCAATATCTTTGTTATTGTTTTCTCAAACACCTTTATTTTTCATTAACCTTTTCCTAGAAATGAGGTGCCTAAAACAAATCTCTGTATTCATACTAAACATTATTTTAAGCATAGCCATTTAGGTAATGCATTTTCAAACCAGCTGGGGTTTGTGATACCTATGCTAAAATGACAAGGCCTCTGAAATTTGGTCGCTTCTTAAATAAGTATCAATTCGTACTACCCTTTTGGGGGGCATCTTTCTCTTGAGATCATATGTGGCCTACAATATTTTCCTCAGTGAATTTTCAATTTGGATGAATCAAAATGAGGTTTCGACCATATATTAAACCTCCCCAGGGCTTATTATTGCTTCTCCACCTGGGTATGTATGCAATATTTCCCAACTTAGCAAGGTCTGTGAATCTAATTAGCATGCTGTTTACTTCCTCAATGCCGTCGTTAATAAGACTGTTTAAAAGAACTGGACCTACCACTAGCGCTTGTAGTGGTCCTCTAGATACCCCCTCCCTTCTAGAATAATTGCCATTTATTTTGAGCCCTTTTATTTGATACTTCAACCAATTTTTAGTCTATGAGAAAGTGTTCGTATCCAAGCTAATTTAAACTTACACTTTGAGTAAAATTTTATAAGACATGCTATCCTTTTGCTTTGCTGAAATCAAGATATACCACATCTATTGCTGCTTTCATCTATTAATCTCATAACTTGATCCACAAGGAAAAAAAAGCAATTAAATTTGCCTGGCATGATTTTTTTCTTTGTAAAATCCTACTGCTTGCTTTTCATAATTCATTTATCCTCTAGATGTCTTCCAATATTTATCTTAGGATTTGTCTTCGTATTTTACTAAGAGTTGAGATGACTAGTGCTCTCCTTTTAAGAAAACAGAGGCTTGTTTGCTCATAGCTTTTCTCTTTTATAGCCTCAAGTTACCTATGAAAATAAACAAAGCAGCGTTCGTCATTGGGAAGCAACCTCACTGAATAGATTATGTCTCCCTATTCTGTCTTAAAATTGTGGCACAAAGTCAATATATATGTTTTTATTCCTAAACATTCTAAATTGTATGGTAGAAAAGCAAAACGCTGGATTTTTAAAACGACCCTCTCCTCCATGTGTTTAACAAGATCTTTATTACATGCTAATTGCTTCAGCTTCAACTTCCTACCTTGTCTTTTGTTTGTTTGTTTGTTTTTGCTTGTTGTTAAAGATGATTTTAGAAAGCAGGTCAATATCTTAGTCATTTCAAAGTCTTAGTGGATTTCATTATCTTCTCATTAATTAGTATACACATAATCCTTATTTATTGCTTTGTAAACCCCTTTGGATATTATTAACATTTTCTTTTCTTTTTTATATATTTTTCCTGAGATTTCCTTTTTACTAAAAGGCCTATCTCATTATTTGTATTTTTATAACTTGGATTTCATTGATCCTTCCTACAGCTGCTATAATTTTCCTTCATTTCTATACTTCATCCCTGAAATAACACTATTTATGTTTATCACAGATACATGTCATTTATAGCATTCAGAAATATTAGGTCTCTTCTTGATCCATTAATTTTTATTTTTCACTTAACAATAATTGACACATTCCAAGCCTCTACATTTTTTTAAAGTAAATCAAATACAACTCCCCTTTACACATTCTCCATTCCTAGTCAGGCTAAGTTAAAATTGGTTGATTTTTAAATCCAAGAGTTGGAAAAGACGGAAAAACATGAACAGTTAAGAAAGTATTGCAAGATTTCTGGCAAGAATGAGTACAGGCTGTCTTGTAAAGAAGAACTGAAGTAGAGAGGAGACTCAATGTGAAAGGTAAATAACAGGCCTTGGCAACTAAGAACACTCAGAAGTTAGGTTTTCTCCTTTCTGTCATTTTCTTTCTATCCTGGTGAACTAAATCTGTGCTTTTCAAAATTATTGTACATTACTTACCTGGATATTTTCTTAAAATTGGATTTTTATTCATTAGGTCAGGACTGAGACCTGAGCTTCTGCCCCTAAGTGATGCCAGTGCTGATGGGGTAAGTGACTAAATGTCTGTCTGGAATGTCTGAAGAAGGGCATCCTGTCTTGCCCTCATCCAAGGAGCTCTTTCTAAACCATTGACAATAAAAACATACCTTTTGTGTTTTATTTCTAAAAAGTCTAAAATAATAACTCACATGGACACATGATAATATTTTAAAGTACTAACAAGTGATATATTTGCACACAAAGTACAACATTTTTACCAGAAAGAATCCTTTAATTTTAGAAACTTCTGAGTCCAAGCCAGAATTTAAAAATCATTTCAAGGAAGCTGTCACCTGAATGTAGCATCCACCATGTTGGAGGTTCAATTATATAAGTTCCATGAAAAAATTTAGACTTCACAAGAAATAATGATAGATGCCTTGTTGGGTTTGTGATGTTGGATGTGAGAAGAGGAGAATATTGGTGCAAGGAATGGTTGAGAGCCACATTTTTTTTCCCCTTGGGCTAGATGAATTTTTAGTATATAAATATTTATATAAAGTGTGTATTAATATATATTCTAATTATACTTTTTGTATCAATTTTATTGAAGTATAATTTTATACAATAAACTGCATTAGCATAAACAGTATTGGTACAATGCTAACCTCACAAATTGAGTAGGGAAATGTTTTCTCCTCATCTGTTTTCAAAAATACTTTGCATAGTATTTCTGTTATTTCTCTTTTAAATATCTAGTAAAATTCACCAGCTCTAGAATTCTCTTTAATTCAGGAAATTTTTAATTATAAATCAAACACATTTAATAGCTATAGGGCAATTCAGGTTATCTATTTCTTTTAAAGTTTTGTAGTTTGTGTCTTTGAAGGAATTTCCTTTGCTCTAAATTCTCAGATACGCAGATATAAAATTGTCTATGATATTCTCTTATTAACATTTTAATGTTTGCAGTATGAGTAGTTATTAACCTTCTTTCTTTCCTAATATTCATAAACTGTGTTCTCTTTCTTTTCTTGGTCTGTTTAGCAAAGGTTTATCCATTCTAAAAACATCTTTTTAAAAAACCACTTTTTGGCTTTGTGAATTTTCTCCATTATTTGACTCCATTCACTTTTTTACTCATATTTTTCTAATCTGAATGTTTTCTTTCTTCTACTTACAGTTGGTTTACTTTATTTTTAGCTAGCTTTTTGACATGAAATCTCAGGTCACTTATATTCATTTTTTCTTCTGTTTTAATGTAAGTATTTAAAGTTACAAATATCTTTCTAAGAACAGTTTTAGCTGTATCCCACAAATTTTGTTTTGTTTCATAGTCTTATCATTCCACTGAAAATATTGTCTAATTTCATTGTGATTTCTTCTTGTCCTACTTAAAATGGTGTTATAATAATTTCTAAGTATTTGGGGTTTCTTTGATGGGTTATGGTATCAGTTTCAACTTAATTGGGTTGTCATTAGACAACACATTCTGTATAATTTCAATTATTGTAAACTTACTGAAATTTGATCAATGAGACAGGCATTTTCAAAAAAGGAAGTTTTAACATTATTTTCCTTATTACTGTGGCTCAGTACATACCATGTGCAATTGAAAAAAATATATGTGTATGTATATATTCTTGAGTGTTTTTTCAATTATCTAATTTTTTACCAATTTTTGTGACTCTTAAAAATGTTTGTGGAATTAGTCCAATTTTTGTGGTTCAATATACACAAATAAAAAATACAGCTAACTGGGGAGCTAAAAGATCTCTGGAAGGAGAATTATGAAACACTGACCAAAGAAATCAGAGATGACACAAACAAATGGAAAAACATTCCATGCTCATTGGTATGAAGAATCAATATTGTTAAAATTGCCTACTACTCAAAGCAATTTACAGATTCAATACTATTCCTACCAAACTACCAATGACATTCTTCACAGAATTAGAAAAAAACTATTTAAAATTCATAAGGAACAATAAAAGAGCTCAAATAGCCAAAGCAATTCTAAGCAAAAGGAACAAAACTAGAAGCATCACATTACCTGATTTCAAACCATACTATAGGGCCACAACAACCAAAACAGCATGGTACTGGTACAAAAACAGACATATAAACCAATGGAACAGAATAGAGAACCCAGAAATAATGTCATATACCTACAGGCATCTAAACATTTATTAAGTCAACAAAAATAAGCAATAGGAAAAGCACTCTCTATTCAATAAATGGTGCTGGAATAACTGGCTAGCCATATGCAAAAGATTGAAACTAGACCCCTTCCTTTCACCATATACAAAAATCAACTCAAGGTGGATTAAAGACTTAAATATAAAACTGAAAACTACAAAATTCTAGAAGATAACCTAGGAAATACCATTTTGGACATAGGAACAGGCAAAGATTTCATGACAAAGTGACCAAAAGCAATTGCAACAAAACCAAAAATTGATAAGTAGGACCTAACTAAATGAAAGAGCTACTGCATGGAAAAAGGAATTATCAACAGAGTAGACTGTCAACCTATAGAATGAGAGAACAAATTATGCATCTGATGAAGGTCTAATATCCAGAATCTATAAGATTTAATATCCAGAATCTATTAAAAAAACTAAACAAATTTATAAGCAAAAACAAACCATCTCATTAAAAATTAGGCAAAGAACAATAACAGACACTTTTCAAAAGAAGACAAACACATGGCCAACAAGCATATAAAAATGCTTAATATCACAAATCATCAGAGAAATGCAAATCAAAACCACAATGCGATATTATGTCACACCGGTCAGAATGGCTATTACTAAAAAGTCAAAAAACAACAAATGCTAGTGTGGTTGTGGAGAAAAGGGAATGCTTATATACTGTTGGTGGGAGTGTAAATTAGTTCAACCATTGTGGAAAGTAGTTTAACGCTTTCTGCAAGAATTTAAAATAGAATTACCATTTGACCCAGCAATCCCAAAGGAATATAAATTATTCTACCATAAAGATGTGTGCATGTATATGTTCATTGCGGCAATATTCACAATAGCAAATATATGGAATCAACCCAAATGCCCGTCAACCAAATGCCAATCAAAATGTGGTACATATACACCATGGACTATTATGCAGCCATAAAAAGAATGAAATCATGTCCTTTGCATCAATGTGTATGGAGCTAGAGATCATTATCCTTTGCAAACTAATACAAGAACAGAAAACCAAATACTGCATGTTCTCACTTACATGTGGGAACTAACATCAAGTACGTGTGAACACAAGAGAGTAACAGATACCAAGGCCTACTTGAGGATGAAGGGTAGGAGGAGGATGAGGATCAAAAAACTACCTATGAGGCCCTATGTTTATTACCTAGGTGATGAAATAATCTGTATATAAACCCCCCCGACACACAATTTACCTATGTAACAAATGTGCACATGTACCCTAAACTTAAAGTTAAAAATAGATAAATAAATAAAATTTAGATATTAATTTGGAGTTCATTTTAGTGTACTCTGTGGGTTGACATGTGTATTTCCCCAAGCAGATTTTGCTATTCAAATGCTATATACTATTTATATCATTTTTTATACAATGATTTCACTTGTGTCTCATATCATGGAACAAATATTTTCATGTGCCCAAATCTATTGCTAGAGCTACTATCCTGTTTTGCTGATTAGTATATATGTTTATGCACCCGTGTGACACTATTGTAACTAAAGAAGGTTATTACTATGATTAAACATCTAGTAGAACTAATCCCACCTCATGAGTCTTTTTATCCCCCTGAGGGTTGTTATACTAATTCTGAAATGTTTATTTTTCTATATCTACTTAATAGTAAGTCATCTATCTCACCCCTCTTAAAAATGATTTTAATATTTCTTGAGCTTACTTAAAATTTATAACTTAACTTAGAATAAAACAGAAACTTAATGATTGAAGCAGCCTATCTAAGAGCAAGACTATTTCCATTTATTCAAAAATATTCCAAACCTAGAATTTGCATATACTGGTTAATTAATTTTACCTATTTTCAATACTACTAAAAATCAGATTTTCTCTGCCATTATGTTTTCTAAAGGTTCTTTCGAATATGAAGGATATTTAAAATTTACTTTGTGCTAACATCATTTTAATGAATTATAATTTACATAGCAAAAAGTTGCGCAAACAAAAGTGTTCACCTTTGTAAATTTTGGCAAATGTATAATCTTGTGTAATGATTTATGAAGCAAGATAAAAGACTGATATGATGACAAGGAGATACTTCCTTCTTGCCCCTTTGACCTTCTACAGTTTATTTTGATGATAAATGTTAAATTTTAATGAAATCCAATTTATCAATTTTTTTTTCTTTTTCAAACAGTTCTGCGCGTGTTACCTAAGAAAATGTTACCTACACAGGGTTCTTCTATGAACCTGGAAGATGAAGATGTTCTCATATCTTTTCTTCTATATGCCATAAAGATTTAACTTATTTCACATTTTCTCTTAACATTGTGAATTATATCAATTTTTTTTTCTAAGGTTAAACTGAGATGACCACAATCATTCAATCTATATTCTTTTATATATTGCTGGATTTATTTTTTAAAACTTACGATTTATGAGCTTTGCATCTACCTTCATCACTGACATTGATTTAACATTTTCTTTCTTCAATCTTTTTCATGTTGCATTATCTGTGTTATATTTGCATCATAACACAATTCAAGAAGCATTTACTCTCTATGTAAGAGTTACTTTTGTTTTTTCCTCAGGCATTTAACAGAATATATTATTTAAATCATCTGAGAATAAAATTTTGCACATGAGATTTTAAAATAGTGATTAAAATTTTTAGCAGATAAAAGGCTATTAAGATATTTTATCACATTTTGTTCAGTCTGAGAAAGTTGTGCGTTTCAAGGAATTTATACATTTTCTCTAATTCATTAAATTTTTGGCAAAAATGTGTTTATTATGTTGACTTATTTTTCTCCTAATATATGCATGAACTGTAATTGTGTTTCTTTTTTCACTTCTGCTGTTGTCAAATTCCACTTTCATGTGCTTAGTCTTGGTAGACGTTTATCAATTTTATTAATTTTTTTTAGAAAAGCAAATTTTTATTGTTCACTTTTTCTATTACTTATTAGCTTTTTATTTCATTGATTTCTAGTAATATTTTAATTACTTATTTTTGTTTTATATTTTTTAGCTTTAAGTTGCTCTTCTGATTTGAAAACTGTTTATTGATTTTAAATGTGTTCTCTTTTGTGATATATGTATCTAGAGTATACACTTCTTTCAGTATTATTTTAGATGCATCCAACATAAATTTATATGTTGTATTTTTATTAATGTTTGGTTCTAAGTATTTTCTATATTCATTGTATGTTTTTCTTTTATCCTTGGCTAATGCAGAGCTATATTGTTTAGTTTCCAAATACAGGCATACCTCAGAAATATTGTGAGTTTTGTTCCAGACCACAGCAATAGAGTAGATAAATATCACAATAAAGTGAGTCACACAAATTTTTTGGCTTCCCAGTGCGTATAAGAGTTATGTTTACAGTATACTGTAGTCTTTTAGGTGTGCAATAGCATTATGTCTACAAAAACAATTCATATACCTTAATTTAAACAGTATTGTTTAAAAAAATCTTATAATCTGAGCCTTCAGCAAATTGTAATCCTCATGCTGGTGGAGGGTCCTGTTTTGATGTTGATGGTTGCTGGCTTATCAGGGTGGTGATTGCTGAAGGTTGGAGTGGCTGTGGCAATTTCTTAAAATAAGACAACAAAGAAGTTTGTTGCATTGATTGACTTTTTGTTTCATAAAAAATTTTCTCTGTAGCATGTAATGCTGTTTGATAGCGTTTTACTCACCCACCGTAGAATTTCCTTGAAATTTGGAATCACTTTGCTCAAACCTGCCTTATCAACTAAATTTATATATATATATTTTTTGAGATGGAGTCTTACTCTGTCACCCAGTCTGGAGTTCAGTGGGGCGATCTTTGCCCACTGCAATCTCCACTTCCCGGGTTCAAGTGATTCTCCTGTCTCAGCCTCCCAAGTAGGTGGGACTACAGGTGTGCACCACGATGTCCAGCTAATTTTTGTATTTTTAGTAGTGATGGGATTTCACCAGGTTGCCAGGCTGGTCTCAAACTCCGGACCTCAGGTGATCCACCTATCTTGGCCTCCCAGTTACTGGGATTACAGGCATAAGCCACTGCACCGAGCTAATTTATGTAATATTCTAAGTCCTTTGTTGTCATTACAACAATGTTTATAGCATCTTCACCAGGAGTAGATTCCATTTCAAGAATAAAACCACTTTTTTGGCTCATTAATAAAAAGCACCTCATTTTTTTAAGTTTTATCAAGAGATTGGAACAATTCAATAACATCTTCAGGGTCACTTCAAGTTATCTTGTTTCCACTATACCTGCAATTGCTTTCTCCATTGAAGTTTTGAACCCCTAAAATCATCCATGAAGGTTGAAATCAACTTCTCCCAAACTCCTATTAATGTTGGTATTTTGACCTTCCGTGAATCACAAATGTTCTTAATGGCATATAGAATGCTAAATACTTTCCGGAAGATTTTCAACTTTCTTTTCCCAGATCCAGCAAAGGAATTAACATGTATGACAGCTATAGCCTTATAACACGTATTTCTTAAGTAATGAGACTCAACAGTCAAAATTACTTGATCCATGAGCTGCAGATTGTTTGAAGGCATTAAGAAAACATTAATTTCCTTGTATATCTCCATCAGAGCTACTGGGTGACCAGGTGCATTGTCTATGAGCAGCAATATTTTGAAAGGAATTTTTTTTCTGAACAGTAGGTCTCAACAGTAGGCTTAGAATATTCAGTAAACAATGCTGTAACATATTACATCATCTAGGCTTCCTTGTTCCATTTCCAGAGCATAAGCAGAGTAGATTAGCAGAAATCTTAAGAACTCTAGGACTTTTGGAATGGTAAATGAGCACTAGTTCCCCTTACAATCACCATCTGCATTAGTCCCTAATAATAGTCAACCAGTCTTTTGAAGCTTTGAAGCCAGCCATTGACTTCTCTTTAGCTATGAAAGTCCTAGATATTATCTTCTTCCAAAGTAAGGTTGTTTTGTCAACTAAAGTCTATTGTTTAGTATAGCCAGCCTCATCAATCGTCTTAGCTAGAACTTCTGGATAACACTGCAGCTTCCACATCAGCACTTGCTGCTTCATGTTGCAGTTTTCTGTTATGGAGATAGCTTCTTTCCTTGAACCTTATGAGCTAAGCTCTGCTAGATGCAAACTTTTCTTCTGCAGCTTCCTTATGTCTCTCAGCCTTCACAGAATTGAAGAGAGTTAGGGCCTTGCTCTGACTTAGGCTTTGGTTTAAGGAAATGTGGTGCCTGGTTTGATCTTCTCTCTTGACCACTAGAACTTTCTTGCTATCAGCAATAGGCTGTTTTTCTTTCTTATCATTCATGTCTTTACTGGAGTAGCACTTTCAATTTCCATCAAGAATTTCTTTTTGCATTCACAACTAGGCTAGCTACTTTTCAATCTATGTCAGCTTTTGATGTGCCCTCTTAACTAAGCTTAATCACTTTTAGCTTTTGATTTAAAGTGAGAGATGTGTGACTCTTTCTTTCACTTGAACACTTCAAGGACATTGTAGGGTTATTAATTGGTCTAATTTCAATATTATTGTGTCTCAAGGAATAGGAATGCTTGAGGAGTCAGAAAGAGATGGGGAATGGTCAGTCAGTGAAGCAGGCAGAACACATATAACATTTATTGATTAAATTCAGCAACTTATATGGGTTCAGTTTGTGTGCCCCAAACAATTACAATAGCAACACCAAAGATCACTGACCACAGATCACCATAACAAATATGAGTGATTAAAATGTTTGCAATATTGAGATCATTACCAAAATTTGACACAGAGACATAATAGGAGCACATGTGATCTGTAAAATGGTGCTAACAGACTTGCTTGATGCACAATTGCCACAACCGCTCAATTTGTAAAAAATGCATTATCTGTGATGCACAATAAAGCAAAGTGCAATAACATGAGGTATGCCTATAAATGGAGATGGTTTAAGTTATCTTTTTGTTATTGAATGCTAGTTAAAATGTATCATTATCATAGAATATACCTTGTAATCATTTTCAATTTATTGAGATTCATTTTATGACAAAACATTGTCTAGTCTGATAAAAATACTATGTGAACATTAAAATAATATATACTTTGAAGTTATTTGTATAGTGTTTTATATATCTGAAGCTGGTTAATTTAGTAAATAGTCTTTTCTCATATTATATTTTATATGATAAATAAATTATATAATTTATTATATATAATAACATATATATATTATTGGGGCTTGGAACACAGTACCCTAAAATATCGCACTTTGGCATACTGAACTAAAGAAGCTGCCTCAAGGTTTTCTGATCCTCTGTCTCTCCCAAAGCACAGAGTAAAGCTGTTCTTTAGAAACCAGATATGCCAAAGAGCAACACAATTGCCTTTAATCACTTCCATGAAATTTTATTAACCAGAGAATATTAAAACTCATATCAGAGAGGAAGAAACTGAAAATTAAACACTATACCTAGAGCACAAAGAAACTTTGTCCAAAGGTACTATTTATCCTCCAGTCCTATTCAGTTTACAAAGAGAATTATTCATATTCACAAGCAAATTCCTGTCTCCAAGGTGCATATATCTCTTTTCAAATCAGTTATTACCCCCTAAAATTGCCTATGTCCCCTTTCTTCTCTCCCTCTTATTAAGAGGGTATTTAAGCTTCAACCATCTGGCCCTTCTTTGAGTCTTATACATTGTATATGACTCCCATGTTTATGCACATTAGTAAATTTGTATGCCTTTTTGTCCCTGTTAATCTGTCTATTGTCAGTTTGCTTTATAGACTCAAATTATTAAGCTTTCAGAAGGGAAAGCGAAAGCGATCCTCTTCATTTCTACAACTTCATGATGATATTGTTAATATTTCTCTTATTTTGATTTGTATCTTCTGTCATCAAAAAATTGTGTAAAATTCCCAGGGATAAAAGTCATTTTTTAATTTTCTTAATATCTAGCTTGATTATATTATGAAATATAGTTTTGTCTGCATAACTGTAAAATTTTTACTAGATGGCAATTAATATTTTCTTTCTTTGTGACTAATATGTAGGTGACTTTTGTGAATGTCATCATGCATTTAAAAAAAGGCATATTTTCTATCAAATGGCTAGAGCTCAAAATATTATAAGTCTACATTTGTATATCTTTTTTTCAGCTTTTTATCTACTCACCTATTTTTGGTCCTTTGCCTTTTCCAGATCTGTCTTGTTTTGTTGTTACTGAAAAACCAGGGGTTTGGTATAGGTCCTGCTGCTCACTGCACAGAAAGCCAATCACTGAGACAATGAGTATTGCCAGGAAAGAAGGCTTTAATCGAGAAGGCTTTAATTGGGTGCTACAGTTGAGGAGATAGGAGTTCAGTCTCAAATTCATCTCCCTGACTGACTAAAACTCAGGGTTTATATAGCATGGAAGAACTGTAACAGTGTGTAAGAAGACAGGAACTAAGAAGGGGCAAGGAAGCAATCAGGATGAATGAGGACCCTGGCATCTCATTGTCTGGATGTGGCGATCTGGTGAGTTTCAGTTCTTTGATACTGTTTTATGAGGCCTGAGGGTCAATTTTTTGAGGAAGAAACTCAGATAAAACAAATGTAAGATTCAATATTTAAGACCAGAAGGTCAATTTCTATGTTTTTCCAAATAAAAAATAAAAAATAAACTATATATGGAACTATTGAGTCAGTTTCAGTGTTAGAATTTACTGTTATTAGTACACTCCTTTTAATTGCTTCTTGTATCTCCCATCCTGCTGCTCACTTTATGGAAAGCCAATCACTGAGACAATGAGTATTACCAAAAAAGAAGGCTTTAATAGAGAAGGCTTTAATTGGGTGCTGCTGCTGAGGAGATGGGAGTTTAGTCTCAAATTCATCTCCCTGACTGACTAAAACTTAGGGTTTATATAGTAGGGAAGAACTGTAACAGTGTGGAAGAAGACAGGAACTAAGAAGGGGCAAGGAAGCAGTCATGATGAATGAGGAGTTCGGCATCTCATTGTCTGGATGTGGCAATCTGGTGAGTTTCAGTTATTTGACACTTTTTTTTTAGAGGCCTGAAGGTCGATTTTTTGAGGAAGAAACTCAGATAAAACAAATGTAAGGTTCAAGATTTAAGACCAGAAAGGTCAATTTCTATGTTTTTCCAAAAAAAAAAAATAAAATAAATAAAATAAAACTATCTATGGGATTATTGGGTTGGTTACAGTGTTAGAATTTAATATTATTAGTATACTCCTTTTAATTGCTTCTTGTATCTCCTGCAGATGTGTGCTGTGCCCTCACTTTTCTTAGCATAATGAACTGCAGTTTCTTTAATCTACAATGCTATTTTTCATGAATTAAAGATTATAGCATTTTCTGATTATTTGACAGTCTTTTATTTCTGTAGCATGATTAACTTTCACTTTTTGCTCCCCATCCACATCGTATCCCCTGCTTTACCAACAAGTGTCCAAGAAGTACAACCGCTTTCTGCAAAAATGGTTGTCTCTCAATACCATGCCTCTCCAAGAACTGTTTCAGTCCCATGCACTGTCAAGCTTGTTTATTTCAATTCACAAGTAGCTAGTGATCTCATATGAATATTTTGTCACTAGAGTCCCATTCTCCCCTTCTTGAAACATTTGCCTACTTATTTCATCATGCATAACCTCTCTGCTTTCCTGACTTCTTTGCTGCATCATCTTCCAACTCTTTATGTCAAAGAGGGTTCTGAAGTGAGTTCTACTGGAATGAGTGTTCATTTTTCTACTTAGATAAAAGTTGACGTTTGTGGTATTTCTTGACTCTTAGTTACAGACATAGGTTATGCATGGTTTTATTTTATCTCTTTGTTAATCTGTATGATGGGTTTTCTTTTTTCTTTCTTTGAGAATATATGAACAAATTTTACTTTAGGGGTCACCGTTATCTTATGGGTACTCAGAATTCCTGAATTAATTATTGTATTAAAGTATAAAAAATTACTACATTTTTCTATAGTCTGCATGTAATCCAAGTGCCACTTGATATCTCTGGCTTAAGGCCTCTCCCAACATTACGGTAGAGCTATCAGCCAGAACTGCGATCTCATCTAAAGGCTTTATGAGAGAATCTGCTTCAAAGCTCACTCTTGTGCCTCATCACAGGCTATTATCCTGAAGTTCTCAGTTACTCACTGGTTGTTGGCTGAAGTTCTGCCCTCCTTCCTTGACATGGGGGCCTTTCCATAAAATAATTCACAACGTGGCAGCTGGTTTACCTCAATGTGAGCAGGGTAAGAGAGCAAGAAAGAGCACCCAAGACAGAAGCCATGGCCTTTCCATAACCTGCTCTCTTAGAAGTGGCATAGCATCACCTTTGCCATGCTCTATTTCCTAGAAATGAGTTACTAAATCAAGCTCATACTCAAGAGGAAAGGATTAAACAAAGGTATAAATATCAATGGGCAGAGATTATTGGATGCCTTCTTAAAAAAATTCACCCCAAATAATATATTTTTCAAAATTCCTGCTCTTCCCACCTAAAGGGCTTAGAAGTGGTGATATACCTATCCAATGTATTTGTTTCTAAATACCACTTTTTAGTAAGGTTTGTTAAACAAATGTTTTGTTCCAAATCTTAGGCAAGAGAAATGCAAAGTGAGCCTAATATACCTTTTCTTGGTGTGTGACCAAAAAAGCAAGACTAATAGTATCATGTCAAAAGGACACTGAAGCCAATTTCAAAGGTCTGCCACTAGCCAAATTTGGAACAATTTTGGCTAACAAAAGGGATGATGGTTCTAATGGATTATGCAATACTAATTTTTTAAAAATAAATGAGTTTGCTGTGATGTTACACAAAGTGGGGAGAGAAAGAGGAAGGGAAAACTCTTCCTTCAAGAAAATTGCCAATTAATAAATATCAAAGAAATAATAGAATGAGATAGCATCATCTTGTTGAAACCAGTGTAATTGTTGGTTTAGGTAAGTATCATTGATGAATGTCTAAGCCATTTGATGAAATGTTGGTCACAAGATTTATACAGTTTAAAATTATTACTTCAAGCTTATTTATTAATTAAAATAATTACTTCAAATTTATTATTAATTTCTTAAGTGTGGAAGATACAATTACAGTGTAGAGACTGAACAGACACCAACTTCACCAAATGATAAAGCTGAGTATTCCCAATGATGAAACAACACCTGCCTCTGGATAAGATCTAATAGAAAATTTAATCAGAGGCACTTGGCTTGTGGTACATGACAGAAGAAAGTCTGGAATCTTTAAAAAAGTCCGTGAATGGAAGACAAGAAATATTTTTGTAGTTGTTCCACACCAGGTGTCAACAAGTTATGACAAAACTTATTTGTAAGTAAAGTGTTTTTGGGGTTTCTTCTTTGGTATAAATTTTAGAAGTAAGTCAAGAGTATATGGATGGTCCCCGTAATGCTTTCTGAGATATTTTTATAGACATAAATATTTCAAAAATAAAAAGTCAGTGGAGAAGAAAATAAAACTTTAAAGCTCTTAGAATAAAATATATGATTATCAGATTACAAAGAAAATACTAAACATAAAATAAAAGGTGCATTAATTTGACTAACTTGATTATAGATAAGAACCTTTGTTGATCAAAATACATTAAAGTTATGCTTAAAGGGACAGATTGGGAGAAGATGTTTGCAACACTTATACCTAAAAAAGGATAATTATTCCAAATATAGAGAAAACTGGTAGACATCAAGTAGGAAAAACAACAATTGATTAATTCAATAAAACAAAAGTGGGTCATGCCTGGGCCTTTTTCCTACTGGAACATATTTTGGTTTAGGAGTAACAAAGAAGAGTTTACAAAGTATGTGTTCAATGTCATCTCAGAGGACACACTTTAAGTCTGAAGCATATTAATTTTTACACTCCATTTGTTATGTAGATAGAGAATGTATATTACCAACTTCTACTCTCCAGCCAGTTGCATTTTATATATTACACATTTCTAGTTATTCATAATAAACACCCTAATCACAACAAGTATATTTTGGAAAAAAACATATTTAAATAAGAACTCCCCTGGTTATCTTCTTGTCAGTAACTGCCAATGACATTTCACAAAGATGTCTAGTAGAGGTCTGTAAGAGCTCAAGTGCCCAGAGAAGAGGAGAATGTGTTACAAACCCACTGCCAACTTTTTTTTCCCAGAGTAAAATGGAAGAGAAAATCCTTTTGATGGAATAATCATATTCTAGGAAAACCGATATCTGCTATAGCAAAGATGAAAAAAAAAACAAAAACATTTTAGAAAAATTGCTGAATCCTCAAGGACCATAATAATCTTCCATTTCCCTATATTCTCAGCTCCTATCCGGTTCTTGGCAGACTTAGGAGCTCCCTCAAGGCTTATTAACAAGATAAATAATTGAAAGGATAAACCATATGAGTGAACCATATGAATCTTTTCAGACAATGAAGACAGTGCTATCTTACTCTGAGGTATCTAAAAACAGCTTCCTCTAGTCTCCCATACGGTGACTCAAAACAAAGCTTCTCATAGGAATACCAAAAGTTCAAAGAGATTGTGGCACCTCTGCTTTAAAGTAGTTGTATAATTTGCTTCAGGCAAGTTTATTTATATTTGATTTTTAAATGAGTCTAATAAGGTTTTATATGTAAGTTCCTATTTTGTCTACTAAATCTCCAGTCAAATATTCCTACTTTTGTACACAGAGGTTTTAAACAGATTGAAAGTCATTTTTAAAAATATGATCTAAAATATGGATGTTAAGATAAATGTATGTTAAGCCAAAATAGGAGTTAAACTGTTGATTTACAAACATCCTCTATAGAATTAGACCTATTTTCTTAAATTTTCCCAGGGAAAATTAGACAGTTTTAATAATACCTTATTTATCCAGCCAGCTACTATTTATATTTCTCTTTTGGAACTTAGTTTTAAATTCTCCTCAAACAAAATCCTATTTTACAAAATTCAAATAGAGGTTCAGCCACTTTTCTGGCAATTGCCTTGGTGAGTTAAGAATATCACATCTTTCTCTAAGATTTGCAGACATAACGGATTCCTCTCGTAGAATTCATAGATTTTAATCAGTTGAAGACTGTGCACACCATTTTTCCTTCAAATATTCTGCATGATTCTATTCTATTCTATTCTATTCTATTCTATTCTATTCTATTCTATTCTATTCTATTCTATTCTATTTGGAGACAGGGTCTTGCTCTGTCACACCTGCCAGAGTGCAGTGGTGCAATCACAGCTCACTGCAGCCTCAACCTCCCAGGCTCAAGTGGTCCACCTGCTTCAGTTTCTCAAGTAGCTGGGACCACAAGTGTGCACCATCATGCCTGGCTAAATGTTTTATTTTTTGTAGAGACAGAGTCTTGCCATGTTGTCCAGGCTGGTCTCTAACTCCTAGGCTCAAGTGATCATTCTTTCATGGCCTCTTAAATTTCTAGGATAAATTTCTAGGCATGAGTCACCATGCCTGGCCTGGTACTTTGTATTCCTTAAGAAAAATATTCACCAAGGTATACATGATATTTCTTCTTTTTTTCACTATGGAATTTAAACATGGCAGATGAGAAAATAGTGGCCTAGAAGCTATTGTTTTATTTCATGAGTTAGGTAAAACTTTTTTGTGTAAATGGCATGGTAATAAACACTTTAGGCTTTACAGGCTATGTGGTCCTCCTTGCAACTACTGGACTCTGTCAATGCAGTGTCAAGCAGCCACAGACAACATGTAAATGCATGAGCCTGGCTATGGTTCAGTGAAACTTTGTTTACAAACATTGAAATTGAATTGCATGTAATTTTTGTAGGTCACAAAATAGTCTTCTGATTTTTCACCCATTTAAAAATGTAAAAACCATTCTTGGGTCTTCCAGGTTGGATCAAAAAGGCAGGTGGACAGGTTTGGCTCACAGGTCCTAGTCTTCCAAATGCTTTTCTATACCTAAAAATATAGTGTGTGTGTTTTTTTTTCCCTTGTAAAGAATGAGGTTGAGAATTTAGGGGCTAGTTAAGGAAAAAGACAGGACCAAGTGGTGGCGGGAGCACACAAAAACTTTATTTGGGTGATAGGTTTATTTGCTTTGATAAGTTTGAATGAATGTAGAGGATGTCCCTCACAGCATGGGGCCTCCATGCAGAAGGGAGGAGGGCAAGAGAACTGCCAAGAAAAAGGGGATTGGAGAGGGGAGTTACCTGTGTAGATAATGTCACTCAGCAGCATAGTGGGGAACACTCTGGGTCAGAAAGCTCTGAAAGGCAGCAGCAGCTTGGTGACTGTATTAGTCTGTCCTCACACTGCTACGAAGAAATAGCTGAGACTGGGTAATTTATAGAGAAAAGAAGTTTAATGGACTCACAGTTCTGCATGGCTGGGAAGACCTCAAGAAACTTACAATCATGGTGTAAGGCAGAGGGGAAGAAAGGCACTTTCTTCACAGGGCAGCAGGAAGGAGAAGTGCCAAGCAAAGGGGGAACAGCCCCCTATAAAATCATCAGATCTTATGAGAACTCACTATCACGAGAACAGCAGGGGGTAACTGCCCCGATGATTCAATTACCTCCCACCAGGTCCCTCCCATAACATGTGGGAATTTTGGGAACTACAATTCAAGTTGAGATTTGGTTGGGGACACAGCCAAACCATATCAGTGGCCTTTATTGTTGTTGTTATTGTTTTAATAGTCTCAGAGTTTTATCTATAGCTAGCAGATGTTGGGCATAGTTTCCAGAGGTATACAAAACAGGAAGATTATAAATGCCTAAAAATCTGTATGTTTGGCTATATTTAAAACTTTTGGATGTGTAGAAAATTGAGTTTGACTATGGCAGGTCTCAGTGTCTCAGACTGCTTTGAAGAAATAAACAACATAAGGCCAACACAGAGGCCATCTTAGGCTCATTTTTAGAGCATCCTTTCAATAATGTTAAGATATGAAAAGGAAAGAGATTCCTCACAAGTTATAATCTGTTAATACAGCAAAGTATATTCAGTCCACCTTTGTCTTGCATCTTCTTCCAGGCCTATTCCTAATATTGACAGGAACTAGGGTTAGAAATGGTGGTTTCTGGCCTGTCTCTTGCTTCTCTTTTCTTTCCCTTTTGGTCTCCATCCCTCATCATTCTGCCTGCATGTGGGGACTGTGGACAGCCCAGCATGCATGTCCAAGCTTTTCCATGGCACCTACCCCTTACAAATAGCTAGGACTTGGCCAATTCTAAGGCCTAAAGATAGGCCGACTGCTGCTGCCCTGTCAGATCTCAGAAGGTCAAAGCCAACTATTCAGGCCCTGGAAGTAGGCTCAGAACTGTTTGGACAGGGATTTAGGCTTCTGGGTACCTATATCGTGGTCTAGGAGGGGAAGACACATTTTCTTTGCCCCATGGACACCTTGCCTCTTAATGTACTAGGAGCAGGGGTCCCTTCTTTCTGGGTCTAGGGACAGGACTACTATTAGATCATGTGCTATGCAAAGACCCCAACACATAATTATTGAATTAACCTGCCATGCAAAGACCATAACACATAATTATTTAATGAACAAGTATGTTGTTGATCAAGGGGATAAAGAAATACATGAACAAAAAGCCTGGGGAGAAATAGTTGAATGGAGTATCTTGGTTCCATAAAGCATCATAAAAAATGCAACTTAATAATTGCTGGGCATGGAGTGTTGTAGGGAGATGTAAACAATATGACCTTTTTTTCCCCTGCAGCAAGAGTGCTGAACATTTTCTAGTGATGAAAGTCACATTAGATAAATCAATGATCCATCATCCTATTTTAAATTACTAGTTCCAGAGTGCTATATTAAGAAATCGATCCATCCACCCTGGTATTTCTTCCTAATAGGTATAGATCATCATTTCTTTGTCCACGTCATAGTCTTCCAACATTATGTATATGTTTACAGGTTATTGTTATTCAGTAACTCTGTCTTCAGCATACAGGTCTAAAAAATATTAAAACTCTTGACAGATGAACACTAAAGATCAATTTTAATACAATAGATTTTTCACTTTGCAAACTTTCGGTGGAAAAGAGTAAACATTCTACTGGGGAAGAAGCTAGACATTCTTTTTATGTTTGTTTTGGGGCATTCTTGATCTGAGAACATTCTTCCACTAAAATAGTCTGTAGCCTGAAAGAATTTTGAAAAAAGAGGCAGACATTGAACTTTCAGTCAACAATTTAATAACAAATGAAAGCTTGGATTTTGTGCCTGAGAGGGTATTGTTGCATAGGAAGTTTTCTAATCCATCTTTAAATTGGAGTTTAAAGTATTCTGGGGAAGTCCAGGTACAGTGGCTCACACCTGTAATCCCAGAACTTTGGGAGGCCGAGGAGGGCAGATATCACGATGTCAGGAGTTCAAGACCAGGCTGGACAACATGGTGAAACCCCATCTCTACTAAAAATACAAAAATTAGCTGAGCATGCTGGCGTGTTCCTGTAATCCCAGCTACTTGGGAGGCTGAGGGAAGAGAATTGCTTGAACGAGGACCCGGGAGGCAGAGGTTGCAGTGAGCCGAGATTATGCAACTGCACTCCAGCCTGGGCTACAGAGAGAGACTCTATCTCAAAAAAAAAAAAAAAAAAAAAAAAAAAAAAAGAAAGAAAGAAAAGAAAAAGAAAAAGAAAAAAATAATTTATGGGGAAACGATATTTTGCAAATAGTAGGTTGTAAACTTCATTGACTAAGGTTAAACATCCTTCTCTCTTTCACTAGTAAATACAGAGTTTAAGTTTCAGGAGTTGAGATATATGGAAGATGTATTAACAGAAGATTCATTAAGAAGAGAGGGATAGAAGGATATGCAGGATTCTTTAAGAATAAAAAAAAATAGAAGAAAGATGATAGAAAAAGGCTGGAGAGAGAAACCATGAGAATAGGAGTAGGTCTTTTATTTTCCCCTGGTAGATGACAAGACTAGTAAGTAATGGGTCTTTGTGACAGGGAAAACACAAAATTGAGAATATTTGCTACAGTGGAATCACGCTAGAAGCTAGGTATATTGTTTAATTCTCCATCAGTTCTGTAAGTGTGGATACTAGATTCACTTAAAAGTTGAGAAAATTGGTACTTAATAAGATTGTATAATTTGACCAAGGTTTTTCAACTAGATCTGACTAAGAAAATTTTGTATTTTGAATTGTGCCAAAAGAGGGAATTTGGATATATCCAACAGTGGTACACCTGGTCTTATTTTTATTTTTGGTCACTGTTGTTTTTCCCCGTTTTTAAGCCACATTTCTGGGGCTGCTGTAACTCAAAGTTTCAGCTAATGATTTCAGGAGCCTGCAAATCTCTAAGAAATTTATTTCCCACATTTCAATGTGACGGACTCCAATGGTCACTGTCCAAGCAACCAAGGATTTAAGGCAAGCCAAGAGATGAACCAGCCCTCACATTGAAAATTTTGACATTTCATTCTACCGTTTCTCAAGTTAAACATCTATCATTTTTCCTTCTCTCATTGTTTCTCACTTCCTTTGTTTTTTTTCTCTTTCTTTGTTCCTACGCCAGTTTTTTTTACTTTTCCATTGCAATGACAATAATTAGCCTTAAATGTGTATTCCACTTGCAACAGCCAAAAGCATTTAATAGATGTGGCACTTGATCTTTATAGAACAACTATTTTATAATCATTTTGCAAAGGAAAAAGCAGAAGCTAAGAAATGTAAGTGATTTTCCAAAGACACATAAGTAGGAAAATGCAAAACCAAGACTGATTATAGTTCTCCTGATTCTAGCTCTGCACCACTGTCTTTTCACGTACCTAAGGATTAAACAAGACCCTTTAGAGTTCCTTAATCCCACTCAATACTTTCAAGACTATACAGGTGACTGAAACATACTCAAGCATCTGAGCCACCTTCATACACATGGTGGGGTTAAAAGCAAAACAAACAACAAGCCTATACCTCTTTTTGGTTGTGTATAATATTCCCAGATGGAACTCTGACATTTATTCAAGCAAACTTAACCCATTTATGCCACAGGTCGCGAATTTGTTGTGTGAAAAATCAGAGCTTGGCGATGACTTTGAGCAGTAGGATATAAATAACTCCCGCAAGCTTAATGTTCTAATAATGGAACACTAGAGATAAATGGGTTAAACAGTACTATTGGCCAGGGACAATTCTGACTTCTCCCAATAGACATTGGATGGTCATACCTGGTTATACCTGGTTACAGTGGTCGGCAGAAGTTTTGTGGGAAAAAAAATTCTTTTTAAAAAAAGTTAAAAGATTTCTTTCAGAAGGAATTTTGAAGAATTTGGAAAATTGATTAGTGTACATTTAACATTATACCTGAAGAAGAATCTCTCATTATATCTCAGGTTCAAACTGATTTATAACATTGAATGTTAACAATAAAATCGCAAACCTACCATTCCAGACCCTAGCCAAAAGGCCGCAATAGCAATATATCTTGGCAAGTTTGCCAAAAGGCAATAAATCAATTGAATAAGTTTTGATTCATGAACAATACAGGTTTGAACTATGCAGGTCCACTTATAAATGTATTTTTTCAATAAATATATTGGAAATTGTTTGAAGCTTTGTGACAATTTGAAAAACTTGCACATCATGTAACCTAGAAGTATTTTAAAAAAGAAAAATTAAGGTATGTATGACTGCATAAAATACATGTAAACACTAGTCTATTTTATAATTTACTACCATAAATTATACACAAATCTATTCTAATAGTTTAAAATTTACCAAAACTTATGCACACATCTATGTACTATACAGGTGCCAATCCCCATCAAGAGAAATGTAAACAAAGTAAAGATGCAATATTAAATCATAGCTTTATAAAATTAACCATAGAACACACTATACTGCTGTAATAATTTCACAGCCACATTTGGTTGCTATGGCAGTGAGTTCAAGTGTTGCGGGTATCTGCTTAAAACACCATGTGGTGCAAATGATCTCCACATGAGCAGTTTGTCTCTTCAGTAAGTTACTTATCACAGCAAAATGTGATCTCTCAGCCAAGCATGGTGGCTTATGCCTGTAATCCCAGCCCTTTGGGAGGCTGAGGTGGGAGAACCACTTGAGTCCAGGAGTTCTCGACCAGCCTGGGCAACATAGAGAGACTCAGTCTCTGCCAAAAATAAACAAAATTAGCCAGGCCTGATGGCTCATGACTGTAGTCCCAACTACTTGGGAGGCTGTTGTAGGAGGATTACTTGAGCCCAAGGGTTCAAGGCTGCAGTGAGCCACGATCATGTCACTGCACTCTAGTCTGTGTGACAGAGCGAGATCCTGTCTCAAAAACAAACAAACAAACAAACAAAAGATCTCTCTTGGCTATTGTGTATTTTTCATTACGTTTAGTGCAATGCCATATATCTTGAATAACACCATGGGACCTATATGAAGTGCCACTAGTGATGATGGAAGTACTCCCAAAAAAGCAGAGAAAAGTCATGATCTTGCAAGAAAAAGTTGAGTTGCTTGATATGTACCACAGATTGAGGTCTGCAGTTGTGGTTGCCTGCCATTTCAAGATAAATGAATCCAGCATAAGGACCACTGTAAAACAAGAACATTCATAAAGTTGTCACTGTAGCTATGCTAGCAGGCACAAAACCTTGCACTTTTTACAAAGTACCCTTTTATTATTGAAAATGCAGCTTTTTTGGGGTGGGGAGCATGGGATTGCTATAAGGGAGGCATTCCCATAAACTCTAATATGGTTTAAGAAAAAGTGAACTCATTGTATAACAACTTAAAGCATAAAGAAGGCAAAAGATCTAAAGCTGGAGAATTTAATGCCAGCAAAGGATGGTTTGATAATTTTAGAAGGAAGTTTGGCTTTAAAAAGTCAAGATGAAAGGAGAAGCAGCCTCTGCTGACCAAGAGGCAGAGGATGAGTTTCCTGATTTAGAAAAACATGGAGGAGAAAGGATGTCTGCCTGAATAAGTTTTTAATGCAGATGAAAGTGCCCTATTCTGGAAAAAAAAAAGACACAAAAGACACATTTATTATTAAGGAAGAGAAGCTAGCACCAGGATTTAAGGCAGGAAGGGATAGGCTAACTCTATTGTTTTGTGAAGATGCAGTTGGGTTTGTAATCAGGACTGCCCTTATCTATAAATCTGCTAAGTTCTAAGCCTTGAAGGGCAAAGATAAACACAAGCTGCCAGTCTTGTGGTTGTACAACAAGTAGATCTGGACAATGAGAACCTTTTTCTGGATTGGTTCCATTGATGCTTTGTCTCTGAAGTCAGGAAGTACCTTGTCAGTAAGGGACTGGCCTTTAAAGTTCTTTTGATATTGGACAATGCCCCTGGCCACCCAGAACCAATGAATTCAACACCAAACATGTTTTGAAGTGGTCATACCTCCAAACACAACGTCTCTAATTCAGGCCCTTGATTAGATGATCATAAGGATCTCTAAAGCTCATTGTACATGGTACTCTATAAAAAGGGTTGTCAATGCTATGAAAGAAAACCTTGATAGAGATTATACCATTGAAGATACCATCATTGTTACTGAAAAAACTGTGAATGCCATCAAGCCCAAAACAATAAATTCCTACTGGAGAAACTGTGTCCAGATGTTGTGCATGACTTTACAGGATTATGACAGAGCCAATCAAGGGAATCATGAAAGAGATTATGAACGTGGCAAAAAAGGTGGGAGGTAAAGGGCTTTAGGATATGGATCCTATAGAAATTCAAGAACTAAAGACATCATCACACCATAGGAATTAACAGAAGAGGTACTGATGAAGATGAATGTATTTGAACCAGTGCCAGACGATGAGAAAGAAGGTGTATAAGAAGCAGTGCCAGAAAACAAACTGACATTAGACAGTCTGTCAGAAGGATTCCTGTTATTCAAGACTGCTTTTGACTTCTTTTCCATCATGGTCTCTTCTATGATACAGGCATTGAAACTAAAACAAATGGTAAAACAGGGATTGGTACCATATAGAAACATTTTTAGAGAAATGAAAAAGCAAAAAGTCAGACAGAAATTACAACACATTTCTGTTAAAATTACACCAAATGTGTCTGCCTCTCCTGCCTCCCCTTTCATCTTCTCCACCTCTTTCAGCTCTGCCACACCTGAGACAAGACTAATCCCTCCTCTTCCTCCTCTTCCTCAGTCTATTCAATGTGAAGATGATGAAGATAAAAATCTTTATAGTAATCCACTTCCCCTTAATGAATTCAAAATATATTTTCTCTTCCTCATGATTTTTTAAATAACATTTTCTTTTTCCGTAGCTTATTCTACTGTTAGAATACAGTATATATTATATATAAAACAAAATACGTGTTAATCAGCTAGTTATGTTATTGGTAAGGCTTCTGGTCAACAGTAGCATATTAGTAGTTAAGTTTTGGCGGAATCAAAAGTTATAAGAAGATTTTTTACTGTGAGCATGGTAATGGGCTTAGCACCCCTACCTCCCACATTATTCAAGGGTGAACTGTACTTCCAACATTTTTATGCTATTTTACAAATTCTAAAATGCAACGTTAGATATGCATTATTTTAGATTAATTATTCCCTTCTCTAATGATCCTCTGTAAACTTTATAACCAATTATTTTTTCAAACTTCTACTCAAAAATAAATTAATACCACAATCAAACCTTATCATTTCATTTTGCTGCTGTAAACATTTTTTATACTTAATTTAAAATCTTATAATATTGTACATAATTTAAAATCTTATAATATGTACAATACTGTAAGATTTTCATCTTTTGTGTAAATTTGATTCATCTCAACTAGTCCTTTGTGTCTATAAATTGTTGAGTTTCAATAAACATCTAAGCTGTTGTTGAAGGGAGTTATCTGAACCAACTAGACCCAACTATGGACTGCAGTCAGGAGATGTCCAAAATCACACAAGTAGGAAACAGCAGAACCAGGATTGATCCCATTTCTCCTGATCTCAACTCTACATCACTGCTTTTTTATGTACCTAAGCCTTGAACCAGACCCTTCAGAGGTCCTTAATCCCACTGAAGGCTTTCAAGACTTTCAAAGCCCTCTCATCCACCACTGCCCAAAATGGTCCCTGAGCAAGGATATGTGCATATCTGAGTGCCTCACCATTTATATATGTGCTCACAAACTGCAAAATGTACACAAATATAAAATATTATTTTCATTATCACCTGTGTTTTTCTAGGTCCAAACTTGGAATTTAAAATCATGTTATATTCATAGTATTCCTTTCCATTTCCCAGTATCTCAACCGTAACTATTTATGGCAGACCAACTGATGACATTCCACGCGTGCTAACAAACGTGTGGTTTTGGCTATTCATTTAGAGTTGGAAAAGGGAAGCAGTGACTAACATTTGCACCATACCTACAATAAACCAGGCGTTTTAACAAGCAAAAAAGATACATGGATCAAATCCATGCCATCTTGGAAACTTGAGTTTAATAAGGAAATAGAAAAATAGATATACAATAAAAGAGTGTTATAAGCAATATGGCAGGGAAAAACAGGGTGCAGTGAGATTCCATAGAGGGAAGAGTTAGCCTAGACAGTGAATTAGAAGAGTTATCGAAAGTGACGTGAAAACTGGGAACAGAAGGATGACCTGTGGGAATGAAAGGGGACATATTCCGGGCAGATAGAGATATGTATGGCACACTTAAATCTCCCAGTTCCCAAATGGTACAGCTTTCGATATATCCACTATTCTGTTCTCTTGTCTCTTTAGGTGATATGGTCTTTACATTCTGACTTGCCTGTGAAACTGCAATAAAGGCAAATTGCTTCTCATTTCAAAGTTTACAGTTCACCACTACCATCACACCACTATACCAACAGGCAATACCAACCTTTAAGCTACTCTAAACATGCTAAACCCCTTCAGACATCGCACTGTTATGGCAGAAATGACAAGTGTAGCAAGAAAATCAAACTAACTCATGATATTGTCAGGACCATCTGGTTTTACTCTGACAAAGGCTACATTCTGAGACTGATGACAATGTAAAACACAGTAGAGGTTGAGTAATCACCTAGATTCTGATTTCCTCTGGCTCTCTGAAAATAGTGTACCCGATATTTTTCACCCGTGTCTCTTTTTCATATGTAAGATATCTGGAGGCAGCAAACTAATAAACCAATATTAACATATTTGAGGTTCTTATAACGTGAAGAAAGTGAGGTTCTTATAACGTGAAGTTAGGCAAAGTTTTGCTTTGAAACAACATGAACTTATATTCTGATATTATTCCTTTAAACATATGTACGTGTACTGTGTTTCAGCATCACTAATACAGCTCAGAAAGTTAGTGTTACATATGAGTGCATGATTATTTATTTAAAGTATACATTTATATTTTTGACATATCCTGTATACTACGCTTGATTCTTGAAATAAGTAAACATTTCATATTTTTTCTATAATAAGACATTTTGAAAATGACACTTCTAGACTAACAAGTTCTATCAATACCAAACAATATAGCAGGACACCCACCAAGAATCTGATGCTTGTGTTTCTAAAAGACACTGTTCAATTAATGACATGTTCTGCATGAAGGCTGGGATCCAAGCAGCCCACTTAAAAAAGAGTCTCTAAGATTTGAAGCCCGAATTATTTCTTATAGGCTTGGTTTGCCTGCCATTTATAATTTCCAGTTATTGCTTCCTTAATTGCCTGGGCATAACCTTATATTTGGTAACATTTTCCTTTTTCTCTTTAGGGCTTTAAATGATTTGCACATATCATCTTTAATTGACACCTCAGTGTGACATCAGCAAAATAGAAAAGATGGATAGCACAATCCACAAAACATTTTCCTTACAACTACATTTCTAATACTTTGTAACACAGATTAGCCGGATATACTTGGTTTTCAGCTTTTCTTGGCAATATTTTCCAAGAAGCTGATTCTAGTGTTCAAATTGGCTGGTGCACTAAATCAATAAACAGATTTTTAACTTCAATCTAAAAATCAGCAAATGAGGTTCACACAGGGAACACTTTTCTTTATGTGAATTTTGATAGTAAGTGGCAAAAGTTGAGAAAGTATAACCCATCTCACATTTTGGAGATAATTGAGATAGAGAGCAGATATTAGCCTCATATAGTTTTAGAGCTTCTAGCAAACTTAGATATCAAAAGACCAGTACTCTCCTACTTACTATAGAATACCCTGAAGACTGATAGCTTTCTCAGCATCATAGCATTTCTAATGGTAGAGTTGGGGCAACAATTCAGGTGTTTCAATTGCTGATCCTATGGGTTTTTCACCACATCAAGCTCTTCTGTTTCAGACCCTAATCTAATATAATTAAGGCAGATGTTATAAATATATGATTGCCAAATAGACACATCACACCACTTTTTTATGAGAGAAGGATACTGAATGATTAAGCTGTTTTATAGTATAAAAGAAGGGAGAAAAGACAGTTTAGGTTATCAAACAGGTAAGAGAGATTATAAAGGTAACTTAAATCACTAAGCTCCCCCATTCCTTGTTCCCCACTCATCTGACGTTTGGATCCCTTCTACTATAAAATGAATATGTAGTCATTGAAGTTATACTTGAATACCTCTGGTGATGGAGAACTTAATGTTTTTTGCAGACATGTATTTCCATCTGACAACCCAAATCAATTTCCTTGCAAGTTCTTTCCTTGCAGCAACAAACCTGTAGGTTATGTAATGTGAAATGGAGATAACCACTTAATGTTTAGATTTTTTTACTCCTTCTGTCATAGGAAAATATGCCAAAATCAGATATAAGGACAAATAATTTATTATCCTTTATGATAAAACATGCAAACCCAAAACGCAAACTAAACTTTGTTTTTAACTTTTAAGTACAGCAATTCCATTAGACATTCTATTAGTCTTACATGATAGCCTTGAAACAGATATATTTGTGGAGATATATATGTATGCAATCAAATTAAATAAGCATTTCACAGCATCAGTAGAATTTAGAGCTAAAGCTGAAGTTCTTTTCTAATGTACGATGTCACTTACCTTTAATAGTTTTGGACCAAATAATAATTACTTCAGTGTAAGAAAAATTCAAGAGTCTTATTTACCTCCCAGTAAAGCATCATTTATCTTGATCTGTTCAATGGTGAAATAAGGCATTCTATAGAAGTTACAGACAGATGAGCACGATAAGTGTTAGCGTGAATGAAAACCATCTCAAGGCAAAAATGCAGAAGCCATACATAATAGAACAGGTTGTTTATGGAACACAATCAATGACCTTGTCTTGAATTCCGTGTTTGAAAGAAAAATGTTTTTAGCAGAAGCTTCAACCGAAGACCATTATTTGTCTATTGTCACCACTAAACTTTCCATGGATGCAGAGTCGGATTTAACTTCGAGTGAATCAGATTTCACCCTTTAGTTAGTACTGACACATACAGTATCATAAATACAAAGCCTTCAAATACTTTCTAATATTACCTTTTATGGCAATACTTTTTTAAATTTTAACTTATTCTCCTAAATTTATTTTTTCTGTATCTAAACATAAATACACACATGTAGATCAATTGATAGAAATGCTCTTTTCATGTATGTGTGTGTGCATGGGTATATGTGATGATACATAATACTTAAATATTATAAATTCACTGTACTAGCCTATGTACTACAATGGGCTATGGTTCTGACTTTAAAAATGAGCAAAGTAATTCACCATACCTCAAAACAAGCAAACAAACAAAAAGCTATCTTCTTCAAAATGATAAAGCAATGTAATGCGCAAGGGTTTTCTTTCTCTCTTTTTTCTTTTCTTTTTTTTATTATTATTTTTTGAGACAGGGTCTTACTCTGTCTCCCAGACTGTAGTGTAATGGCTCAATCATAGCTCACTGCAGCCTGGGCTCAAGCAAACATCATTCCTCAGCCTCCTGAGTAGCTGGGACCACAGGCACTCGCCACCACACCTGGTTAACATTTTCATTCATTGTAGAGACAGGGGTCTTGTTATGTTGCCCAGGCTAGTCTCGAACTCCTGGCCTCAAACAAGCCTCCCAACTTGGCTTCCCTCCCAAAAGGCATGGATTGCAGGCATGAACCACTGCACTTGGCCTACTCTGCAGGTATTTTAATAGGCAAAACCAACTTATAGCTATGAGTATTTTTTACATCCCCAAACTACAGGTAGAGCAAAAACACTCATGACTAACTCCTGTAGTGTACTAAAGCCAACTCATACCAGATTATACGAGGTGATTGTCATATTTTGAGAAATTTGGGGAGCCTGTTTCTAAACACAGATATTATTAAAAATCAAATTATAGAAACTTACAATTAAATAACATTAAAAACACAAGAAGGAATGCTCAGAACTCATACTTTCTAATTATTTTGCTACCATTTACTGTTGCTTAGTGCTTGTGGTTATTAATGTCTATTTTACCTGCATAGCGGAAACCCTATATAATGGTGTGCTTCTGTCCAATCTTCCCAATATCTCTTTCATGGACATCAGTTGATGTCTTCAAATTAACCACAGTGGGTATATTTACAGCACAAAAATCAACTACAATTTGTGTCTCCTATCCCCAGTTCCAGCTGTCTCTTGTGAAACATTTATCAACACATCACTGATAACTCTGAATGTAAGGAAATGTAGCTTAATGGCTCACAATACAGGCCTCCAAATTTGTGTGCTCTTGTACATTTTTCTTTAAACTTTTAGGGGCCTCAGTTTCTTCATCTGTAAAATGGTTTAGAGGTCTCTTGGCAGCACTTAACACTGTGTCTCTATTGGAACATAAAGTGACCAATGAATGCTAATTGTAATCACTATCAACCACGAGAGGCAGAAATGAATAACAGAATGGACTGTGTTGGAGTGAGTTAGTTTTATGTTTAAGAGATTCAGCAAAATAGACAAATTCAATTTTTCAAAATTCAATTTTTTTACATATAATTATGTCTTAGCATCCAAATTAGAGGTAGAACTCAGTTGCATGCTGAGAAAATTATGGAAAGTAGTGTTTTCATATTTATAGAAGACTAACATTTGCTTTCCTAATATTGAATTCTTTATTTCTTTCGTAGCTATTTTTTACTTTGATAAACACTTTGTATAAATATAATTTGATCAAATGTTCAGCATGATCAAGTGGAAACATTTTGTCATTGGGAAGAACTAAAATTTGATATCAATTCTGTCCCAGCTTACTGCATCTACCAAGTCAAACCATTTAAGTAGTCTGGCCTCCAATTTCCTTATATTTACATTGAATAAGTTTGGATTAGCAGCTGAATAATTTTTTTAAATAAGATCTTCTGTAGAAGCTTACTACATTCAGTTTGGATAGTGCTTAAGATGATGGACCAGATACATGTATCTACTTTCTCTCTCTCTCTCAAAATCCCAGAAAAGAATATAAAAATGTAAGTATACATGAAAAGTAATGGAAAATATAAAAGCAACATCAACACACTAGAAATTTAGAGAAATTCTTATAAGATAGAAAACATAGAGGGACAATAATCAGATCAGAGAATAACATAGCTAAAAACATGCAGAAGCCAACTGTACCAATAAGAACAGAAAGCTCATGGTAAATAAGTACAATGAACAGAATGTTCAACAACAAATTTTGCAGAAATTCATTGGAAACCCCATTTTAAACAAATGGATCCTTCTGAGAGTGCTTGCAGCTTAATGGTTAAAGCTCAAGCTCTGAAATTATTCATTCATTCATTCATTTATTCTGGTCTTTTTTGAGAGTTTTTTTTTTCTTTTTAAGAGGAAGTCTAAGTTTAGTAATTGTTTCAGGCATCTTCCCTGTCTCTGGCATACATCCTGTAATGATTCTAAAAGCGAAGGTCTGTGGGCAGCGAATATTCCGTGTCCTTGCATGTCTGACACTATCTTATTTCTCATTCAGATTCGGATAACAATTTTGTTATATCCAGACTCAAAGTCATTTTTCCTTAAAACACTTGAGGACATTGTTCCCTTGTCTTTGTGCATCTGGGCTGTCAATAAGAAATATGATATATCAATCTGATTCTTATCCATTTGTAGCTATCTTTTTTCCCTCTTTCTGGAAGATTATAGGATTTTCTACTTTTCTTGATTTTAGTTTTTACTATTATTTTTCTGTCAGTGAGACTTTTTATCCCGTTGAGCTCTCAGCGACTAGTTTCAGTATGAGGACTCAGTTTGCTTTCTTCCATCTGTCATACTACCATATTATCTACTGTTTCTTTAAATATTGTTTCTCCTCCATTTGTTTTATTCTTTCCTTGTAGAACGTTTCTTCAGTACGTGTCAGAATTCCCTTATATAATTTCCATATCTCTTAACTTTAATTTTAGACAATTTTATTGTTAAATATAACATACAAGAAAAAGTAAGAAGAACTCATGTCCTTGCTTTTTATTTAGTTCTGTCACCCATGTGTGCATTCCTAAACGGGATAGCTTAATTTTTCCTCTTTCTGCACTTTATATAAATAGAAACAAATGGAATATATCATCTTGTTTTTTCCTTTATTTACTTAATAACATGTTGTAATATTCATCCATATTGTTATGTGTTCACTTTCATTTATTTGTATTGCTTTATAGCCTACCATTGTTGGCTACAATTTGCTGTTGACTAGCTTCTGTGTGGTTTTTAGTTTGGGATAACAAGCAATGCTGCTTGTATCATGCACAAGAGTATTCACATCTCTAGATCAGTAATTCTCAAACTCTAGCATATAGGAATCACCAGGAGGACTTAACTCATTGCTAGGCCAAACCCTCACAATTTCTGTTTAAGTAGCTCTGGAGTGAAACCCCAAAAATCTGTATTTCTAAGAAGTTTCCTAGTAATGCTGATTCTGTGTGAACCGCCTCATACAATGAGGCTCCATTTATTTAGCTTATCTTTAATGTAGCACAATAAATTCTGTAATTATATTGCACACGTGTTGTTGAGTTTATTTTTAGATAGTTGACACTTTTAATGCAATTGTAGATGGTGGCAGCTTTTAAGTTTAATATTCTGTTTTCTAAGGGTATATAGAAAAATAATTGCTTTATTTTTATATTGATTTTGTATCCACCAACCTTGTTACACTGTTATTAATTTTAATTCATTTATCATAAATTTTTAAATATTTCTAACATGCCAACTATATCATCTGTGGATAATGGCATTTTGGATTTTTTTTTTCATCATTTACACATTTTTTCTCTTTGTTGGACTAACTTCAATATTCAATAAAATGTTGAATAGAAATGATTATTGCAGACAGTCTAGTCTTGTTGCTGTATTGTTGTGTTTGCATTCATTTATTTGTACTGCTTTATAGTGATATCATATCATGAAACAATATACATGTTTCACCATTAAGTATGATGATTACAATAGTGTGTTTGTCTCTGTTTGTTTGTAGATACCTTTTCTTTTAGGCCAAGAAAGTAAATTTTAGTTCTGGTTTTTAACCAATTATTTTTTGAACTATGAATTGATAATTGATTTTTTTCTATTTTTCACCTATTAATACAATAATTTTTATCTGGTAATCTATTAAAGCAGTGGAAAACTTTTGTTGATCTTTTGATGTTGAACTCATCTTCATAATTAAATTTGAATACACATGTGCACAAATACACAATTAGATATAGCTGACTATTGTATTGCTCAAAGAAATGCACAGAAACTCATGAATAAAAAAATTTGGCCGACAGTTACTTTTTCAAATGTTATCTTTGACAGGTTTTTGTTTCAAGGATATGCAGGTAAAATAAATATTAGTTGAGGAATGTGCTCTGTGTTTCTATTCTTTGGAAAACTATGAAACCCTGAGTAAGACTGGAAATATGCTTTCCTTAATGCTTGGTTAATTTCACTAAAAAGCAACTTCAGGGTGTGTGTGTGCACATCTGTGTATGTGCTTATGTACAAAAATTTCATGCTGACACTTTAATTATTATAAATTTCAAGCATACAGAGTTGAAAATTCTTACAGTGACTACGCTTCTATCACTTAAAATATTACTGTACTTGTTGTATTATGTATTTTTAAATGCTTTTGAACGATTTAAGTTTTCTAATTTTCTAGAGTTAGATTTGGTAAATTATACGTTTTTGATTTTATTCAAATCTTCAAAAGTTTTGTAAAACCTTTTATATGACAACATTTTATTATCTGTTAAATATATACAAAAACTGTAATATCTATAGCAATATTTGATTTTTAAATTATTCTTGTGGCTTTTATTTGCACTCTTTCTTTCTTCCTTTTTTTTTTCTTTCTGTCTTTCTTTATCTTTCCCAATCTCTCCAGAATTTTCTTAATTTTAATATTTATTTAGAAGTACCAGTGTTTGGCATTGTTAATCTTTTTCTACTGTATATATATTTTACTTCGTTGGTTTATTATGTTATCTTTATTATCATCTTTCTTCAGCTCTTTTTTGGACTTATTTTGCACATCTTTTTCTAACGTATTAAGATAAATGCTGAGCTCACTTTAATCAACAATTCTTCTTTTCTTTCGTATGCATTTAAGTGTATGGGTTATCTTTTATATACTGCTTTACCTGTAGTAAACAATTTTAAATAGTTTTTATTATAATTCACTTCAAATTATTTTCTGTTATCTATTATCATCTCTTCCTAGATACATTTTTCTATGGTTTAAGTTGGACACTTAATCCGTAAATTCATATGTAACTGGCATTTGGAGGTGGAACGTTTGGAAGTTAATTAGGATTAGATAAGGTCATAAGGATGGGGTTTCTTTTGTTTGTTTTATTTTATTTCTTTTTTTTTGAGACGGAGTCTCTCTCTGTCACCAGGCTAGAGCGCAGTGGTGCAATCTCGGCTCACTACAACCTCCACCTCCTGGGTTCAAGTGATTCTCCTGCCTCAGTCTCCTGAGTAGCTGGGACTGCAGGCACCCGCCACCACGCCCAGCTAATTTTTGCATTTTTAGTAGAGACGAGGTTTCACCATGTTGGCCGGGATGGTCTCAATCTCTTGACCTCGTGATCCACCCGCCTTGGCCTCCCAAAGTGCTGGGATTACAGGCATGAGGGGCCACTGTGTCTGGCCCTTCTTTTGTATTTTTTGAGATAATTTCTGTAAAGTTTAGAGTGTAAAGCCACGATGATAACATTGGTGGCCTTCTAAGACGAGAAATAGAGACTGGAGCTGGCAAGTTATTCCTCTCATCAGGTGATGCCATCCTCTATATTATGACCCAGTAGGAAGACTTTCACCAGATTCTAGCAGTATGCACTTGGACTCCCCAGCCTCCAGAACTATAAGCTGAATAACTTTTTTTAAAAAAATAAATTACCTGATCTGTGGTATTCTGTTATAGCAACAGAAAATGCATTAAGACAATTGTTTCTCTCTTTGTTTGATTTTTTAACTTTCTATTTTAAAACACTTTTAGATTAGGGAAATTGCAAAGAGAATAGGCAGAGGAACATGTACCTTTCACTCAATTTCTCTCAAGGATTATATCTAATGTAACTCTAGTACCATATGAAAACTAGAAAATTGATGTTGATACAATTCATAAAATTACTTCTATGCCTTCTTATCCCAGATGTTGATTAGTGTAACCACCCTGGCAATCAAGATACAGAAACTGTCCATCATGGAATGAAAAAGCACTTCATTACTGTTCCCAGTGTTTATTGATACCACAGTGTGTATGTGTGTAAGAGATGGGGAGCTTCTTAATTCCAGCCGGGGATTTTTTATCTTTGCCTTTTATGATCACCTTGAAGAAAAAAGGTAGGTACCACATTACTATGAGATAAACATAAAAATCTCAGCTCTCTACTTGGCCTTTACTAGTGGAGGTGGGGATGGAGTCCGTGGAATTTGGTTAAAGCAGGGCAGTTACTATCTAAAAGTTTTCTGTCTTGTTAAGGTTTTTATTTTCCTGGACCTTTGGCTAGAGAGAACAGACTTTCCTTGGGGCTTTGTTTGCACCCTTTTGTGTTTGCAGGTTTCCACATGCTACAGCAGATAGTCTGGGATATATTCAACCAAAAAAAAAATAGTAATAATAACCTGCATTCTTTTTTTCACCTTTCAGAGTGTCCTTATGTTTGTTTTACATATCATGTCCCTAGTTTTTAGTTGGACTTAGTAGAAAGAATAAAGAAAAGTTCATCCACTCTATTTTTTTCTGGAACTGAAAGTCCACATACATTTGTTTATAAAATGTATTTCTTGTGTTAGCCAGGAAAATAAGCCCAGAAAAAATAAATAAATAAAAAGCATGCTTGTTAGGAAAAAAAAAGAAATAAAGAAAGAAAACTGCCCATCCACAGACAACATGATTATCTATGTAGAAAATCCCAAAGAATCTATAAAGAAATGAATTCCTAGAACTAGTCAGTTTAGCTAGTTCTTAAGTACAAGGTCAATACATGAAAACCAGTCTTATTTTATGCACTACATATGTAAAATTAGAATCTAAAAATTACTTAAATAATGAAATATCACACAATTTCATATAAATACAATAACCTCCAAAAAATGTGTAGTTATAATTCTCACAAAACGTGTATGCTATCTGGATGCTGAAAATTACAAAATGCTTATGAAAGAAACAAATGAATATCTAAATATAAGGAGCCCTACCATTTTAATTGATTGAAGACTGAATTTGTTAAAGATACTAATTCTTTTCAAAATGTTTTATGGATTTAATGTAATATCTATCAAAATTTAAGCAAATTTTTTTTTCAGATATAGACAAGCTGATTCTAAATTTATAAGGAAAGGCAAAAGAACTAGAATAGCTAAATGAATTCAGAAAGATAAGAATAAAGTTGAAGGAATCATACTGCCCATTTTAAGACTTACTAAAAATCTGCAATAATCAAGTCAGTGTTGTGAAAAGAAAATAAATCGTGGGGCCCCAAAATCACTAAACTAAAGGGACAAGTCAAGTTCAAGCTGGGAACTGCATAGGGTAAACCTCCCTTTAATTCTATTCCAAGTCATCCCTGTGCTCACTGAGATAAATGCTTATCTGAATGCGTACTTTGGAAAGGCAAATCGGAAACTCAGAAGAATGCAACCGTTTGTCCCTTGTCTACCTATGACTTGAAAGCCCCCTCACCACTTCAAGTTGTCCCACATTTCCGGACTGAACCAATGTTCATCTTACATGTTTTGATTGATGTCTCATGTCTCCTTAAAAGGTTTAAAACCAAGCTGTGCTCAGACCACCTTGGGCACATGTCAGGACCTCCTGAGGCAGTGTCCCGGGTGTGCATCCTTAACTTTGGCAAAATAAACTTCATAAATTGACTGAGATCTCTCTCAGATATTCAGGGTTCACAGTGTGGTATTGGTGAAGGAATAAACATACAGATAAAAGAAAGAATGGCGATTAAAGAAATAGAGCCACACAAATGTGACTGATTAATCTGACAAAGTTAAAAAAGCCATTCAATGAATAAAGGCTAGTCTTTTCAACAACTGGTATTGGAACAATAGACATCCATAGGCAAAAGAAATGAATCTCATTCTAAACTTTACACCATGTACAGAAATTATCTCAAAAATTTTAAAAGAAATTAATTCAAAAATCTAAAAGTAAATTGCAAAAATGTAAAATGTTTGGAAGGGACATGGGAGAATACCTATGTGACCTTGAGTTTGGTTGATGAGTTCTTAGACATAAAATCAAAACCATAATTCATAAAAGATTAAAATGATCAATTGAACTTCACCAATTTTTCTAAACTATTGCACTGTGAAAGACTCTGATAAAAAATTTAAATGGCAAGACACAGAATGAGAGAAAATATTTTTATTTTACTTATGCACAAAGAATTGAAATTTACTTTATAGAAAGAACATTCAAAACTCAACAATAAGAAAATACACAATCCAAATACACAATCCAATTTAAAAATTAGCAAAAGACATGAGCAACTACTTCAGCAAAGAAGAAATAAGGATAACAAAGAAGGCATTCAACATTAATAGCCATTAGATAAATGTAAAATGAAACCATGATGAGATTCCATTGTACAACCATTAGAATGGCTTACATTAAAAAAAAATACTAAAAATATAAAGTGCTATCAAAGATGCAGAACAATTGTAGCTCTCAAAATATTGCTGATAGGAATGCAAAATGGTACAATCTTTCTGGAAAGGTTTTCTAATTTCCTAGACTGGCAAACATATAATTACCATATGACACAGCATTCCATCTTCTGGATATCTACCCTAAGAGTTGAAAAATTATGTTTACAAAACAACCTCTATACAAATGTCCACTATTCATAATTGCCAAAAACTAGAAATAATTAAAATGTCCTCGAAGGGCAGATAAACAAATTGTGGCTTGTGTATTCATACAATAGAATACTATTCAGCAAGGAAAAGAAATGTGCTTTTGAAATACACAAGACTTTGGATGAATCTTAAAAGCATTATGCTGTGTAAAAGAAGTCAATCTCAAGACGTTACATACTATGTGATTCCATTTATATGTCATTCTTGAAGAGCCAAATCTATAGGAACTCAGAAGCAGTCAGTGGTTGTCAGGAGTTATGAGAGATGGAACAGGGGGACTTTGGAGGGAGATTAAATTGTTTTGTATTTAAATATGATGGTACACACATGTATTAAACAAAAAACTGTGATGCCACAGGAGGAAAAAATCAATTTTATTACAAGGTGCTTTTTAAAAGTAATAAAATATTTATTTCTTAATTCTCAAATATACTGGGATATTTTTAGTTATCTATTTGTATTAGCTTAGTTGAATTGTGATCAGAGGATATATTTTATAATGAAATCTGTTCATTAAAATTAATGGAGATATCCTTTATGGCCACTATATTATCAATAGTTGTAAATAATCTGTGTATATTGAAAAAATGCCTATTTATAAATGTTAAATACAGGGATCTTGGTCTTCCATTAGACCAATTTTGTTACTTAGGTTGATCAACGAATGTCTATTGATGCTGTTGTTGTTGCCTCTCCTAACACTTCCTGAGAAAGGTAGTATAATTTTGTATAATTATTTTCTTTTGTAAGTATTTTAGGCAATGCTATTAAGCAGCATACACAGGTAAAATTGTATGGCTATGTGACATATGGAACCTTTTATAATTAAAGAGTAATCCTTTTATATCTAGTTTTTTAAATTTAAATTTTTTGTATTAAAATATTTGCAGTAGCATTATTTTATTAGGGTTTACATGGTATATATTCTTCTGTGTTTTTACTTTCAACCATTCTATTTTAAATGACTTACATAAGTATCATACATTTAGTTTTTTTTTTTAATCTGCTAATATTGTCATTTAACTGGAGAATTTAGGCCTTTCATATTCAATGTAAGTTTTAATATATTTAGACTTACATCTGCCTCTTGGTATTTGTTGATATACATATTCTAGCCTGCTTTTCTCTTATTTTTTAACTTTTATGCTGATTATTTTAATCATCTCATTTTCCTTTTCTTGTGCAGAATTTATATATTTTATTCCTTTTATTTTAGTGATGATCCTTGAAATTGCAATACACATAATTAAATTATCAAATGTACATATGCTTTGACCCAGAAATGTTACTATTAAGAATTTATTTTCAGAATTAAGAACAGAGGTACAATAAAATCTTCATCATGATACTCTTCAATATGCTAAAAAATTGAAAAAAATTAAATATTCAACATCAGGTTGTTGGTTGTAAATAAAACTATGTAATAAAGTAATCTACAGTCATTTAAAGTAATACTTCAAGAGAGAAATTAATGTTATAACTACTTTCACAATGCAGCATTAAGCAAAAAAGAAAAGGAAAAACCCAATAAAATATCATTGTATGTGTATGCACATGCACATATATATATGAATATGTGAATATACTTGAGTATATATGCATTTGTCACAAAAAGATCATATAAAATATTGCTAATAGTAATTATAACATGGTGGTGAGATTATAAGTAAAAGCAAATTTATTTTGTTCATCAGTATTTTATATAATTCAAATGAAATTTTTGTATCAACAGGAACATAGAACAATATCACTAGAAAATTCAGAACACAGTGTTTACAGTAAGAATTTAAATGAAAAAATTAATTCTAGTATCTCTGCTATGATTACAGCAAACTAGAAATTACATATACATATGAAAATATCTTCTAAAGAATGTAGAAGAATTAAAACAGCTAATTTGATATAGTTTTCAATTGTGTAACCATTTTTTTCAAAAACAATTGTTTTTTCTTTAAAAAATAAAACATAAACTTCACTGAGAGAGACTGTGATGACAGGTCAAGCAATAGAAGAGGAAATTATATAGATCCAGTATAATCTGTGTTCAAATATAGTTTCTCACTGCATATATCTAGTTGTGTCTGTCAGATACAAACTGTTATTGCTATCATTAGCCAACAAGTAAATCCCTGATAAATGAGCATGTCAGAGGGTGCCCCTTCAGTCATCTTTGGCACAGCCCTGCCATTAATCTAAGGGAAAATTTTTCTGTGATCTTGGAGCCTTACTCATATTTTGTGATCTTGAGCTACAGGCTTTGACATTGCACTGAGACCAAGGATTTGGGGGTTTCCTCGCTGACTTTGACTTCAGGCTGACACACTGTTGCAAATCATTTCACCTGCCACTATGTAAGCTCCTTTTCTGTCATAAGGACACTGGTCTATACACACAAATGTAAACACACCCAAATTATTCTCAGAAGTAAAAATATATATAGAGAGAAAGAAAATAGACAGAAAAAATTCTTTGGGAAATAGATGTCACATGAAATAATCTTCTTCTGTTACTTTTGTGCTTTTGCTCATTGGTATGAGAGATGGTGGTGTGGAGGTAGACTACTTCTAACATTCTGATTCGAGATCTGCTTGTTAAAATAATAATTAAAAAAAGAGCTTATTCATGGATTTCTTGTTTATCCTCAGAATTACCAGTTCATTATTTAAAAGAAGTACATCCTAATTTTTTTGTAGAAATTGACTGAGAAAAAATGTTGTCCGTCAGTGGACATTATATCTATACATTACTTATCTGACAAAAAAAAAGGAGGCTGGGAAGATGACGTCCCTGCAGCCCTGACCTCAGCAACTCCTCTTTCCCATGTCCCCTCTCTTCCCTAACAGTGAATCACCACCTATTTCTTTGGTAATTGTACCATGGAAGATGGCAAACTGGCCCAAGACTTTCTGGACTCACAGAACCTCAGTGCGTGTACAACACCTGGCTCTTCAAAGAGGTCGATGGAGAAGGGAAGCCCCACTACGAGGTGCAGCTGGCTTCTGTGCTCGGCACAGAGCCTTCCCTGGACTCCGAGGTGATTCCAAGCTGAAGAGCTAGGAATTCCGGGGAAGCCCTTTCCAGGTGACTTGGGGGAACTACATGCCCATCCTCCAGAAGGTGGTGGAGCAGCTGGAGAAAGCCAAGACGTATGCAGCCAACAGCCACCAGGAGCAAATGCTGGCCCAGTACATAGAGAGCTTCACCCAGGGCTCCACAGAGGCCCACAAGAAGGGGTCCCGCTTCTGGATCTAGGACAAAGGCCCCATCGTGGAGAGTTACATCGAGTTCATCCAGAGCTACCGTGACTCCTTTGGTTCCCGAGGAGTATGTGAAGGCTTCGTAGCCGTGGTGAACAAGGCCATGAGTGCCAAGTTTGAGTGGCTGGTGGTGAGCGCAGAGCAGCTGCTGAAGGAGTTGCCCTGGTCCCCAGCCTTTGAGAAAGACAAGTTCCTCACCCCTGACTTCACCTCCGTGGATGTTCTTACCTTCGCTGGCTCTGGCATCGCTGCCGGCATCAACATCTCCAACTACAATGACCTGAAGCAGACGGAAGGCTTTAAGAACGTGTCACTGGGGAACGTCCTGGCTGTGGTCTAAGCCACGCAGTGGGAGAAGCTCACCGTTCTGGAGGAGAGTGACAAGGACTTGTACATCGTCCTGATGGGGCCCTCCTTCGATGTACAGGTGGGCCTGCACGAACTGCTGGGCTATGGCAGCGGCAAGCTCATCGAGCAGGATGAAAAAGGAGCATTCAACTTTGACCAGGAGACCCATCAATCCAGAGATGAGAGAGCAGATTCAGAGCTGGTATCGGAGCATGAAGACCTGGGACAGCAAGTTCAGCACCATTGTCTCCAGCTACGAAGAGTGCCGGGCTGAGAGCGTGGGCCTCTACCTCTGTCTCCACCCGCAAGTGCTGGAGACCTTTGGCTTTGAGGGGGCTGATGCAGAGGAGGTGATCTCCGTGAACTGGCTCAACATGGTTGGGGCTGGGCTGCTCGCTCTGGAGTTCTACACACCTGAGGCCTCCAACTGGCAGCAGGCCCATATACGGGCCCGGATTGTGATCCTGAGAGTCTTACCAGAGGCTGGCGAGGGACTCGGTACCATCACTCCCACCGCAGGCTCCGATGGGCGCCCGGAAGCCCAGGTCCGTCTCGACCGCAGCAAGATCCAGTCTGTGGGCAACCCTGCCCTAGAGCGCTTCCTGCGGAGGTGCTGGTCCACAGGGGATGTGGCCGGAGGGTGGACCCTGTACGAGAGGTATGCAGCAGTCGCTGATGCGCCCCCTGAGGGCTTTCTCACCCTCAGGGACAGGGTGCTGCTGCGTAAGGAATCTTGGAAGCTCATCGTTCAGCCCAACATTCGCCTTGAAGGCTCAGACGTGCAGCTTCTGGAATACGAGGTCTCAGCTGCTGGCCTCATCAGATCCTTCTCTGAGCATTTCCCAGAGGATGGACTCGAGTTGGAGGACATCCTAACACAGCTGGCAACAGCCGATGCCCAATTCTGAAAGGGCCCCAGTGAGGCCCCATCTGGCCAGGCTTGTGGAAGAAGTGTGTGGCCTCTCCCCCAACTGCATCAAACCAAGGCTGCAAGTGGCCCTCCATTCGTGTTGTATTTAGGGGCTGGGGAGGGGGAGGGGGAGGGGCAGGAGCTTGGACCTTGGTACTACCTCAGCTGAGGGTGGTGACACTAACCCCTTCCATTTGTCAGCACCTTCCAGCGTGCCAAGTGCTTCCCCTCTGTGAACTCATTTCATATGCACTGCCATATGTGGAGTGAGCAAGACCGTGCTCACCATCCCGTCTACCAGATGAGGAAATGGCAGTTCTGAGAAATCACGGTCTAGATCCTGTAGATGACATGTGACAGCTAGGGTTCAAAACGTTCTCACCAAATCCAATGCTCTTCACGTATTAATTTTATAACCTGGCAAATAAATATTAGAGACAACCACCAAAAAAAATTAAAAATAAATTAAATAAAAAAACTAAATACCTTCCATGGTGGGAAAGCTCCAAGGAGATCCCAGTGATCTCCTTGTCCTAGTGTTCACTGCTTCTTGTAATTCCCTCCCTGTGAATGATTAAATATATGTGTCTAGGATATAGTGCCCCATTACTTAACCAAACATCAATCTAGATATGCCATAAACGTATTTTGTAGATGTGATTAATGTTTATAATAAGTTGCCTTTGAGTAAAGGAGATTACTGTGGACAGCATGGGTTGGTTTTGTTCAATCAGCTGAATGTGTTGAGAACAAAAAGCTGAGATGTCTCAGAGAAGAAAAAAATTCTACTTCAAAACTGAAGCTTCAACTTCTGCCTGAGTTTCCAGCTCACCAAACTACCTATGGGTTTCAGGTTTAGAAACCCACACCATTTTTTGAGCTAATCCTTAAGGTAAATCTCGTGTCTGTTTTATTGGTTCTATTTCTCTGGAGAGCATTGACTAATAAACTCCCCTTGGGCATGGGAGAGACTTGTATCTTAATTCTGACTGAGAGAACATGGGAAAGGTGATAACATGTCACTCCTGTGATTACACTGTATTTTATAAGATCCTGTCTTAGCAGACTAGAAACAAAGTCTTCCCTTGTGGGCTTAATGAATTTATGGTTATGTTGAAGAAGCCCACATAACAAGTAATTTCAGTGGAGTCTACTAATCATGGGCAATTCTTGGACCTGAGAGTGGTCCCCATATGGCAACCAGTAAAGACAGGGCCCTAAATTGCATCATGCTACCTTCTACTAATAACCCAAATGAGGGAGGAAGTTCATTCTTCCTCAGTTGAGCCTTCAGATGAGCATACATGTTGGCTTTCATTTTTATTGCAACCTTGTGAGACTCTGAGAAGAAGGCCAAGCTAAGCTGTGCCTCTACTCCTGACCCATGGAAATGAGGAGATAATGCTATAAGCTGCTAAGTTTGAGACAATTTGTTATGCAGCAATAAAAAAAAACATGAATCTGCCTTCCAACACATAAGGGATATTTTTATGAATAGAATCTATTAGTGTTAATCAGTTTTGATACTTTTTTAACAAAGAAAACTCTTTTTATAATATATAATAATATTAACATAGGACTTTAACTTAGTTTTCAAATGCCATAAAAATATGTGTGTATGTTGTGCTATAAAAGAGGGTGATAAGAGAGACACAGGGATAGGAAGATGTAGCAAGAAAGATGCAGATGGAGGATGCAGAAAGAGGAAAGGATAATTAGTAAATGTGAAATTAATCATGTCAGACTATAAAAATGATTTTATATACTACAACTCAGACCAAAATGGCATTTAATTGACATAGATTCTGTAAAATATTCTGTTGAGAAATTATTATACTTTAGCAAATGAGCCAAAATATGTTGTCCAGAAAAGTAAAATTTTCAAAAATTAACAACAAAAAACATTTAAATGTGCTGGGTACAGTGGCTCACGTCTGTAATCCCAGCACTTAAGGAGGCCAAGAAGGGTGGATTGCTTGAGCCCAGGAGTCTGAGACCAGTCTGGGCAACAAGGTGAAATTCCACCTCTACAAAAAAAAAAAAAAAAAAAAAAAAAAAAAAACCTCCAAAAATTATTACACTTTTGTAACCCCAGATACCAGGAAGGTTGAGGATCACCTGAGCTTGGGACATCAAGGCTGCAGTGAGCTGTGATCTTGCCACTGTTATCTAGCCTGGGTGATGGAGTAAAACTCTGCCTCAAAAAAAAAAAAAAAAAAAAGGAAGGAAAGTATACACCTTAGCTTTTTGGAAAAGACTTATGTGTACTTTAAAAAATATACATCGAATTTTGTTTTTTATTTAGAACTATATATACGTATAAGTAAGCAAAACAATCCAGTGTCAAATAGCCTTTTTAAAGAATCTTATTTTATTTTATTTTTATTTAAGACATTTTTCGTAGAGATAGGGTGATATAGTTTGGATATGTGTTCTCACTCAAATCTCATTGTAATCTCCAGTATTGGAGGTTGGGCCTGGTGGGAAATGATCAAATCATGGGTGTGGATTTCTCATGAATAGTTTACCACCATCCTTTTGGTGCTGTTCTTGCGATAGTGTTAACTTATCATGAGGTCTGACTGTTTTAAAGTCTATGGCATCTTGCTATCTCTCTTTCTCCCCATGTGACATGCCTGCTCCCACTCTGCCTTCCACCATGATTGGAAGCTTCCTGAAACTTCCCCAGAAGCAGATGCCGCTACGCTTCCTGTACAGCATGCAGAACTGTGAGCCAACTAAACCTCTTTTCTTTATAAATTATCTGATACCAGGTATTTCTTTCTAGGAGTGCAAGAATGGCCACTAGAACCTTCTCTGGAAAAATGGTGGATAGGAAATAGGACTAACTTGCTCTCCCACTGGGATGGACAGAGCAGCATATGGGGATTCACATCATGAACTTTTGCTCCAAGAACTACCACAGGATCATGCCAGAAAAGCCAAGAGAATCACAGACCTTTCAAAGGAAGCAGCTTGCCACTGCAGGCTCTGTGAGACCTCTGAAAAACTGTGAGTGTGCAAAGTGTGAGGGGGAATGTCCACCCCCCAGCACACATCCTCACTGGGGAACCTGAATATCCAGATCACAGGAGAAGTATTTGGCCTTGCCTGAAGCTGAGATAAATTTAGAGAGCCAAGTGAAATATGGGGGTAGAGGAAGCACAGGAAGAGCCCTGTGGGCACTTTCAATCCCAAGGGAAGCCATTCCTGACTTTGTCTCACAGGGTTCCTTAGAGAGGGCTTCCAGCCAGTGAAATTGAGGAAAGACCACAGGGAGAAGAAAACTTCCAGCTAAAGTTTGTAACAACTTCGACCAAACATAAAGTTTTCTAGACAGAATCCAGGGGAGGAAGTAAACAGGGAGTGCAGACACAAGCACAGAAACTGCAGCAGGCAGGGAGGCATGAAACCTGAAAGCCCTGCTTGCTTTCTCAGAGGGGAGGCTTGTATCCTGGGGCAAGTTTTCAGTCCTGCTCACTGGCTGCCTGGAAATAAACTAGGTGCTGCTGTGGGGACACGATGGCAGTGAAACTAGCCTTTTGGGCTGCATGGTAGACGGGTGAGGCCTATAATTGGTGGCTTTCCCCCATTTCCCTGGTGACCTGCATGAAGCAGCAGAAGCAGCCATGGGTCCCTGGGAACATAACTCCCTTGGCCTCAGAACCACACCCCCATCCCTCACAGCATCCACAGCAAGCCCCACCAAAGGAGAGTCTGAGCTCAAACATGCCTAACTCTGCCCCCATCTGATGGTCTTTCTCTACTCATCCTGGTAGCTGGAAATAAAGGACATAATCTCTTGGGAGCTCTATGGCACTGTCCACTGCCTGAGAAACCAGAATACTTATCCAGGTGATCTTAGGGCAAGCTTGTGTCCTCTCTACATTACCATAGCTGATGCTCTCTTGAAAGCACCACCTCCTGGCTGGAGGCCAACCAACACAAAACTAGCTCACTAAGTAAACATAAAACCAAGGACCTCCACAGAGTCCACTTCACTCCCCTGCTACCTCAACTGCAGCAGGTACTGGTATCCATGGCTGAGAGACCTGAAGAAGCATCACATCGCAGGACTCTGCAGGCACTCCCCAGTACCCACAAGAAGTCCTTTAGCCTGCCTGAGTGGCTAGACCCAGAAGAGAAATAACGATCACTGCAGTTCAGATTTTAGGAAACCCCATCCTTAGGGGAAGGGGGAGAGCATTACATCAAGGGAGCACCCCATGTGACAAAGGAATCTGAACAATAGCCCTTGAGCCCCAGATCTTCCCTCTGACATACTCTATCCAAATGAGAAGGAACCAGAAAAGCAATTATGGTAATATGACAAAGCAAGGTTCTGTAACACATAGAAAATATTACACTAGCTCACCAGCAATGGATTCAAACCAAGAAGAACTCCCTGAATTTTCAGAAAAAGAATTCAGAAAATCTATTAAACTACTCAAAAAGCACCAGAGAAAGGTGAATACCAACTTAAAGAAATAAAAAAATACAAGATATGGACAAAAAAACACTCCAGACAAATAGCATGAATATAAAACAATCACAACTTCTGGAAATGAAGGACACACATTGGAGAATTGCAAAATACACTGGAATGTCTCAGCAATAGAAACGAATAAGTAGGAGAAAGAACTTCAGAGCTTGAAGACAAAGCTTTTGGATTAACTGAATCCAACAGAGACAAAATAAAAAGAACCCGATCTGAAAAAGACAAAGACAAAGAAAAAATGAACAAAATCTCCAACAAGTTTGGGATTATGTTAAATGACCAAACCTAAGAATATTGGTGATCCTGAGGAAAAAGAGAAATCTGAAAGTTTGGAAAACATCCTTGAGGGAATAATTGAGGAAAACTTCCTTGGCTTTGCTAGAGATGTAGACATCCAAATACAAAAAGCTCAAAGAACACCCAGGAAATTCATTGCAAAATGATTATCACCTAGGCACATAATCATCAGGTTATCTAAAGGCAAGATGAAGGAAAAAAATCGTAAGAGCTGTGAGGCAAAAGCATCAAGTAACCTTTAAAAGAAAACCTATCATATTAACAGTAGATTTCTCAGAAGAAACTCTGCAAGCTAGAAGGGATTGGGGTCCTATCTTTAGCCTCCTTAAAAAAAGAATTATCAGTCAAGAGTTTTGTATCCAATCAAACTAAGCTTCATAATGAAAGAAAAATAGTCTTTTTCAAATAAACAAATGCTGAGAAAATTTGCTACTAGCAACACAGCACTACCAAAACTGCTAAAAGAAGCTCTAAATATTGAAACAGATCCTAAAAATACATCAAAATACAACCTCCTTAAGGCATAAATTTCACAGAACTTATAAAACAATAACACAATGAAAAAAACACAAGGTATTCCGGCAACAACTAGCACAATGAATAGAATAGTACTTCAATTCTCAATACTAATGCTGAATGTAAATGACCTAAATGCTCCACCTAAAAAATACAGAATGGCAGAATGAATAGTGATTCACTAGCCAAATATCTGCTGCATTTATGAGACTCATCTAACACATAAGTATTCACATAAACTTAGAGTAAAGGGGTGGAAAAAGGTATTCCATGCAAATGGACACCAAAAGAGAGCAGGAGTAGCCACTCTTACATCAAACAAAAGAGACTTTAAGGCAACAACAGTTAAAAAAAAGACAAAGACATTATATAATGAATAAAGAACTAGTCCAACAGCAAAACATCTAATCCTACACATACATGCACCTAACACTGGAGCCCCCAAATTTATAAAACAGTTACTACTAGATCTAAGAAATAAGATAGCCAGCAACAAAGTAATAGCAGGGAATTTGAATACTCCATTGACAGCACTAGACAGGTTATCAAGACAGAAAGTCAACAAAGAAACAATAGTTTTAAAGTATATACTAGAACAAATGGACTTAACAACTATTTACAGAACATTCTACCCAACAACTGCAGAATATACATTTTATTTATCAGCACATGAAACATCATCCAAGATAGACCATACGGTAGGCCACAGAACAAGTCTCAAGAAATTTAAGAAAATCAAAATTATATCAAGTACTCTCTCAGACCACAGTGGAATAAAATTGTAAATCAACTCCAAAAGGAACCATCAAACCCAGGCACATACATGGAAATTAAATAACCTGCTCTTAAATGATTGTTGGGTCAACAATGAAATCAAGGTGGAAATTTAAAAATTCTTTGAACTGGATGATAATAGTGACACAACCTATCAAATCCTCTGCGATACAGCAAAAGCAGTGCTAAGAGAAAAGTTTATAGCATTGACTGCCTACATCAAAAAGTCGGAAAAAGTGCAAATAGACAATGAAGGTCACACCTCAAGAAACCAGAGAAACAAGAAAAAATCAAACCTAAACCCAACAGAAGAAAATGAGTAACAAAGATCAGAGAAGAACTAAATGGAATTGAAGCAAACAAAAAAATACAGAAGATAAATGAAACAAAAAGCTGGTTCTTTGAAAAGATAAACAAAATTGATAGATCATTAGCAAGATTAACCAAGGAAAAAAGATCCAAGCAACCTCAATCAGAAATGAAATGGGAGTTATCACAACTGATACCACAGAAATACAGAGGACCATTCAAGGCTACTATGAACATCTTTACACGCCCAAGCTAGAAAACCTAGAGGAGATGGCTAAATTCCTGGAACTATACAACCCTCCTGGATTAAACCAGGAAGAAATAGAAACTGAACAGATTAATAACAAGCAGCAAAATTAAAATGGTAATTTAAAAATTGCCAATAAAAAAAGTCAGCACCGGACAGATTCACAGCTGAATTCTATCAGACATTCAAAGAAGAATTGGTACCAATCCTATTGACACTATTCAAAAGATAGAGAAAGAGGAAATCCTCCCTAAACCATTCTATGAAGCTAGTATCACCGTAATACCACAACCAGGAAAGGACAAAACAAAAAAGAAAAGAGAAGAAAACTACAGACCAGTATCTCTGATGAACACAGGTGCAAAAATCCTCAACAAAATACTAGTGAACCAAATTCAACAACATATAAAAAAAAATCCACCATGATCAAGTGAGTTTCATACCAGGAATGCAGGGAGGGTTTAACATATGCAAGTCAATAAATGTGATACAGCTCATAAACAGAATTAAAAACAAAAATCACATGATCATCTCAATAGATGCAGAAAAAGCATTTCACAAACTCCAGGAACCTTTGATGATTAAAACCCACAGAAAAATTGGCACAAAAGAAACATTCCTTAAGGTAATAAAAGCCATCTATGACAAACCCATAGCTAACATTATACTGAACAGGGAAAAGTTCAAAGTGTTCCCCCTGAAAAGTGGAAAGAGAAAAGGATGCCCACTTCTACTCAACATAGTACTGGAAGTCCTAGCTAGTACTATCTGACAAGGGAAAGAAATTAAGGCATCTAAATCAGTAAAGAGGAAATCAAACTGTTGCTGTTTGCTGATGATATGATTATATACCTAGAAAACACTAAAGACTACTCCAAAAAGCTCCTAGAACTGATAAATGAATTAAGCAAAGTTTCAGATAAAAAATTAATGTACACAAATCAGTAGCTTTCCTGTAAACCAACAGTGACAAAGCTGAAAGTCGAACTCAACCCCACTTTATAATAGTTGCAAAAAAATAAAATACTTAGGAATATACCTAACCAATGAGCTGAAAGACCTCTACAAGTAAAACTACAAAACACTGCTGAAAGAAATCATAGACGACACAAAAAAATGGAAACACATCTCATGCTCATGGATGCATAGGATCAATATTGTGAAAATGACCATACTGCCAAAAGTGATCTACAAATTCAATGCAATTCCCATCAAAATACCATCATCATTCTTCACAGAACTAGAAAAAACAATCCTAAAATTCGTATGGAACCAAACATATAGCCTGCATAGCCAAAGCAAGACTAAACAAAAATAACAAATCTGGAGGCATCTCATTACCTGATTTCAAAGTATTCTATAAGGTCACAGTCACCAGAACAGCATGATACTGGTATAAAAATGGGCACATAGACCAATGGAACAGAATAAAGAACCCAGAAATAAACCCAAATGCTTACAGCCAACTGATCTTTGACAAAGCAAACAAAAACATAAAGTGGGGAAAAGACACCTTCTTCAACAAATGGTGATGGAATAATTGGCAAGCCACGTGTAGGAGAATGAAACTAGATCCTCATCTCTCACCTTATACAAAAATCAACTCAAGATGAATCAGGGACTTAAATTTAAGAAATGAAACTATAAAAATTCTAGAAGATAACATTGGAAAAACCCTTCTAGACATTGTCTTAGGCAAGGATTTTATGACAAAGAACCCTAAAGCAAATGCAGTGAAAACAAAGATAAATAGGTGGGACTTAATTACACCAAAGAGTTTTCGCAGGGCAAAAGGAACAGTCAGCAGAGTAAACAGACATCCCACAGAGTGGGAGATAATCTTCACAATCTATACATCTGACAAAGACTAATATCCAGAATCTACAACAAACTTAGGCTGAGGCAAAGTCTTCATGCCCAAGAACCTAAAAGCAAATTCAACAAAACAAAGATAAATAGATAGGACTTAATTAAATTAAAAAGCTTCTGTACAACTAAAGAAATAATTAGCAAACAGACAACCCACAAAGTAGAAGAAAATCTTTATGAACTACACATCTGACAAAGGTCTAATATCCAGAATCTACAGGGAACTCAAACAAATCAGCAAGAAAAAAAAAACAATTCCATAACAAATTGGACTAAGGACATGAATAGACAATTCTCAAAAGAAGATGTACAAATTGCCAACAAACATATGAAAAAATGCTCAACATCACTAATTATCAGGGAAATGCAAATCAAAACCACAATGTGATACCACCCTACTCCCGCAAGAATGGCCACAATAAAAAAATAATAGATGTTAGCGTGGATGTGGTGAAATGGAATACTTTTACATTGCTGGTGGGAATGTAAACTAGTACAAACACTATGGAAAACAGTGTGGAAATTCCTTAAAGAATTATTAAATAAAAGTAGATATACCTTTTGATACAGCAGTCCCTCTCTTGAGTATCTACCCAGAGGAAAAGAAGTCATACAAAAAAGACACTTGTATATGCATGTTTATAGCAGCACAATTCACAATTATGAAAATATGAAATCAACCCAAATGCCCATCAATCAATGTGTGGATAGAGAAAAAAATGTGATATATATATGTATGTATGTATATATATATGTATATACATATATGTATGTATGTATATATATATGTATATACATATATGTATGTATGTATATACATATATGTATATACATACGTATATATATACACACACACACCATGGAATACTACACAGACATTAAAAAAATGAAATAATGCAACCTGCATGGAATTGGAGACCATTATTCTAAGTGAAATAACTCAGGAATGGAAAACCAAACATTGTATGTTCTCACTCATAAGTAGGAGCTAAGCTATGTGGATGCAAAGGCATTAGTATGATAATTTGGACTTTGGGGACTTGTGGGAAAAGGTAGAAGGGGGTTCAGGGATAAAAGACTACACATTGGGTACAGTACACTGCGTGGGTGAAGGGTGCACCAAATTTTCAGAAATTACCACTAAAGAACCTATCCAGGAAACCAAACACCACCTGTTTCCCAAAAACCTATTGAAGTAAAAAATGAAAATAAAAAGAGGAATGAGAAATCGAGCCAACAAAACAAAAATAGAGAGTGTGAAACTTAAAATATAAAAAAAGAATGGTCTAATACAAGGAGGTCTCACTATATTGCCCAGGCTGGTCTTGAACTCCTGGTCTTAAGCAATCTCCTCCTGCAGTGGCCTCCCAAAATGCTAGGATTACAGGTACAAGCCACTACTCCTGGTCAAGAATTCTATTTTGAATCATCATAAAACAGTAAATGCCCTTGGTAATTTCTGACATGCACTTGGATAGGAAATTAAAAAATATATAGAAAGTGACAGAATTGAAAGAAAAGACCTCCTTCTCCCAAAATCTTTCCCCAAAGTTCAGGCCAGGGCAATAAACAATCTTTTTTAAACATCTAAATAGTGATCCAGGGCCATAGGGAATAACACCACAGGAGAAAGAAAATGTATTCCAGAGTATAGCATAGAGCAAATATATGCTTATGTATATATATTGTGATGATTAATTATATGGATTTTCGGCTCTGTGGATTTTTGATGTGACAGACCCCATAATTGTGACTCAACTTCTTAAAATCTCTTTATCTCACCTTCTTTCTGTAGAGAGAGAGTGGGAGAGAGAGATTTTGTGTATACATCTCTCTCACACACACACACACACACAAACACAAACAATATTGGCTCTGTTCCTTTGGATAGTGTTGACTAATACAATGTGTATAAAATTACATCTATTTACATAAATGACATTGTAATATATAACACATTAACAGTATTGCATGTCTTCTTATTTACTAATGATAGTGTCAACATTTTTATGTTCATAATGTACAAATACCCCTTATTCTCTTGACAGACATTCAATGACTGTCATGTATACAAACCATGACTATCCAGGTGCATGAATTAAAATTATTTGTTTGCTTCTGAAGTATATGTAGACTCTATTCATCAGCTATTTCCACCACACTGCTGTTGACAAAATATCTCATAATTCAGTAGGTTACATCAGCATTATTCCCATGTTCATGGAAACTGGTGGCTGTGCCTCAGGCTTTATGTTGTCTAGACTTAAATCCAGATTGTAGGAATGGTTCAGGTCTCTCTCCATTTATGTCTGTTTCGGAACACTGGCTGAAAAGGCCAAAGTTATGTTTGAGCATGCTCTTCTCCTAGAGGATCACAAGCTTGAAGGACACAATGTTTAAGCACATTTAAGACCTCTGTTCTTCACATCTAATCTACTGATCAATACAAATCAGATGTCTAAGGGCAACATCAAGAGAACAAACATATACGCTCTTCCCATAATAGTATACACGTCGAGTGTCCCTTATCTGAAAGCTTGGAACCAAAAGTGTTTCAGATTTCAGCTTTTTTTTCCTCAGATTTTGAAATCTTTGTATATACATAGTGAAATATCTTGGAAATGGGACCCAAGTCTAAATAAAAACATATATTTATGTTTCACATACACCTTATATACATAGACTAAAGATTATTTTATACAATGTTTCAAATAATTTTGTGCAGGAAAAAAGTTTGTGTGCATTGAACCATCAGGAAGCAAAGGTGTCACTATTTTAGACAACCCTGTGGACAATCTGGTTGCTTGACATCAACGTCATTCCTGACTCTGAATTTATATCCTACCAATAAGCAATCATTTTCTTATACTTAGTTACATATAAGTACTTAACATTACAAAATATGAAATTCCATTGATACAGTGAAAAATTAATGTGTTCAGAGTAACTAAGCAGCAGAGTAGCATTATCAGAATACCTGTATCAATTGTTATTTTTAAATGTTTCTTCCAGATTCATCTGCCTCATTAACAATAGCTTTTGTCTTAGAACTCTCAGTTTGATTTTATAAACTATAATGATTTCTTTTTCTGTTATGAATACATGCTGTTCTAGTCCTTCAATATGTGCATCACATTTTCACCATGTCATCTATAGGCACTTTTTCTGCAGTGTTAACAATGTCATCTTCATCATCATTATTTTCAACATCACCTTGATTCAGAACCATTTTAACTATTTTACCATTGGCCAATGAAAGAACAACTGGAGCATCATTATCGATGTTAAAAATGTCTTCCATATCCACTTCTTTCAGCTTACAGATGGACTCTGACGGTACATATATATTTTTTCTCACGTGACATACCCAATCTTTCAAAGTCACCACTCTGTGCATCATCACTATGGAACATGCTCGCGGGCCATAGGTTGTGCCAGGCATGGGCAACTTTAGTCACTGTGTTCCAAGTGTTGACAACAGCATACATACAGCATCCTTCATGCTAAAGTACTTTTGAAAACTTTCCACACCCACATCTCTGTTCATTCCTGTTAGCAAGCTTTTCAACAAAGTTTTTTTATAGTTATTCTTCATTAATTTAAGGATACCCTGATCACATGGCTAAATTAATGAAGTAATATTTGGGAGAAAGTGTGTGGCATAAACATTATTTTGATGAGAATTTCAGCTGGAAGAAGGAAGACTTGAAAACTGAGAACAAGTATTTAAGCCTCCACATCTATGGTCACAACTGCTGGAATTAAGAAGAGTCATAGATTAATTTTGAACTAGGAAAGAAGATCATATGTTTTTTTTGAATTTTTAAATTAATTTTAGAAAAAAATAAAAGTTAATATTTCTATATGAAAGCTAGTTGAAAGTAACATTGAATTTGAAGCAAAAATAACTAATTTCAAATGTCATGTGCACCTCATACTCATATTGACCCTCACAGGTCAATTAATGTCCGTAGTCATTTTTTTAATTATTAAAAAAGAAGAATATAAAGTACTTGTAACGGTTGTTGAAAATAATGCCTGTTAGGTCATTTTAATAACTGTTGATGATATAGGGTTATGCTTTGTTATATTAACATTGGTTTTATTCACTCTGAATTGGATTTTTACTTATCTTCTAATTTCCCAGAAGTAATCAAGCTTTGTATTCTTTTTCACGTGCTTGATTTTAGCTCCATGGCTAAATCCAGGAATTGACTTCAGAAACTTATGACTATTTTTTTTTCTTGGAAAAGTGGCTAGTGCCAAGAAAAAGGGTAGTATAAACATAAAAAATTATGAATCCTTTTAAATTCCTATGCCCTGACAAAATTAAAGGGAGACCACAGTAACTTAGAGCCTGAAATCAGTACATGACACTTCTAGGGAGATTGAGTCCAGGCACTCGGGGCTCTCAGCCTTAACAAAAACCTCATGGCTAAGTGAGGCACAGAAGCAATGGAATTATTCACCTTTAGAGACCACTCAGGTTTAGACAACAGTCATAATAGTAGAGATCTGAGAGCTTCACCAAATGGTCTACTCTGCTTAAAGCCCTTGGATCTTTGCACAACCACAGGCGTGGGAGTGAATCCTAATAAAGGCTGAGATTAAAATCTTGGTCAGCTCAGTAAGATGTAAGCTCAAACTTGGATGCTGTTTGATTTTTGGAAGATAACATTTATTTTACAATGGAGTTTAGGTAAAAAATTTATACTTGTTTTATGAGGAAATATTATTGCATATTACAGGAATTTAAAGAACATTTACTTAAAACCCGCTGTGCCCAGCTTCACCAGGGTCAACAAGAGATTACCTTGGCTATCACCAAGAACATAGCCTTAACATTTGTATAGGTTCAGAAGGTTGATCTAATCATTGCTCAGAACTGGTATCAGCAATTTTTAAATTTTCAATGAAACCTATAATGTTTGACATAACCAGTGACTTATCTCTTTAGAAAAACTCTAAAGCTAAACAGAACCATAGGTAGAATTTGCTTCATAACTACAGAATGAAGCAGGAAAAGTTACAATAGGAATCTGATGTTTAATGGCATCAGTCTTGTTAGCAATAACATCCCTAATAACAGATTTGTCTTCCAGTATCTGGATTTTTTTTTTCCTATTTAAACGTATCCTTTACCCTGCGAAGCTCCTGGTGGGACCCTGGCCTTAAGCTCTTTTTTTTTTTTTTCTAACGTCCACTTTTGATCCTCATCCTCGTGTTTCTTTCTGGCCCTATTCTTTTCAAACATTCTTATTGATTCATATTAATCAATCATTTTACAACCAATACTAATTACTTTGCAGGCATTCTGTCTCTTCAAAATGATTTTGCACATCTCTGCTCCAAAATACTGGTTTCAAGGCTTAATTTTAAGGAGACTACTTTACTTCCTCTATGTCCAGGGTTTTCATGAATGCCTCACTGTAGCCACTAAGTTAACAAATACACATGTCATCTCAAAATTAGTTTATAAAATCCTTTTTATCATTTGTGTAGTCTCATTTTGCCAAATACGTAGTATATTAGTATGGTCAAGGATTATGTATCTAAAAGCCCCAAATACGGAATTAAACATCATTATACAATGTTTCTTTCTTTGAGTATTAGACAGAATAACACAATTTCTAATGAGTTTATTAGGTTTTTCAGCTTTTCATTGTCAATTTTAAATCTTCATTATGATTTAACTAATCCAATGTACAGTTTAAAGTTTGGATATGGTATGTTTAAAGTTTCAAAATGGCTAACATGGAATAATTCAATTTCAGTAATGCTTTCTGTGTTTCAACTCTCCCAGAGCAAAGTAGAAGCCAGATGTTTTTCTGGGAGGACTCAAGATTTTCCCCCTTTTGTGACCATCTACCAAGGAATGTCTAGTCCAGAAGATCTTTGCATTGCAAACATTTGCTTTGGCTTGCAAAAAGTTATAGTTTCTTTTTCACCAAGATCTGTATTCTTATGCTGTTAAGACTCAGTATGAGGTTTTATGGATATCACTTATGTCATCTCTTTCTCCAAATATTATTGTGTAAAAGATGAAAATAATTTTCAAAAAACATGATTTTAAAATTAGAGAAGTATATTATAGCTAGGATTTAAAAAAACTAAAATAATCTTAGATAATTAGGAATTGCATAGCTCAAAGAATGCAGTTTAAGATGGTGACATTTCAAAGTAAAATAAAAATTGAGTTAAAAAAATAGAATAAGTTTCAAATTTGTAAATGAACATCTTCCAAGATATAAATTTACTACAAATTGAAACTAGAACTATCATATCATGGATAAAGTTCTACATGCAGAACTCTTATCACCATATTATCTTTCTTTTCTTTTTTTCTTTGTTTTTTTGTTTTGTTTTGTTTTTTGAGACGGAGTCTTGCTCTGTCGCCAGGCTGGAGTGCAGTGGCACGATCTTGGCTCACTGCAACCCCCCACCTCCTGCGTTCAAGCGATTCTTGTGCTTCAGCCTCCCGAGTAGCTGGGATTACAGGCACGTGCCACCACACCCAGCTGATTTTTGTATTTTTAGTAGAGATGGGGTTTCACCATGTTGGCCAGGATAGTCTCAATCTCCTGACCTTGTGATCTGCCCACCTCGGCTTCCCGAAGTGCTGGGATTACAGGTGTGAGCCACTGCGTTTGGCCAGTATTATCTTTCTTACCAACAGATTTCATTTTTATATTTGAATTTCGGAGTCGAAAGGCCTGTCGTGTATGAAATCCAGTTTCTCGAGTGTTCTGAAATCTATTTGTTATAAAAGGCAATATAATACTGAGAACTGTAATATAAATGCCATAGTCTCCTTATCTTGGGTACGAGATGGTGCCCTTGAGTTCCCTATGGTACAGCTTTGTGATGATGGCAAAGTGAGGCAGACCAAGTCACCTTCCCTGAAAATTCTAAACCTAGCCACCCCAGGATCCCAGTTCTGTAGCTTTCTATAGGCAGTGTCAATGGTACCTGTGTATTCAGAGTAGAGAAGAGGTTTAGTAAGTCTAAGTTTTCAAATGTAAGGTTAGACGTAGAAGGGTTTTTTTCCAAGTGATGTGGGGAGGTGCTGCCTATCAGGTAGCAAAATTAGTCAATAAAAAGTCAAAGTCATAAGTGGGAAGTTAATGATGTGCATCAAATTAGAAAAACAAAACATAGATTTAAAAAGAATAAATGGTAATAGAGTTTGTGGATAGGATGTGAGAGAATAGCCGACTTGCAGAATGGAGTTTGTTTTGATGGTTTAGAAATTCATTGGCAAAGTTTACCTGCTGATCAACAGTTGTGAAAGGTGGACAGTACTGCTTACAAGATCTGTATAAAAAAACCCTGCTCTTTATCCTGTTTTCTCATTTTTGATATCTATCTCAAACCTAAATAGCTTTAAAAAAATGAAGACTTTAAGAAATCTATTTCCAAGATACCATTTGTGTCACATGGTGCCTGGTATGTAAGAGTTATCCATTAAATGCTTACTGAGTAAATTTTTACTAAAGTGTTAATGACTCATAACTAAATTCCTTAGAGATTTGTATAATTAAAAGAACACAGAATATGAAAGAGATCTGAAGTTTTCAAGTTCTATGAGTATGCATTGCTCTTACGGTAAAATCTCAGATATTCAAAAGCAGATAGTCAGTATATATTTTGAGCTGGAAGATCATGGATTTACCTCTTTAGCTAAGACATAAGTGGTAAGTCACTGCACTGACTTCATCAAGCCAGGATCATTTTCTGTCGGAAGATAATACATGTTGCAAATAGGAATTCTGGATCGATCAGATTGCTTGTGATCTCAGACAGGTATTATAATTTCCATCTATACAGACAGATAAATAATAAATTGATATTCAAATTTAAAGGTATATATATATATATATATTTCATGCTCCTTCCATTACACCATGTTACTCCCTTAATCTCAAGGGAAAGAAAAGGGAAAGGATATAGAATATTTTTATTGAAGTAGCAGATTCTTTTTAACATTCTGAGAGCAGTCTTTGCATTAGATGCCTTTTACATACACCAGAGAGCCCAGTAATGTGCCCTCAAAGGTATAACTCAGGGAAAGAGAGGTGCACATTTAGCTATTCATGCCAAAAAATGATAGAAGACTAGCAGGCAAAGACAGTCAAATGATAAAAATCTATGCAAGTTCAATATCTCCATGGCTCTGCAAGATGACAAGATGAAGTCACTAGGCTTTATATTATTAGTCATGAATGATCAGTGTAGTTTTAAGAATACATTTCAACAAAGCAACTTTACTTTTTTTTTTTAGACACTTTTTTGACACTACATTAACAAGTGGAAGTCTCTGGACATGTACACATATAAGTTGCATCCCTCTCTATATATATCTTTCCACATAGTACATGTAGATATACATTTGAATGACTCATGTATTCATTAATGTTGCCTGAACTAGCTTTATCACTCTTTGAACCATGAATCTTAAATGGTAAGGTGCATATGATTTAGCTAAAATGCATTTTTGAAAACAAATATTACTAAGTACATTATATTCCACTCAGAAAAATAATCTTTGTTTCCTAGACTATTCATAAAATTGATGAAAAGCCATTTCCCAAATTACAAACAAACAAACAGCTCATTGGAGATAAGACAGAAATTTCTCCAAACTAAAGAAACACCAAGAAAAATTCAACTAAAACAATATATAGGTACTGATTAATTTTAATATGTTGAAATAAAATGGAAACCTCTAGTAACATAGAAAATTGCTACTTCTCCTTCCAGTTGCCCTGTAAAAAGTCAGCACTGTACAGTCTGCATTGTACTTATTCTTTGTATGGATATTGCCATGAATTTGAAAATTTAGCACTCGGTTTAATTATATCAACTCTTGAAAGTGTTAGAGTACTCTTTAGCATTGAAGTTCTTAATTTTAAGATGTACATTTTTCAAAGTGGAAATGCCCATCTTGCATGAATCTTAGAACGACCTTGTGAAGATGGCAGATAAGAAGCAATATCAGTATTTTAAAGAGGCAAATTAAAAACTCAAGGCACAAATCTGTGAAGTGACTTGAAAAAAATGAAGTTAAGAATTTGCTTCATATGTTAGTGGATCTATTTTTTTTCCCAAACAGATTGTGCAAATTTGCTTTCCTCAAAATCTTGGGCATTTGTAGATGTCAAAATAATACCTGAGCAATAAAAATAACCTTCAAGCACAGACAGTAAAACCATACCAATCTTCAAATTAATATAAAATAGCACTAAGCTCATACAGGTGTCTTTTAGGGACCAAAACTATAGCAAATTGTCACACTTTCAAAAACAAATGCTAAAGATGTATGCTTTCTCAGTTCATTTAATGTTCTTTACAGAAAGCCTAAGTTTAGGATATTATTTGGCCCTAAACTGGTAATTATCCACAAAAATATTGATTTATTCTGAGTAATAACAAAATAAAGATCTTAGCTTTCTGCATGTATGCTTGATGCCATAACCATTGGGTTTTTGCCCACCTAATAGCCTGAACAATTATTTAAATTATTCATTTACTCTTCTTAATTTGTATCCAGCAGGTAACACTGGAGTAGTTATTTATACAGTTTTAATTAATTTGAGACTTTTACTATTTTTGTATTTCCACTTAGGATTCTGAGAGAACATTAAAAGTGTATTTCTGTACATTTCAGATCGATCCCTTGAAAACGTACATTCACCAGAGGTCCTAACTAAAATAAGTAGATAGGTGAGTTTGAAAATGAATGTTGATATCTTCAGAGATACAGAAACCTTGGTAACATACACAATAAAGGTCTTAGACAATAGGAACAAGTCAAATGGTAATAAAACCAATACATGAATGAGTAAAGATATGTGAGAAAAATTAGCCTACGTAATACACTATAAGGCTAAAAGAATTATATTATCTCGTATAAAAATTTCTCGAGTATGCACTTTAACATGAACACCTCCCCATCCGTGCACACATATCAATATCTAATGAACAGAATAATTTCTAAAAATAATAAGAAAATAGTAGGATCTAAATACATCAGAAAAATAGGAAAACAACAAAAATATCTGTTAAATTATAATGGACACAAACAGGACCTCAAGGCTTAACAATAGAAACAGTTAATATGAATTAAGGTATTTATTTAATTATTTATGTATTCATTGAGCAGTATTTACTAGCCACTATATTTCATGCACTCTTCCTACCTGGTACAGGAATATTAAAATGAATTAGTTATGGCCCTTGACTTGAGGAACCAAGATTCTAGCCAGGACCCAGTTAAAACAAAACCAAAAAGACCTAGTTACAATAAAAGGTGTTTTCCTGTTAAAAGTACATAGAACCCCTAAGGTGGGAGAAAACACGTATAAGATGGACACAGGAACATGGGAACAATTGGCATTAGTAACTTTCCCTAAGAAACACATCAGGGGCTTGCATAAGAAAAAAAAAGAGAGGGGGAGGGAGGGAGGAAGGGACGGAAAGATGAAAGAAAGAGAGAGAGAAAGAGAAAGAGAGGAAGCAAAAAAAAAGAGAAAGAGAGAAAAGAAAGAAAGGGAAGGCAAAGGAAGGGAGGGGAAGGGAGAGTAGGGGAGGGAGGGAAGGGAAGGGAAGGGAAGGCAAGGGAAAGGAAGGGAAGGGAAAAAGACCATTTTTCTGGTATTAAAAAAGAATAGGAAGGACTGGATGGACTCACTTTCGACTTTCTCTACTGTACTGTACTGTTTAATAACCCCATTTTGTGTTAACATGAGGCTGTATTAGTTTGCTCAGATTACCATAACAAAATGCCACAAATTGTACAGCTGAAAAATTAGAAGTTTATTGATTCACAATTTTGAAAGCTAGAAGTCTGAAATCACTGTGTCATCAGGATTGATTTCTTCTGAAGGCCGTGAGTAAATAATCTATTCCAGGTCTCTTTTATGGGTTTATAGATAGTCGTCTACTTTCTATGTTTGTCTAGTCGTCACATCATGTTTCTTCTATGTGCGTCTGTATCTGTCTAAGTTGCCCCTTTACATAAAGACAGTAGTTATATTGGATTAGGGACCACTCTAATGATCTCATTTTAATTTGATTACCTCTATAAAGACCCAGTCTCCAAATAATGTCACAATCTGAGGGTACTAGGAATTATACAATCATATTTTGAGGGATAGTATGCAACCCATAACAAAAAGTATAGAATAATTTAATTAGACACTGCCCTGAAACATACACATACACACACACACACACACAAAGTCTATGGATATTGTCATAAAAAACTGATACTACTCTTGAGTCAGTTGAGCCAATCATTTTCCTCACCCCCAGGCCAAAAATGTAATCTGTATTAAGATTTACAGATAGGCTAGGGAAGTATTTTCCTGGTTAACAGCCATTTAAAAATACAAAAATTATATAATAACCAAATTTACTTGATGTTATGCACCCAGTGGTTTTGTGCTCAAGATATTAGATGAAGAGTTGGAGGCCCCAGCAGTAGAAGGGCAGAAGATATTCTCAATTAAGATTAATCCTCAACCTTTTAGCTTGATAGTATTGCTACTTTCTGATTCTGATGTTATAATTTATGTTCCCAAGGCTTATTCTATCCCTTTTCATAAATTGAAGAAATATAGCCTAGGCCTTCATTGGCAGAAATATATGTGTATAAAAGTACAAAATATAGCTTGGTACCTGGGATGTTTCTTTTGTGTTTCTCTGATTATTTGATATTTGAATAGATAGCTTTAGAAGCTAAATCTGAAGCAAACTCCATTGCATATATCATTAGAGAGAACTGAAGAGCTTAGCCAGTTAACTTCCACCTCCTTTGGACTAAATAAGGAAGTCTTCCTGACACTCCAATCTATACTGAAGAGCAATTCTTTTTATGGCAAAGCTTTTGAACTTTGTTTGATGCCTGCTTGCCTTTCACATGCTTAATATGTATTCATCAGTCACATCAGCAGGATAGGGAAGCATGCCCCAAGGAATGGTTGAGAATCACTGTTTGATATAGTGATAGTAATATATCATGTGGATGCAATTATTAACTATCATCTGAATGAGACAAGCACAATGATCAGTATTTCTCTTCTGTTTATATTTCAGTGCTGAAAGTATATGATTATTTACACCCCACCTGATTCTGAAAAAATGATTTGAGGTGGCCTCTACAATAAATTCAGTCCAGCAATATAAAGGTAGTCTGAAGAAACTGGACTAAAGTAAAGGTAAAATTAGTAAAATAGTATAAATTTTATAGTGTACTTGCTATGTAAAATACATGACAATACATTACACTACATAAATATTTAATCCAAATATTCAAGGATGAATTATCATTAGAATATCAGGCAATGCATCACTACACTAAAGAAAAAATTATGGCTGGGCAGAGAGATCACGCCTGTAATCCCAGCACTTTGGGAGGCCAAGGTGAGTGATCACTTGAGGTCAGGAGTTTGAGACCAGCCAGTCCAACATGGAAAAACCCTGTCTCTACTAAAAATACAAAAATTATCGAGGAGTGGTAGCACATGCCTGTAATCCCAGCTACTTGGGAGGCTGAGGCATGAGAATTGCTTGAACCCAGGAAGTGAAGGTTGCAGTGAGCCAAGATCATGTCACTGCATTCCAGCCTGGGTGATAGAGCAAGACTCTGTGTCAAATAAATAAATAAATATTTTTTAATGTTAAAAAAGGAAAAAATATGTCAGTACAGTATGTTGATAGATGTCCTAAATGTATTTATGAAGTTCAATACCTTTTATGATCACAAAATTTCAACACTAGGCATAGAAGCAATTTCCTTAACACAATAGAGCCTTCATACTTACAGCCATCATATGTGATGGAGAAACTTTTGGACATTCCATCCCTTCCCAGTTGTTCTTTTGTCTTGTTTGTTTCCTGTATTAGTACATTCTCACACTGTTATAAAGAACTATCTGAGATTGGGTAATTTTTTTTTTTAAAAGAGGTTTAATTGACTCACAGTTATGCAGGCTGTACAGGAAGCATGGCTGGGGAGGCCTCAGGAAACATAATCATGGCAGAAGGCAAAGGGGAAGCAGGCATGTCGTACATGGCTGGAGAAGGAAGAAGCGAGAGCAGGGCGAGGTGCTGCACCCTGTTAAACAATCAGATCTCATGAGAACTCACTCTCTATCGTGAGAACAGTAGGGGAGAAATCCACCCCCATGATCCAGTCACCTCCCACCAGACCCTCCTCCAACACTGGGGATTACAATTCCACATGAGATTGGGTTGGAGACCCAAATATAAACCATATTGTTTCCCTGGGTTGTCAGGAATTCCAAATCTGGAACATTTTCTCTAGTTTGTTATTCAAGATTTGAACTCAGGACTCATTGACATCACCCAACTAATAATATTCTGTCTGTTGATAATGTCTTTCTCTTTTTGAGGCTAGCCTTTATATGCCTTATAAGAAGATTGGCAATAAAAGAAACTCCAATTTGTTAATGGATCAACTAAATATTCATGAAAATTTTAACTTTTAAAAGATTCAAACAAATCCTCATTTATAAACTGTCTTCATGGTTTGTTTCTCAGTTTGCATAAGGATTTTATGTTCCTGTTTTTACAAGAATATGAATATTTGATGTATGTGTATGCACTTATTGTGTGCACAAGAAAATATCTAGACATTTCTCAACAATAAATGTATATGATTCTAAAATTATGCTTATGAGCACTTTGTTTTACTTTTATTGTCAGAACATCACTGGAGGTGTTAAGAATATACATTTTATATTTCCAACATAAAGTATTGATCTCTGACCATGATCAGATATATATCTATAGAGTAATTTAGAGAAGAGAAAGATACAAATGGAAAAAAAACAGCAGAATTTGGGGTCCTTGAGATTACAAAATAACAGTAACAATTCTTTATGTAGTTTCCCATAACTCAGGTGTGATAAACAGACCAGTGGTTCTCAGCCAGGGCTATGCATCATAGTTACTATTAGAAGCCTTTTTTTAAATTTATTTTTGGGGTTTTCTTTTAATGATTTTTGTTTAATTTTGTTTGTTTTAGTGTTTGAATGCCTTCCTTTGATTTTTCTTTTTCTTTTTCTGTTGGGTGTTCCTACCTCACGCTGTAATAACTGAATGAGAATCTCACAATCTCAGAATTACTTTTGATCCTAAGTCATGAAAATTGTTAAGAATTTCTAGTATTCTGTTAAGATATATATAACCACAGAAATAGGTGTAAAAATATAAATTGTTAAGCAAAATAAAATCTTAGGCACAGCATGAACTATTTATTCTAAAGTATAAATATCTACATAAACAACTCTGAATTTTTAAATAAAGTTCATATCAAGATAAATATAACAGTAGGTGATTGTGATGATGGGTTGAGAATGGGCCTGGGAATTAGAGATAAAGACTGATATAAAATAAAACATAGAGAAATCTTGCATGAATTTAAATTTGTGGTAAAGACTGACTAGTTCACCAAAACCATATTCTTTTATTGGACACAAATGAAGATTATAGACTCTGTGCAAGTATGCTGGAGTCACGTGAGTGAGTTTTGGACAATGGAGAGTGGTAGAAGTGAAACACAATACTTTTGGGCCTGATGAGTACACCTTATGTGTGATCACTCTGTCATTCTTTCTTTCTTTTCTTGTCCATTCAGCCGCATCACAAGATGAAAAGATCCTGGATACCTGAGTCATCAGTCAGAGAAAAGTCACCAAGTAGAGCCTACTTGGCTTACAATGGTCTGTGACATGGGTGAAAATTAATCATTTAGGTTGTTAAGCTAATGAGATGTTTTGTTAGAGTAGCTCATGCTAATCACTCTGACTAACAGAGTGATGATGGTGTGACATGAAATAAAGAATATGATTAAATATAATTTGTTTCTATGAGAAAAATGTTTTAGAAACAGAGCAAATGAGAAAAATGCTCTGCAGATAAGTCTTGTACAAAGCCACCATGGAAACCAATGTTTGTATGTGTTATTGTAAGGGTAAAAAGCAGAGAAGAAAATTCTGTTTAAAAAGATTTTCAGGTTAAAATTCTGGCTATATTGGAGAAACTGGTACCAGGCAGTTCCTCAAGCTATAAACAAGTTGAAAACTGGACAACATAAGTGAAACAGTCATTTTCAGAAATTAGAAAAGAGGCAGCATGGGATGGTGATACCTGAATCCAGAAAACTAGAGGTTACAGCTATGGGGATCTCCATCTTTTGTCTGAAAGCACTTTCTGGATTATGGCACTGGGAAGATAAATCGAAGGAGAATAGAGTTGTCTCACTGGATTGAGAAAACCGAAATCGTGTTGGGAATTCCCTAAACCGGCTAGTATATGGACAGCAGAGTACTACAGAGAATGGAGTCAGGCAGTGAATGAGCAACAATAATCTGCATAGGGATACCTTTGAATCTTTGGCTACATATTAAACTGTGCACATATAAGATTAAAAAAAAAAAATTCTGGGGCACTCTAAACTGAGTAAATTCAGAGATCACAGCGGCATGGGAGTCATTTGAGTTCCAAACACTCAAAGTGAAAGAATCTTGTCAGATAACTGAGGTATTCAGGAGAGGCACAAAAAGGTTTTAGAAGCAGGGCTGAACTAACCTAGAGTAAAGGCTACTCTACATCTGCCCTAACAAGGCTTAAAAAGAAGTGTCAAATGGATTACAGCATTCAAGGTTAAAATGTACTTTATCCCACAAACTCTACTGATTAAATCAATCTCAGTCAAATTCCCAGAAGATATTTGCAGAAACTGAAAAGTACATTCTAAATACATGTGGAAATGCAAAGAACTTAGAATAGCAAAAATAACTTTGAAAAAAAAAGAGTGAATTTGGAGGATTTGCACCACTTAATGTCAAAATGTATTATAAAGGTCAATAATCACGGCAGTGTAGCATTGGCATAAAAGTAGACATATTAGTGAATGAAATAGACTAGGGAGTCTAGAAATAGAAACACATACATATAGCCAGCTGACTTTTGACACAATTACCAAGGCAATTCAATGATGGTAAAGAGAATCTTTTCAACAAACTGTGCTGGAAATATGGGATAGGCACATGCATACAATTTAAAATGAATATCAACCTTTACCTCAGATCATACACAAATCTTACTGAAAATGTGTCTTAGATCTAAATACAAAGGCGAAAACTATAAACTTTTAGAATAAAACAAGTGAATCTTATTTGCTTTCTGTTGGGTAAATATTTTGTAAATTGGATTTAAAAACCCACAAATACAAAAAAAATGACAACATTAGAAATCGTTATCCTGAAAAATACACTGATAAAAAAATTAAGTCTGGGCAACATATTGAGACCTCACGTCTACAAAAAATGAACAAAATTAGCCGGGTGTGGTGGTGCACACCTGTAGTTTCCTCAGGAGGCTGAGGCAGGAGGATTGCTTGAGCCTGGGAGGTCAAGGCTGCAAGGAGCTGAGATCGTGCCATGGCATTCCAGCCTGGGCAACAGAGCAAGACCTTTTCTTAAAAAAAAAAAAGAAATAAAAATTAAAAACAGTGCATAGTCTGGGAGAAAATATTTACAAAACATACAACCCAAAAAGAACATGTAACCAGAACATATAAAGAATCTTTCCAATACAATATTAAGATATGCAAACTTAAAATAGTCAAAAGATTTTAATGACACGTCAACAGAAAGATATACAGATGATAAATAGGTACATAAAAATATGTTCACCAGCATTAGTCATTAGGGAAATGCAAATTGAAATCACAATGTAATAATACTATATAATCGTTAGAATGACTAAGGTTAAAAAGACTGATAGTACCAAGTATCTGCGAGAATGTGGGTCTACAGGAACTCACAAACATTGTAGGTCAGAGTGTAAAGTGGTTCTACCACTTTGAAAACTATTATGACAGCTTAAGTTATATATAAAACTACAAATTCCAAGAAATATGACCAAACAAGTCCAAGAAATATAAAAGCTTATCTACCCAACATCTTGTACCTGAATTTTTAAGAACTTCATTTGTAATAGTCAAAAACTGGAAATAAGTCAAATGTTACATCAATTGGTTAATGGATAAACAAATGTGGCATATCCATACAATAAATAATAGTCCATTATTAACTCAGTTAAAAAAAAGTAAAGGTATAAAGGAATGACATATACAATATAGCAAATAAATTTCAAAGCATTATGTTAAGTAAAGAAATCCAAGTACAAAAGACTAGATATTATATTATTCCATTTATATGACAAACTAGGAAAGATAAAATTTGAGTGATGAAAAGAAGATTAATTGTTGCCGGGGAAAGCAGACGGGAAGAGAGTATTGACTACAAAGGAGCACAAAAGAACTTTTTCAGTGACGGGAATATGGTCTATGACATTTGTGGTGGTGGTTATGCAACTGTAGACACTTGTCAAAACTCATCAAACTATGCAATTAAAATTGGTGAATTTTATTGCATATAAATTATACTTCAATAAAGCTAGCTCCCCCAATAGAAAATACAGATGTTTTAAAATAAATAAAAGCTGAGCTAATTCTCTTCTGGAGAACTGCACTGCAAGAAATGTTGTGGAAAGTTTTTCAGGCAAAATAAAAATGATAATAAATGGACATCCGGGCTTACACAGAAGAATGAAAAGCATTTAATGTTTATTCATGGTAAATGTAAGTGGTAAGTATAAACGGTAAATATATATATAAATATAAATTATTTTATTCGCTTCTTCCAAAGATACTTATTTGTTTAAAGCAAAGGTAATAGCTATTTACTTGATGATTATAATACATGAAGAAGTAAAATATATGACAACAGTAACACAATGAATGGAATAGAAAAAAAGTATACTGTACCAAAAGTCTTATATTTTTCATTAAGTTTTATAATATTATTTAAAGGTAGACTGTGATGAGTCAAAGATAAATTTTGTAAGTCCTTACAGCTTCCACTAGTGCCAATAGTGGAGATAAAATGGAAAACTAAAAAATTTCTCAGCCCAAATGAAGCTGAGAAAGACAAAAAAAGGAGCACATAGAGATAGGGAAAATAGAAAAACCAACAACAAAATGAAATGCTTAAATCTAAACTTATTGATAAATTACATGTGAATTATCTAAATTTGTCCTTTAAAAGGCAGAGATTATCATTAAATAAAAAAAAAAAAACAACCCAACTACAACCATCCCTTGGTATATGTGGGGATTGGTTCCAGGATTTTTGCATATACCAAAATCCACCCATACTTAAGTCCTACAGTAGGCCCTGTGGAACCATGTATACAAAAAGTCTGCCCTACCTATGTATGGATTTCTTGTCCCATAAATACTGTGTTTTAGACCCGCATTTGGTTGAAAAAATATTCACTTACAAGCGGACCTCCACAGTTCAATCTCATGTTGTTTAGGGGTCAACTGTTAATGCTGTTTATAGCTATACACTCTCTAGGGAGAGGTATAGATAAGTTAAAATCTAAAGGATGGAAAAAGATACCCTGTAAACAATATTAAAAAACAACAAAAACTGAGGTGGTTATGATAATATCAAAGTACTTCAGTACAAAGAATATTATCAGAAACATTTCAAAATAAAAAAGGGAAAAATAATACTGAAATATATGCATTTTATATGAGAGGTTCAAAAGATATTCATTTAAAAAAATTGAAGGACTTGAAAAATAGATAAATTCATAATTATGAGATTTTAACACACCTCTTAATTTTTTGAAATATTAGGAATATTGAAGACTTGAGCAACACTACTAACTAAATTGGTATTTTAGAGTATTATGCCTAAGAACAACAATTTATGCATTCTATTAACTGAACATAGGAACATAGAATATTTATTAAGAAGGGCCATACTGGGAATAAATTTAAATATATTAAAATCAGAGAGGGTTACCTGACTCCAGTGAAATTAAATTTGAAAAAAAAAATGAAGATATTTGGAAAATCTCCAAATATTTGAAAATTAAACAAAATACTTCTAAATAACTTACAAAGATGTGTCAAGAAGCAATAACAAGACATATTAGAAAATATTTTGAATGGAATGAATATAAAAACCTGCCAAAACAGAACATGTGTGATGTAATTAAAGCTTGAAATTCTCACAGGACAAAATAAGAAGCATCTAATATCGATGTTCTTGGATTCCTCCTTTGCTAATGGCTGATTAGCTCTTATTGAACCAATTTTTACACAGATAATTGTAAACAACAGGAGATACTCTAAAACAAACAAACAAACAAACAAAAAACTATTTGAAGTTATCAGAGACTGACCAAAAGCAGGTAGATGTTGAAGGTGACAACACTTTCTAGAAAGGAACAGTACTGAGTAGGCACCCTGGTTTCACCACTTTTAGCCTGAAGGTAGATCCTGATGCAGCTAAAATATGGAAGTGAGGAAACTTTCTTATTGGAGTGATGAACCAGAGGGCAGAGGCAGAATATTTTACAATCAGAAGAAGGGTAGGGTTGTGAGGCTATCTCCAAAATGAGAGATAAGGTAGAAACACTATGTTATACCTAAATATCTGGCTTAAGTCTAACCAAAATACATGGATAAGACTACAAACAAAAGAATATAATAGAATCCAGAATCTCTGCAATATGTAATTCACAATATCTAGAATATAAATCCAAAGTACTCAGATTTCTAAGAAACTAGAAATTTCTAAAAATGCCACACTCAAGAGAAAAACAATCAATGGAGGCAAAACTGAAGGTGTTGAAGATGTTGGAATTACAGCACCGATTTTAAACCAGCTGTTGTAATTATCTTCAAAGACCTATGGAAATATATTGATAATGAATGAAAAGATAGTGAACTTCAGCAAAGAAATAGAAACTATAAAAGAACAAACGAGAATTAAAAACTAAAAAATACAATATCTGAAATAAAAATTAACAACATATTGGAGATGACCAAAGATACAGTGAACAAAATTAAAAATAGATCAATAGGAATAACCTACACTGAATAACAGAGATAATAAATTGGGTGTAAGAGTTAAAGAAAGAGGAAAAAAACATGAAAAGTCACTCAACAGTCAAAAACAGGTTTATTTTGGAGAATAAACCAGAGAGGGACTTCTAGCTGATTTTGGTCAGGAGCATTCTCTCTTACAGACTAAGAGTATTTAAAGGTTCAGGGCAAGAGAACTTACCACAGGCTTGGAATGTTTCTGTGTGGAGGAGAAGTTTATTGCGGGGGTTGGAATGTCTCTGGCCAGAGGGGAGGTTATCTCAGGGCTGGCATGTCTCTGGTCAGGGAGGGGTTTATCTTAGGGTTGGAATGTTTCTTGTCAGAGATGTTATTTGTGGTTTATGGTCATGCTGACATTAGCCATTAGGCTGATGCCCTTTGGGGCTATTTTTGATCAAGAGGAACTTTAAGATAGCAGTGCTTGTCCAAGATGGTGATGCTCCTACTCTGTCAATGGGGAAAATGAACAGAGACTCAAGGACTTGTGCAACAATATAAAAGTATGTAATTAAGAATAATTGAAGTCACAACAGGAAAATATAAAGGGACAAAATATATAAAGAAATTTAGCTTAAAATTTATTTAATTTGGTAAAAAACATGCATTTATAGATTTAAAAGGCTCACTGAAACTCAAGGATGACAAACACAAAGAAAACCACGTCTAATTACTAAACTGCTGAAAATCAATAATAGTCTTGAAAGCAGCCAGAGAAAAACAACACATAACCTATAGAAGACCAAAATATGGTTAGGTTCAGTGAAGGTAACTGTTATATTTCCACTATGTAACACGGAGCTTAAGCCATATTAGGTACTTAGTAAATATTTACTGAGTATATAAAAGATTTCTTGAGATGTGCAAATAAAGCAAAACTTATATGTTGAGTCAGCATAGGTAGTGTAAACAGCACTAGAGTTGGGGTAAAAGAGCTTCATTTGAAGTTCACATCTACCTTCAACTAGCTAAGTGATTCTGAGTAAATTCCTTAGTTTCTGTAAGTCTCATCTCCTCATCTTTAAAACTGAATAATTACTCCATAAAGTTATTGTGAACATTGCATAAGACAGCCCATGCAAAAATGCCTGGGTTTTAACACAAAGAAGATATATTGTACAATTTAGTTGATTCTAAATATTTCTTAGTGAGATTTTATGTTGTTAAGTATTTCTTCATGGAGGTTTACTACACTGCTTAATTTCTGTGAGAGAAGGCCATATTTGACGTGCTGTTTTGCATGCAAATGTCATGTGAACTATAAAGAGTTTCCTGTTGTAAAGACAAATAACTTATTGGCATCTGCAAAATGATGAAAATTTTGTCCATACACCTTCTCAATCCCCAGCAAGGTGATGAAAATTTTAGTTTAATGCTTCTACTTCTTAAGTTTTTACAACTGACCATCTGCTAGACTTTCTTTAAATGGACCAACTTATAAAAAATCTGTTGTATTAAGGTTTCTAATAAATGAATTGAAATTAAAAAATTTTTTTCACACATGATAATTTTATTTTGTATTTACCATTTCAACTCTTAAAACATTACTATCTAATATGTAACTTCAAATTGCTACTAGTAGGCCGGACATGGTGGCTCATGTCTGTAATCCCAGCACTTTGGGAGGCCAAGGCAGGCGGATCACTTGAGGTCAGAAGTTCAAGACCAGCCTGGCCAACATGGAGAAACCCTGTCTCTACTAAATTATCTTCAAAAAAGAAAAAAAATAAAAAAAGAAATTATTGCTAGAGTTTTTAACATTTGCACCACAATAAATTTTGGTAACTTAATAGTTTTAAAGATAGGTTACAATGTTTAGCTCTACTACCATTACATATATTAACAGAATTTACAAATACACACAAATGTGTACTTTTTTGTCTAGTCAAATTAAACTTAGTAGAGGTAGACTGATAACAATTTTTTTGGTTATATTTTGACATAAAAAATGAAAAACAAAAAAATGTTTTCTGTAACATTAAAGGCAAATATATGGAAAAATGCTGTTTTTTTTTTTCTATGGATTCACATTACCAAAACAGATTTCTTATTCGACAATGTATCCTTCCTCAAAAGTGAGGAGGTGGTCAAAATGACAAAATGTTACTAAATCATTAATGGTGCTGTTTTTTCTTTCCCAGAGATTTGAAAAAATACACTATACTTTAAGGTATGTTAGGTTGGGATTATTATCCTAACACTGTGAAGACAAATTTTCATTAAGTCACACATTTTTATGTGTGAAGTACAAACAGTGAATTATCTTTATAAAATGGAAGAAAATTGCAACTACTTTTCAAATGTAACCTTGACATTTTGAAAAGTGCAGTAATGGATCTGTCCCCATGGAGACAAATATTTTACCCCTTATTTCTGCAACCAAAATTCAGCACATTATATCCCGATCTGATCCAGTCTTTATATCTGTCTTGGGGGTTTATATGATTACAGAAATGTGTCCAAGATAATGCTAAAGATTTGCAATGAATTTTTCATTCTCCACCCTTCCTATTGATACTGTATGTTATCTCTTTTTTTTTTTTCTTTAACCTCAGGTTTTTCAAGATAAAATGTGTTTTTATTCAATAAAAAATAAGATTCAGTACAAAGGAAAAGTGTGTGAGAACTTAAAAGCGGTCGCAAGCCCTAGGACTAGGAATTGTATCCCATGGTTCTCTCCGCCAGCAGGATACATTTCTGGAGATAAAGATCACTTACAAATATTCAGAGTTTGCCTGCATTTTATTATTGAAAACCACAAAATGGAAGAAATGTTTAGATTCATAAAAATGCACATTTGTCACTATGTACCTTTTTTTTGTTATTTACATTAACTGAGATAATATATAAAAACATGCTTTACTCAGTGTCTAAAATAAATTAGTTGTTCAATAGGTGTTCATTCAGTTTTGTACGGTTTTATTTTTTCATTAGTTTATGTTTGACCTTTACATTTTGAAAATATATTAACTTAAAAATTCTAATTAATAAAGTTAAAAACCAGATCTCCTATTTATCATGCATAGTACTTTGTAAATCTCTAGAAGAAATCTCAATGAATCTAACCACTGGTATGTATATTGTTATTGGTAACTTTATACATGTGATTCATAAAAATTTTTTTAAAAATGTGTGTGTGTATGTGTGTGTGTGTGTGTGTGTGTGTGTTTTGAGGGATGGGAGAACTTAGACTTTTTTCATCACTATGACAATATACTTGACGTAAGCACTTTTTTTCCTTATGTTTCAATGTCCTCTGTCTTAGGACCTGGCTTTTTAGGCCACTATAGAACTCTCTAAGATATTACTGCAAACCCTGAGTAATTTCACCTCAACCCCTCATAAGAAGACATCTAAGCAGCAAAACCACATAGTTAACACAATTTATTTCATGTCTCATTTTTTTTACCTAACTTATTTTTCCTCATTGAAATTTGTGGTATAATAAGAAATATATTTGGTTTTTGTCTCCAGTTTCAGGCATTAAGGTTCTGAAACCCTTGGAATTTCCTGAGTCACAGGATTGTCTTTTGTTATTCATCATGAAGCCCTCTGGATCACACATGACGTTTTGCTAATGAGGTGGCTTAGGATGGGGCCCATAGAGAGCATCAGATTGGGGCTGCTCACCAGAAAGACAAGTGAAGTGATCAGAATCCTATACTTTTTATCCCTATTCACTTACTTCCCAGAAAGCTGCTGGTGGTAAAGCTGTAAAATTCTTGAACAAAGAGATTTGATGAGCTTTTGGATTGGTGAAGGTATCCACATTCTTGGAGAGTGGCGCTCCCCACCTCCACAGGGACTCATACCCCTGTGCTGGGGACCCCTCCAGACCTTACCCTATGTACCCCTTCATCGAGCTGTTCCTCTGGATTCTTTAAAATATCTGTTATAATAAGCTGACAAACATGAGTAAAGTGTTTTCCTGAGTTCTGTAAGCCATTCTAGCAGATTATTAAACCCGAAGTATGGTTGTGGGAACCCCCAATTTGTAGCCAGTTGGTCAGAAGCATAGGAGACCCTGACTTGTGACTGGCATCTAAAGTGGGTCCAGTCTTGTGGGACTGAGCCCTTTTACTTGTAAGATCTGATGGTAATTCCAGGAAGATAGTGTTAGAATTGAATTGAATTGTAGGACCACCAACTGGTGTTAGAGAATTGACTGGTGTGGGGGAAAATACATCACACATTTTGGTGATCTAAGGTGAAGCATAGAAGTGTGTGAGTATAGAAGAAAAAACAGTTTGTTTTTTCAGAAAATTATCAGCACTTGATAAAAATAATTTATGGGAAGCATTTGTTTTAGACTGAGCTCCTGAACTAGACCCTAACAGATCATACTAAACCAAAATGGAGGCACTCATGCTAAGTGACACATAATCAAATTGAAACATTAAATTACCAGGTAGATTCCCAAACTCACCAATTTTTCTTGAAAATAGAAGATTCCCAACAACCCATCAGAGTGCCCACTGTACCTGAGTCAGCATAATAAAGAAGTTCCCTCTGCTTTAATGCCTATAAGTAAGCTAAAGTAAGCTGATGCTAACCAATCAGCTTTTTTTTCTATTTTGCTTCCTTGTTACCTCTTAACAAAAAAAACCACGCTTCAGCCATTTCCCAGTGGATGCTCTCATTCTATTTAGCAAAATGGAGGCTACTTCAATTCATGAATTGTGAATAAAAGGCAACTCAATCTTTAACTAAATTTGTTGTAATTTTGTTTCTTGACACACCTAAAGTTATATAATTCATTTGCCTGTTTACTTATGTCCTTCTCCACTAGAATATAAGTTTTATGAAATCAGTAACAGTGTCTCTTTGCTGCTATATTCTCTGCACCGAAACTACACCTGACACAGGTTGAGTAGATGCTCAACAAGTACTTGTTGAATTAATGAGTAAATAAGCTAATGAATAATAAATGTCTTCCTGCACTTTATTAATCTTATAGGTGCTAAAAAAGTTTACACTATCAGGGAGGAATACACACATATACATATGCAATACTTATACATCAATGTATTCATTTCCATTTTGTATTTCATTAAAGTCCTGCTATAAAAATCTTTGCTTAGTTTCTTACACAGAAAACTCTGACATCCTGTGTAGCTTATCAAACATATAAAGCCACTAGTAGAAAAAAGGTATTTGAATGAATATTTTGTGACTCATACAAGATAAATTAACTAATACACTGAATTTTCATCAGGTTTTCTGGTACTTTTAACAGGAAAATTACTCTGCTATATTATGTGTATACATCTAGCAAAGAAATTTACACATATTCCCTTTAAAATCTGTAATAAAAGATGCTTCTATTACAAATAATTATTAACCTCGTATGAGAGATCTTACTACAGGATAAGAAAATACAAAAAGAAGGGTTCTGTGCATCGGTGACTGCTCAAAATGCTTCCAAGTGTCTAAGTAAGAAATAGCTCTTCCACTTGTCAAGAGTAAACTTAGCACCTGATGTTGACCCTTCAGATCTAGCTTAAGATGATGACAATGATGGTGATCACTATCATCATCATCACCTTTTTTTTTTTTTTTTGAGATAGAGTCTCATTCTGTCATCAGGCTGGAGTGCGGTGGTGCCATCTCGGCTCACTGCAACCTCCGCCTCCTGGGTTCAAGCGATTCTCCTGCCTCAGCCTCCTGAGTAGCTGGGACTACAGGCGCACGCCACCACACCCGGCTAATTTTTGTATTTTTAGTGGAGATGGGGTTTCACCATGTTGGCCAGGATGGTCTCGATCTCTTGACCTCGTGATCTGCCCTCCTTGCCCTCCTAAAGTGCTGGGATTACAAGCATGAGCCACCACGCCCAGCCCATCATCATCTTTTATGGACAAATAGTCATCATTATCATTACCATCATCATCATCATCATCATCATCATCATCACCCCTTTCATAGACAAATCATGTGCCAAAAATTTCTGAAGACTGAAATTGTGTGTATATGTGTGTGGAATTTCAGTTGGTAGTAAAATCCTCTCCTGACCAGATCTTTTTTGTCACTAACACCTGAAATGAAACTCATATGAAGCTATTTATATTCTTTATTCTATTTTGTATGAAAGCTAATCTAATTTGCCTCATATTTATGTGGGCTTCCCAGAAATCATGAGAGATATTATGTAATATATCATATATGATTCTGTTACCCAAATTTTTAATTCCATGGGACATATTACCCTGAGGGTATCATGTATATGACCTGTTAACACAAACACTTATTGATAATATGTTTTATCATATAATCTTTACAATGGTACTGATATAGATACTATTATTATTCCCAGTTTTTGTCCTTACATAGAGACTTTATTTGAATTTTGAATTTTGTCAATTTTTCCTTTGACATCCTTCTACGGAAAAACAAAACTTCTTTTCTTGTCCAGGGATTCAAACCTTTATTACAAGTTGCATTTATTTGTCATGTCACTTTAGTCACTTTTAATCTGGAACAATTCCTATTCCTCAGTTTTTCCTTGTCCTTGATGACATTTTTGAAGGTACTGATATGTTATTTTGTAGAATGTCGCTTGGTTAGGGTTTGCCTGTTGTTTCCTCATCATTACACTTATGGAGTTTGGCAGGAGCATCACAGAAGGGATTTTGTGTCCTCAGTGCATCACATCATGGGGTCTGTTTATCCCATTGCTGTTAATATCAATTGTACTCCCTTGAATGAAGCAGCGTATACAAAGATTTCCACTACAATAATTAGTTATGATATCTTGTGAGGGAAGATCTGTGTAAATATCCTTTTTCTCATTATATTTTCACCAATTAGTTTTAGCATCCATTGATGATTCTTCCTGAAACAATTATCATTCATATGGTTGTCAAGTGGCAGTTTTCTAATTCCATCATTTTTCCTACATTTATAAGTTGAAATTCTACCATAAAAAATTCAGTTTTATAAAAAGCATTTTCTTTTCTTGCTATGGTATCTATTAAAAGACTTTTAAACATCTCACTACTTCTGCTTTATACATATACATATTTTACACCCTCCAAACACCTGATGCATTATTTCCTTTTGCAAAACCCTTGTAGACTTTCCTTAATTGGCTGATTGCTTAGATGAGTGTTCAGTAGGCCCATCTGGAAGAGTCCTGTTCAGTCTCAGAGGGTTGTGGGAGTTCTGGAAAAAACTTTGGAACCAGAGAATTCTGTCCCCAAATCAATTCAGCCTCTTACTCTCTGAAAAACCTTAAACAAATGAGAGACCTTCTCAGGGTCTCACTCTTATTCCTGTCTCTTTGAAGACAGAAACCATGTCTTTATTGTACTGTGGGTACACAAGTTCACCCGCAGTTACAGTCTATTGAACTCAACCACAGTAGTTCTCCCTTATGATCAGGGAATACATGCTAAGACTCCCACAGATGCCTGAAGCCACTAGTAGAACCACCCTAATTGCCCTCAATCAGAATATGATTCCGTTTATGTCTTCCACCCACAAATCTAATGACTTTGTTTTTTTTATCTTAAGCAAGCACTCATTACGCACTGTAGTCGCAACTTTTGCAATTTGGGGCAGGACTGCAAAACTAGCATGAATTTCCTTTTTCTTCACAATTTCATAGATAGATTAGTTCTTCCTGCAGATTTTAGCATTTTTTTTCCTTTTTGAGAACTTTCTCCTTTTCATTTAAAGGAAGCACTTTATGGCTTTTCTTTGGCATAGCCAAACTACTCTTGTGCTTTGGGGTCCTTACTGAGTAAAATAAGAGTGACTTGAACCCAAGCACAGAGATACCATGACAGGCAATCTGATAACTGAGTTGGCTACTACGTGACTAAAGGGCAGGAGAGCATCACAGTGTGGCTATGTTGGACAAAAGGATGATTCACAGGACAAAGTGGCTGGCATGAGATTTCATCAGACTACTCTGAATGGCAAGCAATTTAAAACCTATGAATTGTTTACTTCTGGAATTTTCCATTTAGTATTTTTGGCCCATGGTTGACTATGGGTAACTAAAACCACTGAAACCAAAACCATGGACAAGGGAAACTACTGCATGTATCCTCTGCACCACTACTAGTCCATTTCCTCTTTTTGATTCATTTAAAGAATGGCTGTTTTTAAAATCTTTTTAAAGGATCTTAGAAATTTTGTTGGAGGCCACTTAGTTTTTGGTTTATACCTATCTTTCTACACTTTATGATTTCTTCTTTTTACATAGGTATGTTTCTACTTTAAATCCTACATAGTTCTACTTTGATATTTTTATGATTCTCAAGTAAGAAATGAGAAGACTGAATGGCAGAGAAGCTTAATAACCTAATCCTAAGATCACACAGCTTGTGGATGTTTAACTCAGGCAGCATGGATTCAAAGTTTGTATCTCTAACCAATACTGCCTCTCCATTCTAATGTTTCTCATATTTTTTTACTGTGAAAAAAAAAATACATTTGACCATATTCACCCTAAGATAACTGCACTTTCAACCCTTTCATTTAATTGGAAAAAAAACCCTCTATACTCTCATTTAAGATTTGGAATATATACCAACTCAGTAAAATGTAGAGGCCCTTTTTAATACTTCATTATTTTCTATTCCAACCCTTCTGCTCTATTTGCCATACTAAATATTGTTTTCTAATTAGTATTTTTTCTTTCTTGACACCTTTGAGCTGGTTTTGTCCTCTTTCTACCCCTCTGTGAATATGCCTTCTGTTTTTGTTGTTGTTGTTGTATTATACCTCATAAAATATAAGTATTTGATCAAGCTAAATGCTCGTTTTTTTAAATTTTCTCTTTACACTAAGTTTAAGTATGAGTTCCTAGCTTGGAAGAAAAGAAATCCCATCTTGAAAGGCTCTAGATGGCTGTTTACTCATCATTTAGTGAGTTCTGTGACTGGTCTATGTCTATGTCTGAGAGCCAGGGTGAATGAAACCAGAGTGATCCGTGGCATCTAGAAATAGATAGGCTCCCCTTCATAGTGAAAAGAATGCAAATTTCACCAACTCTTAACTGCCAAAGAATACAGTGTCTTCAGTCCATTGAAAGGAATCTCGCAGTACTCTAGGCAATTTGTGCATTCAGTAAATCATCAACAGGTCTGATTAAAGTCTTGGCTATTGTAAGCTTGGTTCTCTTGAAGACTAAGCTCTTGGCAGCCAAGGACTGGTAATTATTCTATCCTGAGCCTTTATTTATTAGGCTGATGCAAAAGTTATTGCAGTTTTTCTCATTAAAAGTAATGGCAAAAATTAGGCCTGGCGCAGTGGCTCACACCTGTAATCCCAGCATTTTGGGAGGCCAAGGCAGGCGGATCACGAGGTCAAGAGGTCGAGATCATCCTGGCCAACATGGTGAAGCTCTGTTTTTACTAAAAATACAAAAATTAACTGGGCGTGGTGGCCGGCGCCTGTAGTCCCAGCTACTTGGGAGGCTGAGGCAAGAGAATCGCTTGAACCGAGGAGGCAGAGGTTGCAGTGAGCCGAGATGGTGCCACTGTACTCCAGCCTAGCAACAGAGTGAGACTCCGTCTAAAAAAAAAAAAAAAAAGTAATGGCAAAAATTTATCTCGGTACATAAAAGGATTCTGGATGTGGCAAATGCTAACAAAAATTATTTCCTTCCAAATTAAATACTTTAGTCTATGCCAGAAGGTCATAGGTATATCTGAGAGGAGGATACTTTTCAAGGTACATGTCACTTCGTCCCTGTGAAGAAGAAAGCTGCAGAAAAGTCTGTTATTGAATGTTTACATTCTAATTCTAGCTCTCAACCAATCCAATGGGTAAATGGGAAACTAAGCACTTCCTTTATGCCTAGCATTGTTTATTTACATTTCTTATTTGTAAAACCAGAGACTCTGCAAGTTATAGGATCAACTATGAAGTTGTATGCATAATACATTTTATTAAAAGATATGCATATATTACATATACATAAAAACATAAGTTTTACATATGAAATATGTAGAATATATAAAAGATAAAGGATAATTTTAGAATGGCTAAAATGTATCATGAGAAAAAAATATATTTTATGTGTATAAAGATTATACAAACATACCTATGAACTGGTTTCAATAAAAGCATCCACATGTGTGTAGGAATGTATATAAGGAGAATAAATTTCTAGAAGGAAAGAAAAGTTGTTATAAATAAAAACAAAGTCCAATGAAATAATCTTTGAAGTAATAAAAATGGAAAAATAGACAACAATGTATATGGCCAGATACATAAGAGCACTACCAAAGGTAGGAAGGCTATTAGTGCATAACTATGTCATAAATAAAAATGAAGTTTTAGTACAGAAGTGCAGCTTAATTCAAATTTTGAAAGCAAAGGGCATCATTAAATTCCATTAGCACTCGGAAACAATTGTATTGCTGCATCCCTTTTAATCTGAATGTGCACTCTTCCAATTATTTATTATTTTTATTTTTAGAAAAAGGAAGGTTTTTAGAGTTTAAGTTTAATCATGGAAATTTTAGTATTAGCTTTTCCCATATAGTTAAACAAAAAGGTACATATATTAACAACCTATCAAGAACTATTTTTACTATGCCTCTTTGAACAGAACACTTCTCACATGCAAAAGTTTTAGTAGATACCATTTTGCTCTATATTTCTTTCTTTTTAAAATTTATGAGTAAGAAATACATTTATATGGTTCAAAATTCACAGTGATATGGAAAGGTAAACACAAAACGGCAAGTTCACAACTTTTCTAGAACTCAAAGTTGGAGTGCTGAAGCAATAGCACAGACATTTGGTCTAAACATCTAAGAAAAATCTAGAGCCTGCAGGGAAACACATGGCACAAGCAGGGGCTTTACTAGGGCAAAATACAGCTGGAAAACAAGAAGGGTTCAGCCAGGGCTATAGCAAATTTATGGATGGTGAATGTGTACCCTGGCAAGAGAAAGCAAAGTCCCTGGGGACCCAAACCTGGGGAGTCTGCCAACTGAGGATGATTGGAAAATTTTGGTAGACTCCTAGGAATTTTCTTTGTGTCGCAAAACTGGCAGAAAAAACAGAAGCCATTATGGGGAAGGGGCCATCTCAAATCTCATCTGAGACATTTCTTCTCTATCTTCCCTAACCAAGCTGAAATCTTAACCTATTAGAAGAATGTCAGCATACATTGGGGCTCTTAGAGCACTGGTGAAAACTCACTGCAGCCAGGGGAAGAAAACTGGAGAAACAAAATCTCAACTCTGGAAAGGGTTAACATAAATATGTACTGGACTCAGAATTGCTGTGCAACCTACATCATTGGCAAAAAGGAAAATAATGCCTAATACACAGACTTAATTAGAACAATAGCAACCCATAGCAACCCTACTCCTTCCCACCAAACACACACAACTCTCTCTTTCTTTTTTCTCTCTCTCTTTTTTCTCTCTCTCTTTCTCTCTCTCTCTCCTCTCTCTCTCTCTCTTCTCTCTCTCTCTCTTCCCAAAATAAGAAGCATCAAGTGGGGCCAGCAGGTGGATCACCTGAGGTCAGGAGTTCGAGACCAGCCTGGCCAACATGTTGAAACCCTGTCCCTCTCTACTAAAAATACAAAAAATTAGCCATGTATGGTGGTGGGCACCTGAAATCTCAGCTACTCGGGAGGCTGAGGCAGAAGAGTCGCTTGAACTTGGGAGGAAGTTGTAGTGAGCCAAGATCGTGCCATTGCACTCCAGCCTGGGCAACAAGAGCAAAACTCCATCTCAAGGAAGAAGAAGAAGGAGAAGGAGAAGAAGAAGGAGAGGGAGAGGGAGAGGGAGAGGGGGAGGAGGAGGAGGAAGAAAAGCAGAAGCAGCATCAGGTAATAAGTAATTTGCAAAATACAAATCCTCCCTGAGGCCAAGCAAAGAGGGAAGACCAAAAGACAAGGAAGGAGCAGATATGAAAATAAAAAGCCTAGTGAAGGATCTGGATTTAAAAAAAAAAAAAGCAAAGTAAATAAATAAAATGCCTTCTGAGAACCCCTACCCTAAACATAAAGTATCACTAGAATTTTGAAGCTGTAGGACACCAAAGTTAACTAAAGCAACAACAAACCCCAAACCAGGTTTAACAGATTAATTTTTCTCAATCCCCACACACTAGGGTCTTAGCAGGAAGAAAGGCATGCCCATTCCCAGGCATATAAACTATTTACTTCACTCTCTCATGTTCTATACAAGATGTTCACCTTTTAAGAATACATTAGGAAGCATTAAAAAAAGTCAAGAAAAATAAGACAGTACTAAGAAACTGAGCAATTATCAGAACTAAACTCAGTTATGACAGCGTTGAGACTATATGAGAGGGATCTGAAACTACTATAATTAATATGTTAAAGGCTCTAAAGGAAAAAATAAACAACATGCATGACAGGTAGTTACATTTAATAAAGATACAGAAATTATAGGAAAAATATAGAAACACTAAAAATACAAAACACAGTGACAGAGAGGAAGAATGACTTCAAAGGACTTAGTGGTGAGCTAGACAGAGTCAAGGAAAGACTCCATATACTTGAAAATAGGCCTACAGAAATCACTGGAAATCACACTGAAGTGAGTGGAGAAGAGTTAACCTAAATAACTCTGGAAAACTGTGTTTCGCCTGGTAATGTAAGACTTGAGAAAGACACAAAGAGCCATACAGAAACACTGTAGTCTAGCTGGTAAATTTGTTTCACATATATGTGGGACAGATATTCTCAAACTGCTTTATATGTATACTAGACTTGAACAAATATATAAATAAATTGTAGATAATGAGAGTCAGATCTCTCACTGTTGAAGAAAAAAGGGAGGCATGTTAAAACAAAACAAGGGCTAGATTTAAGAAGAGCTCACAATGACCAAAACTAAAACAATTTGAGCATCAAAATAAATAGTGTAACCCAAAGAATAAAATTAATATCTGTGAGTCTGAGGACCTCAGGTTTCAGCTTCAACATGTGACGTGGTTGAAAGTCATTACTATAGACAAAAGCTAATCAAACTGAAAACTGGGGACTTCTCTTGGTCTGTCAGAGAACTGAGGTCTCAGGGCAAACTGCGTTCCCAAAATCTGGAGTCAGGCACATTCAGAGATATGAAGCACCTGAGACCTGTTTACCTGGAGCAGAAATAGCCAGTCAATCATCACTTAGCTAGTAAGGATGAAGAATTGCTGGTGCTGCCTATGAACTGCAGAGGGAAAGAAGCTCCTAAAGGCAGCCATCAAATGCCGTCCCTACATTCTCACAAGCTTTTCCTAAAGGAACACCACCAACATTATATTGGAGGATCTGAAAAAGCTCCTGCATGGCCCTGATAGGGGGAAGGGATGAGTAGCTATCAGGAAGACTTCCAGACCCTTCTCTCTAACACAGACTAATTTCCAGGATGAAGGGCATCACTAGGGGGCAATTCTGAAACTTCAGCCCAGTTTAGTGAAAGGAAATCCACTACACCTATAGTCTGCTTCTGTCTTTCTGTCTCACCTAAGCCGAAAAAAGTCATAATCAATCAACAAGAAAGAGGGCTTCAAGGAACTATGTGGTCATTTTCCTTTATCCGCAATTTTGCTTTCTGATTTTCAGTTACCTGCGGACAACTGCACTAAACTGCAGTTCAAAAATATTAAACAAAAAATTCCAGAAATAAACAATTCGTAAGTTAAATTGCAAGTCATTCTGAGTAGCGTAATGAAATCTTTACTGTTCCACTAGTTCCTGCTCAATACATGATCATCCCTTTAACCAGCATACCCACGCTGTGTAGGTTATCGGCCCGTTAGTCACTTAGTAGTAGCCATCTCAGTTATCAGATGGACTGTCATGGTATTGCAGTGTTTATATCCAAGTAACCCTTATTTTACTTCATGATGGCCCCCTCACGCAATAATGATGCTGACGTATTGTTATAATTGTTCTAGTTTATTATTGTTATTAATATCTTACTATAATTAATATATGAATTAAATTTTATCATAGATATGTATATATAGCAAAGCACATAGTATATATAGGATTTGGTATTACCTATGGTTTCAGGAATCTAATGGGGGTCTTGGAATATACCCCTTTTGGATAAGGTGGTGAGGAGGGGGACTACCGTACTGGAAACACTAGTGCTGGAGAAGGACTAGAAAACAAGAAGGGCAAAAGCTCTATCCCTGGAGGAGAAGCAGAAACACTACATTAACCAGATTCCCAAGACATATGACCATTAAAACACTGAGATTTATTCAGAAGATTCCAGCAGACTCCCTCTCCTCCACAACCCATCATAGCTCTAACAAGCTTTCAGGAATAATAGCAGTGGATTACAACTTAAAGAGCTACAAGACACAGGCTCTCTCTAAAGAGCAGTACAAAGGGAAACAAAGCCAAGTATGGAGAAAAAAAACTAAGCTTACTACAATAATTGGAAGCCTCTGGTGTCTGTAGCTAAAATAAACATTAAATGCACTCCAACTCCTAGCTAGATTAACATAAATCCTCATACTAAAGGCCTATTTACTTCAGTAACTATTTCCCTATACAACATATCTGATTTCAACAAAATTTACAAGGTATGTCAAAAGACAAGAATAAGCGTCTGAAGAAACAAAGCGAGCATCAGAATCCAACTCAGATATTAAAAAGATATTGGAATTATCTAATAGGAAATTTAAAATAACTGTGATTACAATGGTAAAGGCTCTCCTGGAAAAAGTAGACAACATGCAAGACCAGATGAAATGTTGGTAGAGAGATGGAAACTATAGGAATCAAAAGGAAATGCTAGAAGTGAAAAAACATAGTGTCAGAAATAAAGACCACCTTTGATGAGTTAATCCATAGACTGAGGCTGAGGGGAGAATCTGTAAATTTCAGCATAGGTAAATAGAAATATTTGAAATGAAATACAAAGAAGAAAAAAAGGAGGAGGAGATAATAGAATAGAATAGAATAGAATAGAATAGAATAGAATAGAATAGAATAGAATAGAATAGAATAGAATAGAATAGAATAGACTGTAACAGAACAGACAAGAACTGTGGAGTTATATCAAAAGTTGCAACATGTATATAATTGGAATATCAAAAAGAGAAGAAGAAGAAAATGGAGCAGAAGAAACATTTGCAGAAATAATGACTGAGAAGTTCTCAAATTAAGAACAGATATCAAGCCACAGAACCAGGAAGCTTAGACAATATCAGCAGAATAAACACCAAAGACTCCACACGGAGACACACCACATTCAAACTGCAAAAAACAAAAATAAAGAAAAAAAAATTTAATGAATCTAGGATTGGAGAACACTTTCCATACTGAGGTAAAAGAATACAAATTACCAGAGACTTCTCATGAAAAATAATGCAAACAAGAAGAGAATGAAATGAAATCATTAAAATGCTCAAAGAAAAAGACTACAACCATGAGTTCTATATCCATTTAAATTATTATTTCTTCAAAAAGAAGAAATAAAAACTTTCTTAGACAAACAAAAACTAAAAATTCCCACCCAGTGGACTTGCTCTGCAAGACATGTTAAAAGAAGGTCTTTAGGCGGAAGGAAAATCATGTGTAGATCAGATGCTTGAATCTACATAAAGAATCTATGGCCATACCACCCTGAACGTGCCCAATCTCGTCTGAATCTACATAAAGAAAAAAGAAAGCATCAGAGAAGTAGTTCATGAAGGTAATGTAAATTCTTTTATTTTCCTTATTCTTAATTGATCTAAAAAAACCTACTGATTGGAGCAGTAATAGTAACACTTTAGATGTAAAATACATAGCAGCAATGCCACAAGAGAAAGAATTGGGTAGTAGGTTAAAAGACACTTGTGCTACACATAAAGCACTATATTATTATTTGAAAATGTGCTTCGGTAATTTTCTTTTTTAAATAGAGACAGAGTCTCTCTATGTTGCTCAAGCTAGCTTTGAACTCCTGGGCTCAAGCAATCCTCCTGCCTTGGCCTCCCAAAGTGTTGGGATTACAGGCAGGAGACATCAGGCCTGGCCTGCTTGGTTAATTTTTAAATGGATATTAGAAAAACCACTTTTAGTAACTTAATCAGAAGGAAGAGGAAGAAAGAGGAAGAGGAGGAAGAAGAGGAGGAGGAGCAGGAGGAAAAAAGACAGGAAGAAGAAGCAGAAGCAGGAGAAGAGGAAAAAGAAGGAGACAAGGAGGAAGAGGAAGAGCAAGAGGGAAGGAGAAGGGGAAGGAAAGAAGGAAAAAAGAAGAGGAGGTAAAGATGAAGAAGAAATGATATTACCAGAGAAGATCTAAAATAAAATCTTATAAAATAACCATTCATCCATACTGATATAAACAAGTGATTTTATAAACAAATTAAACATTGAGAAAGATTTTTCCTAACAAAATAATTTAAATTAATAAATTTAGAATGAGTGAGGGAATAGGAAAATCACCATTAGAATACAGTGGTAATAATTGCTGTAGTCAAAATCCACTGGTGAATGCCAAAATTGGTTGACAAAGTATAAGAGGAAACAGAGTTTTACACAGTTTTTTTCTCAAATTATATTCATTAAAATACTTAGTATTTACAAAGGAAAAATAGTAACTTCACAATGGACAACCTGCAGTTAGTACCTTAACTTAGTGTTTAAGATTAATATCCCTAGAAATAAGACCCATCGTCATGTGCCCCTAATATGATGCCCTAAGATGCCCTAAGAAGGGCACACCATCTTGGGATATTTTTCCCCAAAATGCATACCCTTAAGCTTGATTGTGAGAAAATATAGGACAAATCCAAACTGCAGTACATACCTGACAAGCACCTTCCAAAGTGTTGTAGTCCTTGTATCAGGGAGAAAATGAGTAACTGTCACAGACTGGAGAGACTAAGAAGTCATAACAAGTAAGTGCAAGGAAATACTTGATTGAATTCTAAAACAGAAAACAAACATTATTGGAAAAACTGGTGCAGTATCAATAAAATCTGCAGTTTAATTAATAGTATTTGCCCATATTAATTTTTTAGTTACGTAAGATGTTAAGACTAGTGGAAACTTGATGAAAGATACATAGGATTCTGTATACTACTGTTGCAAAAATAACAATAATAAAAAATTATTTTTGAAAAGTACACCCTGAAATTTTATCTTAGCTTCATTTCCATCACATCTATTCTCCCATCATTCTGCATGTTTATTAGCTTTATGTTTATCCTTTCAGTGTTTCTTTATGCAAATACAAAAATGTGAATATGTACTTTATCTCCTTCCTTACATGTCAGAAGCATACTCATTATCCTAGCCTCTCCTGCACACTGATCGGTTCACTCAAAATATACCCCAGCAAATTTTCTATTGAGGTCGCATCATTTATTCTCACAATTGCATAGAATTCTACTGTGTAGATATACCATAGTTTATTCAAACAGTCCTCTATATTTGCACTCTTAAGTGCTTCTAATCCTTAATAAAAAGAGTATTCTGTGAATAATTTTGTATACTATATATAAGTTATTGCATTCATGGGCAAGTGTTTCTGTAGGATAGATTTCCAGAATTAACACTGGTAGGTCAAAGAGAAAATATAGCTATATTTATGGTTGCTTTTTCCACCTTCTCTTTCACAGTGAAGGGATCATTTTTTGTTCCCTCCAGTAATATAATAGAGTCTCTATTTACTCATGGTCTCACTTTGGGGCTCTTAAAGCTTCCAAAGTGCTTTCATGACATGTGTTATTTTACTAATTTTCTAATAGCATCATGATGGTTATCATTATTTCCATGACTAAAGGAATTGAGTCCTGAAGAGTCTGTGTCTTCCTCAAATAAATAACTAACATCATTAAAAGATGGATCCATTTAGAGTCTGTCTCGCCCTTGTGGAACTGAGTGAACCAGGCCATTGCTTTAAATTTTAAGTAATGAAATTCAGTCTCAGTTAGCTCTAGGATGGTATACAAATATGGGCTACAAATTTGGTGAAGGAAAATGATGTAGTGTTCTGTGGCCTTCCATTCATCTTGGTAACTACAGACATCCTCGTGGTTCATGCTAGTACAGCTCTTTGAAAACAGGCTCCCAAGATGAACTCCGAGGAAAGAACTCTGTGCAGACCGAAAGCCTGAGTTCCAAACTCCCTAAGTGCACTATGTAGCTGATCTTCTCTGTGTTTGGAAATATTTTCCGTGTATTGCCCAGGACAGTGGTCTGGACTCTTTATTTGTGCAGGGCTCACAGCCCTTTGTTCCTTTCCAGTCTTAGAAAATACCATTAGCTCCCTTGCTACTTTGGTCTCCAACTTATAATTCTCTCCCTCCATTGCCCATTCCCCCGACCCGCAAAAGACTCTTATTGACACAGGTTTTAAAAAATAAAGACAGGAATACCAGGAAGGGAAGAAGTCTTTAAGAGACACTACAAAGCAATCCAGCTACCTATACAGTTACACATGAAGTGTAGAGAAAGTAGAAAAGGAAAATACAGTTAGAGGGAAAAAAACACATATAAATATTTTATTAAACTACCCTGCCATGTAGTTTTTAAAGAATCAAACTGTTTATTTCAAGTATTACACAAGACCCCTAAATAGGCATCAAACTTGGTCACTTTTGTGGTTCATAAACTATCAAGATAGAGAATATTGTATTTATCAGGACATCTCTAAAAATGGGTTCTTTCTGTGATTGGAAAGAATATTTTAATAAGCTACACTTTGGTAGGAAGGTGGAAGGCAATGATTAAGACCTCATATACCATTGTATAGTAACAAAAAACTATCCTTCAAAGTATAGATGCAGTTACCTATGGGAAATATGTTTTATTAGGGGTCAAAGTAGAGATTTTCTTTAGCCTGACTAAATATTGATCAATGACACTTCAGAATGCAAGGTAAAAATCAAACTTAAGAAATATTTATAAACTGTTTTCTAGGAACTTAAGTCAAATTTAAAGTCTCCTTTTCTCTCAGGACTTTACTAAAATTTCATTTAACATTTTAGGCATTAAGTGTTGCAATTTAATTTTTTTCCAAATACATTTTAAATCATTAAAATGAGTTAAGCTATATCTGTAAATACTTGGATGAAATTGCTGTAATTATCTAATAGCATTAAAAGTAACAATTTCAGGCTGTTTTTCCCCATTTGTATTTAAGTATTGAAAACAAGAAAATATTCATAATCAGTTTCATAAATGCTGAAATAGAGCTATTAGATTTTCTGATAGGAAATACAGATTCTCAAGGTCCTTCTTTATGTTTCCTCGTTCTCCCTGTTTTGTTTGTTTTTCTCCAGGTTGTGTTTTTTAATAGTTGGAGGAGCGGAGAGAACAGGCGTAGTGGAGAGAGTAAAGAAGTGTGTATGAAGGGGGAGACTTCATTGTACAGAATGGTCATTAACTGTGATGCAAACGCCAATGTTTCCATGGAAACCTCTGTCCACTACAGAATATACTAGAGCAATTTTTGAACCATTTGTCCATTTGATTAATTATGTCTTTGTGCTGAAGGCAGCTTGGCTTGATTGTCTCATCATGTATTAGAGAAGCTACTGCTCTAACAAATGGGCCTATTGTTTTGGGTCTATTCATCTTGGTGCATCCCTGCGAGCTGATAGACATTTCAACAAAATGACTGTCCCTTAATGAGCTGCAGCCTGTCAGAATTGTTTAGGGCTTCATGCGAAGCAGAGTCCATGGTCATGACAGCCTCAGTTATTATGACAATGAGTAGGATGTCTATAAAAGAGTCCATGTAAATACAATGACCCTCATTTTGATATCACAGTTACTTTTTAATTATCAAACCTATGTATATTATGTTCCTAAAACACTCCTTATTTTTGTTCCAACATAAACTATAGAGTTTTTTGACAAACAGAACATGCCTACCAAATCAAAAGAGTAAAACATTTTTCATAATTTGGTATGATTGTTCTTGGTTTCCAGTTATCTGAAAAATATTATTAATGCAATTATGGGGACTGGCTAATAGAAGTGAAACCAACATTTTTTAAATATCTTGATGATATTAATGGTGAGTTTTTTAACACTTTAAAGTGGATACAAGCTAATTTTACTTGAACAAACATTCCTCAAAAAGGCAAAAACAAATCAAACATAATATTGGGGACACCCATAATATTTACAAAAAAATATATTTTTAGTAAATGGGACAAATACAACATTATTCTAGCACTCTCAGCCCATATGAGGTGGTAGGATAATAACCTACTGTGGTTTGAGAGTATGCACCTGTTGATTTGTTCTGAAGACTTGGGACTGTTGTTATCCCGAAACCCAAGTATCTTTCACAGGAACTGGTATTCAACATCCATGTGTTTTCCTGTCCACAATAAATTGTAATAATTGTGCCTGAAAAGAGAGAATATATTGGCAATTTTGATTTCATGTTTCCTCAAAGCAAGAGCAAGTTCTTCTTCTGAACAGATGAATGCACTTTCTAAGAAGGATGCTGTGCCAGTCACAGCCAAAGTCAACGTGCCTGAAACATCCCTTTTGCCAAAAGTTAATTATGACACTTAAGAAGAGCTTCCTATATGTTTTTAAATTGTATATTTCAGTTTTGCTTCTCTAGCTCTTCTGTGCAGAGAGCAGACATGGAGAATCACTGTATATGGTATGTGTTTTAACTATGTCTCCACACAGATTCAATGATTAAGTTGTGTCTTTAAAAATCACAGATGGAAATCACCACTCTGCAGCTACCAACAGCCACACTTAATCAGTTAGTAACTGGGGATTAAACTTAATTCAGATTAATTTGTATTAGTACAGTGTTTGTAAATCAATTGCTTTCATATTAATTTACATGTTGTCTAGACATGACATCATGTTGATTCTTTGTGTGGTTCAACTACTAATTATAGACTTTAAGGGTAACAGATGCAAACTTTTGTTTAAAGCTCTGAAAATAAATCAAGGCTGGAGTGGTGGTCCAGTTTGTTTTAGGTTAGGAAATTTTTAAAGCTTGGTACAAAACTACATATTAGAGTTAAAGTCTAAAATAAAAATGACTTAACACGTTTAAAAGGGAAATGGCTTCTGATAAAGATAAAGGCAGATTTAGTAGCCAGTGAGAGAAATTCTAGAAAAAGAGGAAAATTGTTAAAAATCTAACCAAAGTCCCCAAAACTCAATCCATAAATAAGACACTGAAACACTATGAAAATGATTCTTACTTACAGATTTTAGTTTGCATTTTTATCTGTTCCATTCAATGTCTAAACTTTACATAATGGAGTAACTGCTCTGTGGAAAGCATTTATTTAATTCTAACAATTCATTTGTTTCTAATAACTTTTAGACTTCTCAAAGTTCAATGGTTTTCATATCCAGAATACAGTAAGAAATTGTGGTAAAAACTAAAATAAAAAAATAAAATAAATAACATTCTTTTTTTTTTTTAATTATCACTCTTCATGGTCCAAAGACAAAGTTAGTGCCTTTATGTTCAGTTGGGAAAGCAGCATCTAAATCTGTTCATTTGCTAGTTCATAAACTTTCCTTAAAAACTAGAAGCTACAAAGCAGACCCAATTCTTAAATCTTAGTTTTCCTTATTTGGCTTATATTTGAATTTTAGGATGGACAAAAATCCAGCAGAATTAGTCATTTCTTTAACTTTCAAATTTGCCTTATTTGTTTTAGGAAATGAGCCTTCTCATTATCAGAATTTATGTCACAGAAACCTGGTTACTTTAAATCAATGTCAGTTATATATTACACATTTCATAACCTTGTTGTTATTTACCAGGATATCCATTTTCTCCCTTCAAAAATAGTATTCCTTATGTGCACATGAGAAAGTCACCACAGAAAAGAAAGCAACCTGATGCTGTCAGAGTGACTCACGTATCCTCTATTCTTGGAAGGAGGAGAAAAGATGGAAGGCCAATGCAATACTTTGTTACATGGATCTTATGTTACATGTTAAGTATGAAATTGTTTCCACTTGGCTAAGTAATTCTATTGCTTTCTGATATGAAAGAACTGCTTCTACCATTAAAATGCTGAAAATTCTAATCATAAAGCTATTTCTGAATTTTAATAAGCATTAATAAGATAAGCGTTATTCTGCTTATGTATCTGCACACCACTGATGATACCAACTGTCACCTTTGCCCCTGAAAAAAATCTTAATTTGGAAGGCCTTTCATGAAGTTTCATTTTCAAAATAGCTCTTCTTAAAAATTTGGAAATCATTTCAATCTTAAAACTTAAAGTTGCAAATGTAGTGCAAGGGAATTTCCAAACCCTTCCCGAAGATTTCACTAAGATTTCTTAAATGTTAACATTTTACATTTAAAATGCTCTCTCTCTCTGTCTCTCTCTCTCTCCATGTATAAATGTGTTTGTATCATTCAAAATAGCTCTTTAATAAGGGGATTTTTTAAGACTCCAAGGGGACTTCAGTTAACAAGTAATCATTTAGCTATTACTTTGAACATTATCTAACACAAACATATGTTTTTACTTGCCTTGGATAATTGATATAACTATAATTTTGTTCTCTAGCTTGGGCTTTCACTAAGTTAACTGGCATATAAATTTCATTGAAGATTTATAATATTATTTGTAAATATATCCAAATCATACTAAAGATCTAAGTTGCTGTCAGGATGCAAATGTACAATAAAAGGAAATAGACATTTCAGAAATAGCAGAACAGTTTTGTTTAAAACCCTCTTTACATGTTAACAGCAAAAACTTGTTTTATTTACACAGTATGTCTGTGGCCCAGCATGCTTATGTGAAAGAAAGAATACCAGTCTCATTTTTCAGGTATACAACTTCAAGAGAACACCATGGCTTTAGTCAAAAGGAAAGAAGCTGCGTCATGTTGTCGGTGTTTGAAGGTATGGCATAACAGATTTCTTTGAAATGAAAGGGTAGGAAGCAGCAAAATTTAACCCTCCATTTCAACATTTCTTAAAGCTCTATTTTTATAACCTTTCATTATTCTCACCAGCATCTAGAAAGTTATGGAAAGATAATCCATAACAGATAAATTTTATAGCTGATCATAAACAGGGTTGGATTCTAAAAGTTGCTCAGATTCCAGAAGACATACAACTTTTTCTTATGCTTCTCATTAAATGACTTTTCCATTTCTAAGAATTTGGCCCCTGACATGTATCTGTGAAATTCCCTCAGATGCCATCTCCCCTGCCTCCTCCCCTCCCTCTACCAGTCACTCCTAGTTGGCTACCCTTAGGCCAGAGAACTCACCTTGAGGCTTGACTGTGGCCCTATCATAAACAGCAACAGTGGAGGGGTCTAAGTAATCTCTGATTATAACTTCAAAACATTATAATGCTATATATCCTGTCTCAAATAGAGTTAAATATGCTAAACAGATGCAGATAAACAAAACAGATGCAGATAATTGAAAACTCTGAAGTGTCACATCTTGTATTTACTCTCACACCGTGTTCTCATGAACTCTGTGGAAACAAGACCAATAAAATAACAATAAAGGGTTCAATGTGGGGCCAATGTTAGATTCCTTAAGATTTCCATGTAGACAATCGTGTCATCTGCACAGAGTCAATTGAATTTCTTTCTTTTTGGTTTTCATTCCTTTTATTTTCATTTCTTGCCTTATTGCATTTGTTAGAACTTCTAGCTCTATGTCAGATAAGAGTGATGACAGCACAAATCCTTCTTTCTACCCAATCTTAGCAGAAAGATGTTTTGTCTGTCATTATTAAGTATAATGATAGTTGAATTATTTTTTAGATCAACTGAGAAATGTTTTCCTTTATTTCTACTTTTCTGAGAGCTTTTATCATGAATGGGTATTGAATTTTGTCATTTTTTTTCCTAGATCGAATGGATGATCATGTGATTTTTCTTCTTTAGCCTATGAATATGGTGATTAGCATTGATTTTCAAATATTAAATTAAGTTTGCATCCTAGAAATAAACCACATTTGGTCATGACATAATTTTTTTTGTGTTGCTTAAGTCTATTTGTTAATATTTTCTAAAGGCTTTTGTGTCTATATTCATGAAAGCTATTGATCTTTAGTTTTGTTTTTTGTTGATATTGTTGTTCTTGGTGGTGGTAGTGCTCTCCTTGTCTAGTTTACTATCAGGTTATGACTATCTTCATAGAATCAATAGGAGAATGTTTCCTCCTCTTCTGTTTTCTAGAAGAGATTGTGTAGAATTGAATTGGCATTAACTGTTTCTTAAACGTGCGGTAAACTTTTCCAAGTTAAACCATCTGGGTCTTGAGATTTCTTTTCTGGGAGTTGCTAAGTGATACATTCAATTTTCTTAATAGCTATTAGGCTATTCAATTTATCTGATACACATATTGGGTGAGTTGTAGTAGTTTGTTATTTGAGGAACCGGTCCATTTTGCATAAGTTGTCATATTTATGTCGATAGAGTTCTTTGTAGTATGTTCTGATTATTCTGCAGGACCCATAGTAATATCTCACTTTGTTTCTGATATTATAATTTGTGTCATCTCTCTTTTCTTCTTTGTCAGTGTTGCTAAAGATTTCTCAATTTTACTGGACTTCACAAAGAACCAGCTCTTAGATTCATTGATTATTGTTTTTCTATTTTCAATTTAATTGATTTCTTCCCTTATCTTTGTTATTTCCTTCTTTGTTTTCATCATATCTATTTTGTTCTTCCTTTTCTAGATTCTTGAAGTGGCTACTTAGATTATTGTAATGAGACTTTTGTTCTTTTCTAATGTAGGTATTTAGTGTTACAAATTTCCCTCTCATTGTTGCTTTAGCTATGACCCACAAAATTTGATATATTTTTTATTCAATTTAATGTACTTTTATTTACTTAAGATTTTCTTTTTTGATATATGGATTATTTAGAAATATGTGCTTTAATTTTTAAGAGTTTGAAAATTTTTTTTTATTTTTCTGTTACTGATTATTATTTTAATTTCATTGTGGTTAGATAACACTGCATAATTTCAAATTTTAAAAATCTGTTGATTTTATGATCCAAGATATTATTTATCTTGGTATATGTTTTTTGAGTACTTAAAAACAATGTGTTTTTTGGTGCCGTTGGGTGGAATGTTGTATAAATATCAATTAGATGTTGTTAATTAATGGTGTCATTGAGTTCTTCTAAACCATCGCTGATTTTCTTGTTAGTTATAGATGAGAAAGTGGTGTTGAAGTCTGAAACTACAATGTGGATTTGTTTATTTTTTTATTTCAGTTGTCTCAATTTGCAGCTCTGTTGCTCAGTGCTGCAATCAGAACTGCTATTCCTTCTAGGTGATGTGGATTGACTTAGCATTAAATAATCTCTCTCTCTCTCTCTCTCTCTCTGTCTCTTTCTTCTCTCTCTCCCTCTCTGGTAATTTTCTTTGCCCTGTAGTCTACTTTATCTGATGGTATTATAGCCACTACTACTTTTCTTTGATAAATGTTTGCATGGCATATCATTTTCTTATCATTTTATTTTCAATTAGCCTATACATTTTCAGCCTTGCTCTCTTTCTCTTCTTTTTCTGAGACTCCAGTGATATGAAAGTTAAAGTCCCATAGGTTCCTAAGGTTGCATTCCTCCCCCTACCATTGTATCTTTTCTCTGATGTTCAGATTGAATAATTTCTATTATACTATTTTTCAGTTTACTCATCCTTTCCATTGTCCACTCTATTCTGTTGTGAATATTCTGTCCACTCTATTCTAGCAGGGAAAAGGGGGAACAGAAACATTGACCCGTTATTGACAAAAAGTGGTAGAAATCTAGCTTCTATTGACACCCAAAGGTAAGGAAAGTTCACCTTTATTGCCAGGAATATTGGAAGCTCCTGGTCCTCATGTGGTCTCCACTGACATGGTGGCAAGAGTGGCCTCATTACAACTGGGCAGTAGTAAATGTTATGACTCTCCACTAGGTTGCCTTTGACACCATTCTAGTGGGGAAAGGGGAAAGCCTCCTTGTTTCTATCTAGCAGGGATGAAATTCCCACTCCTACTTGGCCTTCTCCTACATAAACCCAGTGGAGACATTGAATTCCCTCATTACAACCTTACAAGAGTGAAGTCTAAATTCTTCACTCGGCCTTGGCTAGTGTGGTAGGGGTGGGGTGACATTTTTCTTCTATGATATTTGGCTAGACTAGAGTAGTGATTGTCTAAAAGTTTTTTGTTCTGCCTGGTTACCCCTTTCATTTTACTTTGGCTAGAGAGAGCAGGCTTTTGTCTATGTTCATTGGTATTTCTGTGTTGCCAGTTTCTTTAGCTTCAAGTCTCAGATATAGGAGACAAAATAAAAACCCAGAGTAGTTATCACTGTTACTTCTGTTTCCCAGGTCTCTGGACAGTCTGCCTTCTTCTCTATATCTTTCATAGTCTTCTGATGCTTGTTTTACATAAAATGTCCTGGTTTGTAGTTGTACGTAATAGAAAGAGTTAAGTACATCTACTCTATTTACCTAGAAATGGAAGCCTCTAGGGTCACATTTTAAAGGATAGTAGCCTAAAAACATAATTTGTTGAATTTTTAAATATTCTAAACAGATAAATTCATTAATTTAAGCTAGATTTAGAAGTCTCTTGAATCCCAGTCAACAGCCAGGTCTTAAATAGTAGACTATGTTTATTAGACATTTAATTATAGGAAATAGAATATCTAAATTCTCTGTGTTAGTCAAATAATTCCAAATCTCAGAGGCTTAGAACAGTAAACTTCTGTCTCTCTTAGTAGATGGTCTTCAAGTCAGCTACAATTCCACTTAAGGCTGTGTGTCAGACTTGGGTTTTCTGATTGAGAGTGTAGGCCCACTCCACATGTTTTCTCATTGTGGAGCAAAGGCTAAAGGGGCAGCCTCTCTCAGTATATGCCATTCTTCACAGTAATAGTCAAAATAGAAACTGGCAGATATGTGCAGTGGTTAGTAAAGCTTTTCCGCAGAACTGGTGCACTATCCCTTTTGCTCATATTTTATTGACCAGGCAAAGTCACATAGCCAAGCCCAAAGTCAGTTGGGTGTAGGGATATACTTATTTTATGGAAAGCAGACAAATTGCATAGTAAAGGGTATATAGATGTATAATCTTCCTTCAGAAGAGAGAGAATAAATGTGAAATCTTTACATAATGATTAGAATGTTACAATAATCATAAAATTCTCAAACTAGATTAATTGGGAAGAAACTGAATTTAATTTAGTAAACATTGTATTAAAATATGTTTTCTGTTAAAGATGCAAAACTCATCCAAGTAATGGCTCTATGATCCATTGTATCATTTTTCACACATGCTATGAAAGATTAGAATAACTAGTAATTAACTTAAAATGATGTGTCAAGTAGGTCACTTGAAACTTACATTAGTTATCAGCTTAATTTTTTAATATAAATATCATAAAAGTTATCTTCAGGCCAGTTCTTTTCAGCCTACTAATATTTTCCTTTGCATTCCTAAATCTCCATTAAAATGTAGGTACATCTATAGAGACAGAGATATCCCTAAAGATATCTATATATCCCATTGTTTCATGAAATTTTATATTAAGGCCAGACACAGAATAATTCATAGAATGATAGCAAGGGAAAAAAAGGATTTTTAGGCAGCTGGAGTGAGAAGAAAAATTAGAAAGAAAATGTTCTCTACTGGGAACTATTTTAAGTAAAGAATCTGGGGCAAAATTTTACATAGCTTCTTCTTTCTAAATGAGAGAATTGATTCTTATCCCCGCAAATTCATTAGTGAGCTCACGTGAGTTCCACATAAAGGATCCAGCATAAAGAAAGTCATACGGTGTAGTCAGATATAAATTAGTGTGTGTTGTTTACCTTTGTTTAGTTACACATCTTGCAATTTGCTGATAATTGCATGTGGATTATACTAGTTAGCTACCCTGCTACTCAACCAACTCAAGTAAGTAGAACAAAATATTACTGAATATTTTCTTTAAAAGCAGTGTATACAATAACTGAAAAGAAACATGGAGGTAATCAGATCTCATTGTTCTTCATAAGAGACTGACTGCCATCTCTGACATCTTGTCTGAAAACCTCCAGTGATGGAGAAATACTATTGATTACTTTTTGGCACTTTTGGCTGCAAGAAAGAACTTCCTCACATTGACTTGAGATTTGCCTTTCTCTAATTTCTACCTAATGGTAATAATAACATTTTTTTCTAACTTCCACCTAACCATAGCAACAAAGACACCCAGCAGGTAATCATAAGTTGGCATATGGTAGGCCTGCAGAAAGAATTCACTAATATAATGTATTTTTAACAAATCTAATAGAGATGATAAGATAAATGACAAATAGCTAAAATGTGAGTTGATATATTGTAACAAATATCAAAAGTGTTAAGGGGTTCCAAGTAGGAAAGATTACATACTATTGGGGGAGGAGAATACATGGGAAAGAGGAAGTAAATCTATTTAAAGGTGGATCTAACATAGGCTTTAAAGCCTAGGTAGAATTCTAGCAGGTAAATATGAGAGACAAATAAGAAGCAGCAAGGTCGTAAGTGAAAGATACTAAAATGAATGTAATTACAAGAGAGGGAGATGAGACTCAAAAGTGAGACTAAGTGCATGCATACGTCAGTTCAGGCTGCCATAATAAAATCACACAGATAGGGTGGCTTAAACAACAGAAATGTATTTGCTCACAATTCTGGAGGCTAGAAGTCTGAAAGTCCAAGCTCAAGGTGCTAGTAGTCTTGGTAATTATGAGGCCTTTCTCCTCGACTTGCAGACAGTACCTTCTTGCTCTGCCCACCCAAGACTTTCTCGATGCACAAGTGTTCAGAAAAAGCTTCTTCATGTCTCTTCCTCTTCTTTTGAGAACACCAGTTTTAAGGGATTAGGGCCCAATCCTTACAGCCTCATTTAACCTTAATTACCTCTTTTAAGGCTCTGTCTCCCAAAACAGTCACATGGTGGGTAACGGCTTCAACATGTGAATTCTCGGGGACTCTGGGAAAGGGTGGGTGTGATACAATTCAGTTCACAGTAGTCTTCAAAGTAGAAAAAGTTCAATGCAGGCGTCATAGCCTGTTAAGATTAAAATGTAATGCTTATACCAACATCTATGAAGCTTCATTTAAGACCAAGCAATAAATAAATCCCAAAGAAATATTCATTTGTGATGGAATGTAAATAAGCCACTATTATTTAAACTCAAGCACTCACCCCAATCGAAACATTTGGTATAATATGATTTTTCCCAATGTAAATATGAACTTTAGTTCTACCTGTCTGCACAAAGTCAGAGTCGCTGTAAAATACTTAAAGCTAAATAAATCACGTGAACTAGACATATGTTTTTATAATTACCATAAAAATGCTGGTATAAATTAAAAGAAGAAATCATAGAATTTCTGCTTTGTTTGCTGAATATAATTTTAGGTTGTTTCTTTTGCCGCTTTATGAATTATTAAAAGCTTTTGTCATTTCATTCATTTTGGCTAGAAAAGAATTAGATATGATTTATGGATATTTAAAGTAAGACAACATGAAGGGGAAAGCATAAAATCCAATCTCATTAATTTACAACTTAAAAATTCTGCTGCCAAAAGGGGAAAAATATTTTGGGATTTCTCTCTCATAATTTCCTATATTGCCTACATAATCTGAATTCATTGCATAATTGAGTATTCTCTGTCTTTAGTTACTAATGTCAACTCAGTGCTTATGCTTCTTAATCCGTATTTAATTCAGTATATGTTCCTATTACAACTGACAGGCTATTAAGACATTTTTTGTTAGTCTTTCCTATCAACATTTATAAAAGAAAATGGAAAGTAATTCATACTAGGTTAAAATCTTCTTAAAAATGTTTCTATAATTTGTAAGCTCATACTGAATGTTGAGGTGTAGCAAAAGACATTTTGTTACGTGCGATAATAATGCATCTGATTTCTGAGTAAAACACATTCAAATATATTTATTATATCAGCAATGATGCAGAAGATTCATTTGACTCTCAGGTTAAGGGACAATATAACGTGCACTAACCTTGATTTATTGCTCTTGGTTGGCTTCTAAAAGTCAATACTACATTGAGTTGCAAGGAAGTCTCATTTGAATGAAAACGGATAAAAAGTTTATTGTGAAAATATATAGTTGTAGTGCCTTATAATCTTCCAAATAATAAACAAGAATATTTAGTGAGAAGGCATGTATTAAAAATCTAGGAGAGAATTTTTTTTTAAAGTAAGCCATCTCTTTATGTTCTCTGTTTTTATACCTTTAATTTGTTTGCATAGGAAGAAAAGGCTGAAGATAATTCTTTATCAGGTGGAACAGAACCTCTTATATGAAAACGTAAGTATGTCTAGGCTGAACTATTTTGGAAAAGTGAGGGGAATTTGCCTAGAGACCTGGGAAATAGTCTTTTCGTTTTGTTTTGTTTTCTAGCCATGACATGAAAGGTGGAGGACTACTCATGGGGAGGAAACAGGAGGCTGAGAAAGAGAATGGGGAAATGTTGACATACCAAGGAATTGAAGAAAGGGTGGAAGGGATCAGGCACAGTTTTTTCATATAGTCTTTATATCTAGTAGCCTCATTTTATTGTAATTTTTCCACTTTTCTCTTTTTTATCCCAAACTTGCAAATGAGAACACTGAAGTTCAGAAAGGATAAGTGATTTTACTAAGGTCATGTAGCTGCAATGTGGTAGAGCTGTGTTTTTGACTACATCTTTGCAGCCAATATTTAATTGAACATGACAGTTAACACATGATATAAAATATTTATTTTCATGAAAAAGATACTTCTATCATGAAATATTTAAGTTTTGAAATATATTGCTTACTTTACACTATGATTTTACAATTTCTAATTTTAATTGAATATAAGCATAGATTCCTAGTACATCATAGCTCACAAAATTGGAATACCCACTGACCCTTACAATAATCCTGAAGAGAGGACATCTATTAACATGAGGACCAAATGTTACCTTATAGATTTTATGTAATTTGTCCATGATGATACTGCAAGTATCTGAAATAGTCAAATTTAAATACTATTTTCAGACTCAAACAACAAAAGTTTTTCTACTATACTGTTGCATATCTTCACTGAACAATCTAGTATATTTTAATATGGTCTTTTGACATTTAAATTCTGACAAAAATCTAATGCTCCCACATACGGAATTATTCTATATTTTATTGTAAGTATTATTCTATATTTTATTTTAAATCTTCCTAAATTTTGTGTTCCTAAGATAATTTGAAAATGCATGTTTGGAGTCTTTTGAGGATAACCTGGTTAGTTGTTGATAGTAGCTACAGTAGCATTGTAGCTTTTGTAGATCTTCCACACTCCCTCTTAGCATGACCATTTAATAAATAATTCAAATTTTTCCTAATGCAGCATTTTAGGGTATATTGGTGCAATAAATAGCCTAGGAAATAGTATGCATTCAAATAAAACAAATATATATAGTCATGCACCACATTTACAACAGTGACCCTATAAGAATATAACGGGGCTGAAAAATACCTATTGCCTGGTGATGTCACAGCCATTATAGCTGTCACAGTTGTCCTAATGCATTATTGTCTACACTATTCAGAACAGTAACATGCTGTACAGGTTTGTAGCCTGGGAGCAATAGGCTATGCCACATAGCTTAGGTGTGCAGTAGGCTATACCATCCAGGTTTGTATAAGTACATTCCATGATGTTCACAAAACAATAAAATCACCTAATGACACATTTCTTAGAATGTATCCCCATCGTTAAGGAATACCTGATTGTATTACCATACATTTATATTGCTTGTGAATTTCACTTATCTATGGAAGCTCATGAAAAACAGAAAAATAAAAATAATTATTTAAATTGACCTATCAAATTATAACATGTGTATGTACAATGTGTAATATTTGGTGCATCATTTTATATATATTTTGGTTCATAAATATATCATAACTATATTTGGCACATAATTTATTATTTTAAATATGTATATCTACCCAAAACAATATATACTATTTTAAATTAAGAATTCAGGATAATTTTTCTAGAGCTTTGTGATTACAGTCTGACCTCTCTATCTGGGTTCTGCGTCTGTGGATTCAACCAATTCTGGACCAAAAATGTTGAAAAAAAAAGCTTCTACATTGACATATATAGTCTTTATTTTTGTCATTCTGCCTTAAACAGTGCAGTACAACACCAATTTACATAGCATTTACATTGTACTAAGTATTATAAATAATCTAGAGATGATCTAAAGTATATGGAGGGTGTCCATAGATTACATGTAAATACTGTGCCATTTTATATCAGGGATTTGAGGATCTGCAGATTTTGAGATCCACAGGAGGTCCTGGGACTAATCTTCCATGGATACTAAGGGACAACTGTACTACAATTTTTGCCATATGTGCAGAATTCAGAAACTAATATCCTTGAAGATGTTCCCCCGTTAAGTGACATAATTAATAGTCTTCAAAATGAAAATAAACAAATAAAGGCCGAAATGGAAAGACAGAAATCAGATTTGAAAAAAACCGTAGTTTCTTTGGTAGGATAAGATCTAAGAGTTAATGGAGGGTGTCTTTCTCGAAAAGAATCCAAAAATTATACATTTTCTAATTCTCGATTTGGACAGTCTCTGTTCCCATCATTCAAAGACTACCAGGAACACATCTGTGATCAACAAAGGTAAGTTATTGCTTCTTACAGCAAAAACAAAAAACAAATCACAAAAAAACACAGCATGAGAGATCATGGGATGCATCAAAAGGGGTAGGATAAAACTGAAGAAAAGTTGCTTACAGAGTTTTGGGTGCTGGAGTCATTGGATGATTCTGGAGAAATGGGTCAGATTGTGTAAACCAGTGTATTGCTGGAACTGTCAGAGGTCCTTACCTTTAAAATTTATGAGACCATGTGGAACCACTGTTAATCAGTTTGTGTGTGGTCTTATCAAAACCACATGGATCTAAACAAACCACTGGTGCTAAAATCATGAGTTTAGAAATGTCTGTGATAAACATAATGATTTTTTTTTCTGATACCATTTATCTCTGTGATTCAGTAAGTGTGGTTTCTGTTTCAATTCTCAATTATTCTTTCACAACCTCTCTGCCAACAAATTTTCCCTTTATCAACACTAGCAAAAGTATAACTGAGGTTAAGTCATTTAAATTTCCTTGAGCCAAAGTTTCTGTTTGTAAAATTAAAATTTTTGGAATTGATGTTCAAAAAGCTCCTTATTCATCTAAGATTAAAATACTGAATCCCAGAAATTAACCTTTAATTATCCACCTTCAATCATACATGAAGGATGAATTTTGCATCAACAAAGCTTTAAACATCATTATTTCATTTCAAATTCCACATTACATAAATGGTATGAATGTGATTTTTAAGTAGAAACAGTAGAAAATGCCAAATTCTTATTTTCCTAATACTCAATACAAATAAAAAATAAATTGCAATATAAAATCGTAGGAGATTTCGAACAGAATGTATTTGAAATTAAACACACTTATTAAATTAGAAATAATGGTAATGATGGAACTGCTAACTCAAATGAGCATTCATAACCCCTGTTAGATATCAAAAGAATAGAGGCCAATACAAATGAAATAGAAAGCACATTGACACATTGTTTTACAAGTTGTCTTAGTAGGTTCTAGGCTGCCATACTAAAATAACATAGACTAGGTGACTTAAACATCAAGAGATTTATCTTCTCACAGTTCTGAAGGCCAGTAAGTTCAAGATAAAAATTCTAGTAGGGTTTGGTTTCTGGGGAGGACTCTCTTCCTTGATTGCAGATGGATCACTTTCTTACTGTGTCCTCACACTGCCTAAAGAAAGCTCTTGGATATCTTCCTCTTCTTTAAGGGTACCAGCCCTATTGGATTAGAGTCCAACCCTTATAAATGCATTTAGCCTTTATTACATCCTTAAGGACCTATTTCCAAGTATGGTCACATTAGGGGTTAGGGTTTGAGCATGTGAAGTTTGGAGAGGGGATACAATTTAGTCCACAGCACTAGTAAACCCAAAATAAATAGCCTACCTTCAACAAAACATTATATCTTCCCTTAAAACACTGAGAAAATAAATGCTTTATTCCTTTTTCTCATGAAAAAAAATAAATCTACATAAAATGGAAGGAATTCCATTGTCTTTTTACTGGCAACCTTTCCTTTTCTATTGAAAAGAGTTCCCTTATAAGAAAGAGTGAGAAATTCCTTGAACTGGACTGGTAAAATCTGCCTCTTCTCTGTGTCATTCTCACCTCTGACCTCTTCAGAGATTATCTTGGTAGGATGCCTGCTGATGTTGGCTTTGAGTGACGTGACCTTCAACGCTTCCTTAAACATGGACATGAAAAGGATCAGCTTCCAGCAGATTAAGTGAAGTCAAGAAAACTACCAAGAAAAAAAAATAATAAAGGCAGTTTAACTTTGAAAGCAATTTTACTCAATATTTCTAATTTGCCTTTAAGACTTGTAAGAGCCTAGCTTAAATAAACAGATTTCTAGATCATTTCCTATCAATTAGCTAATACTTGGCCTGAAACAGTCTCCTGGCTTTTGTCGTATTTTAAATAATGTAAAGACTATATTAGAGGTATGACCAACTTAATCTCCAAAACTTTATTTTATTTATTTTATTCAGTATTGTTACATTTATTTTCAATGAGCTTTTTTTAAAAAAGGTTATTGCCTCTACATGTAGGTACATTTAAAAAAAAATTATAATGTGGTTTCACTAATTCAATGTTTAGTTAGTTTGTACATCATGCATAGGAATTTTCTAAATACTGATTTATTGCCTTTCTTCTTCCTGATTACGGTAGCCTGTCCCGATCCCCATGCCCTCAAATATCCCAATATTAACAACTTAGCTTTGTCCATATGTATTTTTCTCCATATTTTAAATAACATTTTATAAGTTTTCTCTCTTTACATATACATATATATGTACGTGCATATATGTACACACACTATGTATGCACATATGCAATCATACATATATAGAATCGTTTTATTTTTTATTAATCTAAACAATTATGCGATAGATACCTTTATATACAGACTCTTACAAATTGGCACATTTGCTTCTATAGAATAGCTTTCTACGAAAAGGAATTGCTTTTTTAAAAAAAATTTGCTTTCTAGGAAAGATACCGCCAGATTCTCATTTTAAAGATTAATTCACTGAGCCCTCTGGAACAGAGGCTAAACAAGGTTAAATTGCTTTACAGTTCAACCAGCCATCTAAGAGAGTATCCTTTTATTTCATAACCACACTAGCATTAGGTTTTAGAACATTATATAGTTTTTCAGATTAAATCATTGTTATATACATTTCCATTTTCCTAGTAACTAGTGAATTTTCCTTTTCTAAGTGTTAGGTATTTAAATTGGCTTTTTGTACATTGAGTATGTATAGCTTTTTTCCATTTTTATACTGCATATTTTGTCATTTTCCTTGTCAGTTTATAAGAACTTTTTGTGTATTACTAAAACAAACTCATTGCCTGCTATTTTCATTGTCATTTTTTCCAGATACACCATGTGTTTATTAATTTTGCTCATTTTTTTGCTCTAAAAATGGTTTAAATTTTATTTAGCTACCTCTGAGTTTTTAAATACTGTAGGTTTCTAGTATTACACACCAGCTACCTAGATTTTTTGGCATTGTTGCAAGAAAATAATCAATTATTTAACTCAACTGGTATTAACTTTTATAAATAGTGTAAGATGGGTATCCATTTTTAATTGCTTCCACGTAGATACACTGCTTATTAAAATGTCACCCTTTTCTCATTGAATACATCTACTAAAGTTATTGGATTAACTTCATTATTTTGATGAAGTGTTCAATATAATATAGCATCCAAAAACACATTGTTGGAAAATTTTAAAACTTAAAAAAAATTATCTTTTCATTTAAAATTGCCCATCTCGTAATGTACTAATGCAAATTGTTAGCATGAAGATGGGATTCATAAGTAAAGAGATAACAATTGCCATATCTTCTTAAGTATTAAGTGTGTTGATGTGAAAATTTTAATGAAATAATTCACTCCCAGTTGTTCAATATATGGTATTTTCTTCTTCTCTGTTCCAGAGTATATTCTGTGTATTAACATTAATCTGTATAATGAGATAATGGAAATAATCGGGAATCTCTCCTATACTCTAACTGCTGCCTTCTCTTTTCTAATTTCTCTACTCCAAACAGCTGATTCTATTTCTCTGTTAATTTCTCATATCCGAAGTGAGAAAGACCCAGAAATACATAGAAAGTTTGTGATTTGTCTTGTTACTTTAATAGTTTTCAACTTTTCTTTTTTTTTTTTTTTTTTTTTTGAAACAGTGTCACTCTGTCACCTGGTCTGGAGTGTGGTGGTGTGATTATAGCTGACTATAACCTCCAACTCCAGGGCTCAAGCAATCCTGCTGCCTCAGCCTCCCAAAGTGCTGGGATTACCGGCATGAGCCACTGTGTCTGCCTCTTTTCTCTTTTTTTGTCTGTTTCTCTTTTTCACTTCCTGAGTACTCTAACTCAATTTCTTCCCTCCCCACAAGGGCAGCACTTCAGACTCTAATTAATCCCATTCTCATTTACACCTCTGAAAGCCCTCATAAACTAATAGCTTTCTACATATTTTTGTATATGAAACAAGTTGATATATAATTTTTATATCCATTTTCAATTTTCACAATAATCCTGAGTAGTAGGTATTATTATTATGATGCCAATGTTACTAAAGAGGCTATATGACTTGTCCATGATCACCAGACCAATAAAATAGCAAAGACTTTCTGATTATAAGTTACATGTGCTTTCCACTGTCACCTTTTTGGTACTTGACTATTTTGTTTGATTGACTAATTTAAGGTGACAATGATTAGTTGTCAATTAAACACACTTTTTAAAAATTTGACTCAATATTTAATAGATTTATTTTATCCCAGAAATAAAGGCGTGTGTGTGTGTTTGTGAATGTCTGTATGTGTGTGTAAACAATTATCTTACATCCGAAGAAATGCTTTTAAGATATTATCCCCAACAAAAAATCACATTTGAAAAAGAGGTAGGAGAGGTTTAAATATAGAAATATTTGAAGTGCCAAAGGAGAGTAAGTAAGATACTAGAGTTAAAACTGGAAAGAGATATTTGTGGAAGGTACTTTTTTACTAGGGTCACCTATGGCATTCAAATGTGGCTGGCACTGGGAAATTTGACATTCCAGATATCCTTCCCTTTATAATTCCAAATACTCAAATATAAGATACTATATCTCTTTTACATCGAATAAGATGAGCTTTCCTCTGGTAAAGTATCATGAAAAATATAATATATAAATATAAAATACACATTTCTTTGTGTTAAGTTTGCCACATTTAGCAAATAAAAACACAGAATACTCAAACATAAATTTTGGATAAATAACAAATTTTATCTTAGTATAGTTATGTGCCACATAACATTTGACACACACTGATACTAACAATTATTCATTGTTTATCTGAAATTCAAATTTAGCTGGATATCCTTTAGCTAACTGGTAACTCCAATTTTGATAATTAATGGTACAGCCAAATCAATACTCATATTGATGTTAAAAGCATGCAGCCACTAACAGCTACAGGACCATCACATTGCATAAACTTGTTTTTCATTTATTTGGATTTTGATTTTTGCTGTTTTTTATTGTTATATCATGGTTGTGTATATTTTGAAAGTACACGTGTTATGTTTATACATGTTTACAATGTGTAATGATCAAGTCAGGACAACTGGGATAGTTATCATCTCAAACATTTTTCTTTGTGTTGGGAACATTACAATTCTTCTTTTCCAGATATATTTTGACATATATAATAAATCATTGTTAACTATAATTTCTCCATTTTACTATCAAATACTATTAGGTTGGTACAAAAATAATTGTGGATTTTGCCATTACTTTTATGGTGAAAATTGCAATGACTTTTTCACCAATCTTAAATGAACGTATTCCTTCTAACTGTATTTTAAACATATTTTTTCAATTGTGGAAAAATACACACAACACACATTTTGCCATCTTAACCAATTTTAAGTGTACCTTTTCAGTAGTGATAAGTATATTCACATTGTTGTATATACCCATCAAATAACAACTCCCCATTTCTCCCTCCCCTCAGTCCCTGGCAACCACAATTCTACTTTCTGCCTCTATGAATATGACTACTCTAGGTACCTTATATATGTGGAATAATATAGTATTTGTCTTTTTGTGATGGGTTTACTTAGCTTAGCATAATGTCCTCCAGGTTAATCCATTTTTGTAGCATGTGGTAGAATCTCCTTCCTTTTTAAGGCTGAATAATATTCCATTGCATGTATATACCATATTTTGTTTATCCAATCGTTTGTTGATGGACACTTTGTTGATACTTATTGTGAGGTTATTATGAATAATGCTGTTGTGAACATTGGTGTACACATATTTATTACAAAGCCTGTTTTCAATCCTTTGGGGTATTGTATTAGTCTTCTAGGGCTTTTATGACAAAGACCCCAAACTGGGTGAGTTAACCAACATAAATTTATTTTCTCACAATTCTGGAGGCTAGAAGTCCAAGATTAAGGTAATGGCAGAATTGGTGTCTTCTGAGGCCTCTTTACTTGGCTTATAGATAGCTATCTTCTCCCTGTGTCTTCACATAGTCTTCCCTCTATGTAGATCTTTGTCCTAATTTCATCTTGTTAAAAGGACACCAGTCATATTGGATTAGGGCTCAACATAATGACCTCATTGTAACTTAATTACCTCTTTAAATTCCCTATCTCCAAATACAATCATATTCTGAGGTATTAGGGCTAACACTTCAACATACGAATTTTGTGGAGACACATCAGCCCATAATAGGTATATACCCAGAAGTGAAATTGCTGGATTATTTGGTAATTATATTTTTATTTTTTAGACTAACACACTGTTTTTTTAAAACAGCTGAATCACTTTTCATTACCACCAATAGTACACAAAGGTTCTAATTTCCCCACATCGTCAACATTTTTTACTTTCTTTTTTATGGTAGCCATCCTAAAGGTGTGATGCTGTTTCTGCCTGTGGTTTGGATTTTCATTCCTCTAACAATTGATGATGCTGAGTATCTCTTTACCTATCTGTTGGCCATTTGTGTAACCTTGCAGAAAAGTCTATTTAAGTGTTTTGCCCATTTTTTAAAACTGGGTTGTTTGTTGTTGTTGTTGAATTGTAGAAGTTCTCTCTAGATATTCACCCCTTATCATATATATGATATGAAATTTTTTTTTCTCATTCTGCCTTTTTACTCTGTTGATTGTGTCCTTTGATGCACAATTTTTTAAAAAAGTTATACGGTTCAATTTATCTATTTTAACTTTTGTTGCCAGTGTTTTTGGTATCATATCCAAAAATATATTGCCAAATATAAGGTTATAAAGCTTTTCACCTATGTTTTCTTCTAAGACTTTTATAGTTTTAATTCTTATATTTAGATCTTTGATCTATTTTGAGTTAATTTTCATATGTGGTATAAGATATGGATCCAACTTTATTCTTTTGCATGTGGATATTCAGTTTTCCCAGCATCATTTGTTAAAAAGACTGCCCTTTCCCCATTGAATAACCTTGGCATCCTTGTTGAAAATATTTCGACCATATATGTAAGGGTGTATTTCTGAACTCTCTATTACACTTCACTGCCTATATTTCTTCTTTATTCTAGTAACACACTGTTTTGATTACTTCAACTTTATAAGTTTTGAAATAAGGAAATGTGAGACCTCTAACTTTGTTCTCCTTTTTAAATATTTTTAAATATTGTTTTGGCTGTTCAGGGTTCCTTGAGATTTCATATACATTTTAGGATGGCTTTTTCTCTTTCTTAAAAAAAAAAAGACAGATTTGATATGGACTGCATAAATCTATTATTTAATGAATAGTTATTGTATTTTTTATTTTCTAACAATGTTTCTTGAACTTAGAGTCATTTCTAATTTTTTAAATTTGGATGACATCTTTCTGTGGGAGGTAAAATGCTAAAGACACTGCCAAGCAGCAAGAAGTAGCACTTCTGAGAAGGATGGCATAAAGAGAAAAACAAAGGCTTAGTCTATGTCACGAAAGGTATGAAAAGTTGGATAGACATGTGGATTCGTCTGCTTAAAGTGCCATAACTAAATACCACAGAGTGGGTGGCTTAAAAAAAACAGAAGTTTATTTTCTCATAGTTCTAGAGGCTGTAAGTCCAAGATTAAAGTGCCCTCAGGGTTGGTTTCTCAGGAGGTCTCTCTTCCTGGTTTGCCAGTGGTCATCTCCTCACTGTGTCCTCACAGGTCCTGTCCTGTGTGATTGAAGAGAGTTCGTTTGTTCTCCGGTGTCTTTTCCTCTTCCTAAAATAACACTAGTCTTGTGTGATTAGAGTCGTATGTGTCCTTATTACCTTATTTAAGATTAATTACCTCTTTAAAGGCTCTATTTCCAAAGACAGTTACGTTGGGATTTAGGGTTTCAACATATGAATTTTGGAGGAACACAACTGAGTTCATGGCAATGTAGTTTGGAAAACTGAGAATAAGAGAAACACATCACTATAAGATAGTCATAGTGACAGCTTCTCACTGAAGTGGCCACCTCTGCTATTCTAGACAGAACTGGCAAAGCATGTAAATAATGGATTGCCAGAGTCTGGGAAGTGTTCAAGTTTGTAAAAAACCAAGTTTTGTGAAGGAAAATACTAGCTTCACTCAATTAATGGCATTTTTAAGGTGATACACCATGTGTTCTTTGTGTTTCTAAAGCAAACAAGTAGAAGGAGAACTGTTACAGATTCAGATATTCAGTTTACATTTGGAAGAAGAGTAAATTCAAGGGCACTGAGCGTCAATACAGCAATAATTGCTCCTTCAATTTAGAATAAAATATTTTCAAAGCTTCTCAAAAACACAAATCACTACATTTTTATTGATATTGCGGTGAAAAAATCTGAGCCAGTATATAAATCACTTGGAAGATAGAGTAATAATTTATTTTTGAAATAAATATTATTGTAGCCTCCACAGTATTTCTTAACTTCCAAGAAACTAAAGCTAAGTTGAAAATAATTAGAAAATCTACTTGGTATTTTGGAGTGACACCACATGTGAGTGAAATTTCAAAATTATTAGTTAAAAGCAAAATTGGCATTTTAACCTTTATAAAATGTCAGAAGATAACATACTAGAAACACAACTGTCCTAAAATTATACCAAATAGCTATGCTATTTTAAGTAACATCATATAGATCAAAACTCTCTAGACATTTTCCACACCATTTAAACCCACCATTTTCTTCACCAAGATTGTGAATTAATTGTAGTATTTACCAATTCTTTCTTAATGTTGAGTGCACTGCATCACTATTTTTATATATTTATGCATTTACTTGTTTTGCTTATTTATTCTTTTTTATTTTTGTTTTTAATTAATGCAGCCTGAATATAAATGATTACAATTACTTGAGAATTATATGTGCTTGAGTTCAGGTGGCTCAAATACTACACAGTGACAGTATTTTTGTAAACTCACTGTTACTAAGTTTCAGCATCAATGTTTTTGAGGGAAGTTTATTTCTCTCTATTTTACTGCTACAGGTAGTGAGGCTTAATCATGAATAGCTGACTTATGAGCAGGCCATAGTATAACAAGGGTCTTAGTGTAAGAATATGGTGGATCATTAACATAATTTGAGTTAAGACCTGGAAGGAGTTCCAAATCTATCACTTCTAATGCAACTTTTGGGAAGTGATTTAAGTTAAATTGTCCTCTATTTTTCTTTTCACCATTCAAGTGGGAGTGATGGTAATACCTGTCCTACCTATTCAAAGGGATGTTTATAAGGACCAAATGGCTGTAAAGATGCCTAACAGAAAACTTAAAATTGAATTTTTAAAGCATCGTATAAAAACCTTTTATATGCTTTACAGACACATGAAATTATGATTACAATGTTTAGTTAAGATCATTTTTATCCCTAGAAAGACATTTTGATATAGATGGGGATCCAGTTGTTTCATCTAGCATACATGGCATACAGAAATGATGTCTTTTCTTGGTTTGTCAAATGTTCATTATTTGAAAATATAATATTTAGATACATATTATAACATCATACTAACCATCTGGTGTTCAACAATTCAGTCTCAAAATTAAATATGTAGTATGCACTATTTGCTGATAGGCTTAAAATAATGTGGAAATAGCCACAGTTATTCCTCCCTTCCTTTAGTCTTAAATAGAAATACTACGGCCAGATAACTGGGACTAATGATAATCTGATTTTTTAAAAATAACAAATTAATATACCAGAATATGGAAAACCTGTATTCTTCCCTCTTCTCAGTCACTAACACTTCTTGTACATCTTTGGAGTAGTCATCTAACTTTTATGATTCTTGATTATCCCAATAAAAAATGAGGACAAAGATTATAATTCATATTCCACAGAGACCTGGATTCTTGTGAGGTGCCCTTTGCAGAGTTAAGATGTTTTGTTTTATTTGTTTTTCAAGACGGTGCATAGGAGACAGTGTTAGCATGTCTCTCCTACTTGGAAGGACAAAATAGTGAGTAGAGAATCACATTGTGATTTTTTTTCAAGAACCACCACAGGAACTTACTAAGAAAACCTTAAAAATCCACAGATCCTTTGTAAGAAGCAGCAGGCCACAGCCTACTCTGTGTGGTAGGTGAAAAACTGTAATTTTCCAGAGTGTGAGGTGGGAGGGCTGGCCTCCAAACACACAACCCCACCGGGAAATATGAAAATCCAGACCACGGGAGAAGGCCTTATCCCTACCCAGAGCTGGAATGAACATAGGGAGTGCTGTGAAATGTAGAAGTAGAAGCAGCAATGGGATGTGCCTCGCAGACATTGCCAGTCTCTCTCATGAACTATGAGAAGCCCTTCCCAACTGTATCTCACAGAGGTCCTTGGGGGAAGTCAGCCAACAGACTCAGGGAGGAGTCGCAAGGTTAAAGGAGTTCCCAATTAAATGCTGTGATATAATTTCAAGTGGGAACAAATTCCCTTGGACAGAACACTGGGGTGAGTGGGAAGTGTGCCACAGACAAGAGGGTAGAAACTGGGTGCCTGGCCTTGCAGGCGGACTGGGAGGGGCATAGCCTGAAAGCCAGGCTTGCTATCTCTGTGGTGATGCTTATGGCCTGGGACAGGTCTGAGTTTTGTGCACAGGCTGCCTGAATCTAAACGCAGTGCTGTTAGTGGGAAAATGCAGGAACAAGACTGGCCTTGTCAACTGCATGGGAGTTGGGTGAGGCTTACTGCTGCCCACTCCTCCCCATTCCTTTTGGGAACTCATCTACACAACAGAGGCAGTCATACTCCCCTCTGGAACATTACTCCAGTGGCTACCTCTACTGGGTTCCCCACAGTGGCCAGGGCCGGCCCCACCCAAGGAGAGACTGAGCTCAGATCCTCCTAACCCTGCCCCTACCTGGTGGCATTTCTTCACCCACACAGGTAGCTTAACACAAAAGACATAAACTTTTGAGAACTTTATGGCCCTGCCCATTCATGTGAGGAACCAGAATACTTTCCCTGGACAACTTAGGGCAAGCTCAAATCCCACTGCTAGTATGGCAGCTGGGGCTGTCTTGCAAGTGCCACATCCTGGCTGGAGGCCAACCAACTCAGAGTATTACAATTCCTCTTGGCAGAATAATACTGTTCCCAAGAAGAAGAAAATGGCTGGTCATCTCAGCTAACACCACTGCCTGCCACACCCTAGCTAAACAGAAGTCCTGAGTCTGTCCACATGACAAGTTCACTACTAGTATAACCAACACTTGAGAAACCCAGCACACTAAGCCTATCTACAACCAAGGAATCTCACAGATTATACCTCACTCCCCTGCCACTTCCACCAGAGCAGGTGCTGGTATCCACTGCTGGGAGACTTGAAGACAGGTCACATCACTGGATTCTTTGCCGACATTCCCCAGCACCAGCCCAGACCCTCATAGCCCCATTGTGGGGCTAGACCCAGAATGAGCAATAATAACCACTGCAGTATAGGACTTCTTGGGAAGTCCCATTCCTAGGGAAGTCGGGGAGCACCACATCAAGGGTACGCTCTGCGGGGAAAAAAAAATCTGAATGGCAGGTCTTAAGTCCCAGATCTCTCTGCTGGTGGGAAGAGACACAATTGTGGTGCTGGGCACAATAGGGAAAGTCTGCACCTCTACCCCAACAGGCAGGCAGCCTCTGTGGTTGTGAAAGGCCTTGGAGAAGGGGTCCTTGTTCCCCTGATACACCACTGCAGACACAGTTGGGGTTTCTCCCAAGGGAATGCAGTGCAGAGGAACCTATAGACAGCCCTCTTGGAACAATTCAGGGTGATTGCAGCCCCACGGGAGAAGCATTCCCCCGATCTAGGCCTGCATGACAGGCAGAGTCCCAATTCCTCCCTACTTGGAACATCAACATTCCTACAGATGAAATGAATCTGTCTGATCTGAATAGCTGGAAGGGTGTGACAGGTGTGAGGCTGTGAGGTGGATAGCTTTCCTGCTGGCCTGGAAGAGGAGCTGAGGTAGCTCCCACTTTTTACCCTGATAAAACCTCAGCATATCTAATTGAGAGCTCCCCCAGCCACCTTCATCAAGGCTGGGGCCTCTGCCCATCTATTCACCTGCCTTAGCTATAAATGGTGCTTATCCAGGGATACCTCCCCTGTTGGCTTGAAACCTGAATCCTCAACTCAGTAAATAAAATGCTGAGAAAAATAAATAAAGTATACACCACAAGAGAATGAAATAAGCTCCAAGAGATCCCTGCCAATCTAACCCCACAGGAGACAGTGAACTAGCCTATCCATCAATTACATAACTACTACAGCCAGCATCTGGGAAAGCCAGCATACAAAAAATTTATATATAAGGAACTCATACAGAGTGTTCACCACTAAAGGCACCAAGAATCAAATTAGGCTAAAATAAACTATAAACATTAAATTTAAATTCTTAAGAGGAAAAAAATACAGTCCAGTCAAAAATAAATTTTAAAACAATTTGAAAAAATAGTCTACTCAAATGAGAAGGAACCAGAAAAGCAATTCTAGTACTATGACAAAACAGCCTTCTGTAACATCCACAAAAGATAGCTCTCCAGTATGGATTCAAACCAAGAAGAAGTCTCTGAAATGCCAGATAAAGAACTCAGAATGTTGATTATTAATCTACTGAAGGAGATACCAGAGGAAGGTGAAAGCCATTAAAAAAATTCAGGATATGAATAAAAATTTTCCAGAGAATAGACATCATAAAGGAAAAAAAGTATGAGAACATCTGGATATGAAAGACACACTCAGGGAAATATGAAATGCAGTGAAAAGTTTCAATAGACTAGAATAAGTAGAAGACAGAACTTCAGAGCCCAAAGACCAGACTTCTAAATTAACCTAATCAGACATAAACAAAAAAGAATTTTAAATAATGAACAAAGTCTCCAAGAAATATGGTATTATGTAAAATGGCCAAACATAAGAATAATTGGTGTTCCTAAGGGAGAAGAGAAGTCTAAAAGTAGTTTGGAAAATTTATTTGTGAGAATAATCAAGGAAAATTTCCCTGGACTTGCTAGATATCTATACATCCAAATACAAGAAACTCAAAGAAAACCTGGGAAATTAACTGCAAAAAGATCATCACGAAGACACATATTCATCAGGTTATTATCTAAAGTCAAGATGAAGGAAAGAATCTTAAGTGCTGTGAGACAGAAGCATCAGGTAACCTGTAAAGGAAATCCTATCAGATTAACAGCAGATTTCTCAGCAGAAACCTTACAAGCCAAAGGGATTGGGGTCCTATCTTTAGCATCCTTAAATAAAATAATTTTGGTCAAAAATTTTATATCCAGCAAAACTAAGCTTCACAAGTTATGGAGAGATAAAGTCTTTCAGACAAATGAATCATGAGGGAATTTGTCACTACCATACCAGCAGAACGAGAAATGCTAAAAGGAGTTCTAAATCTTGAAACAGAAGAGCTTGAAATACATCAAAACAGAACCTCCTTAAACCATAAATCTCACAGTCTTTAAAACAGTAACACAATGAAAAAAAAGTATCTAGGCAACAACTGACATGATGAATAGGACAGTACCTCACATCTCAATATTAACATTGAATGTAAATGGCCTAAATACTCCACTTAAAGATACAGAATGGAAGAATGAATAAAAAAAACCACTAACCAAATATCTGCTGTCTTCAAGAGACTCACTTAACACATAAGGACTCATGTAAACTTAGGGTAAAGTTTATGTGAAAAACGTTAACCTAAATTTATGTGAGTCCTTATGTGGAAAAGGATATTTCACACAAATGGAAACTAAAAACAAGCAGGAGTAGCTAATCTTATATCAGACAAAACAGGCTTTAAAGCAACAACAGCAAAAAAAAAAAGACAAAGACAAACATTATATAATGATAAGAGGATTCATCCTACAGGAACATAACACAATCCTAAATTTATACACACCTAACACTGGAGTACCTAGGTTTATAAAAACATTATTACTAGACCTAAGAAATGAGACAGACAGTAACACAATGATAGTGGGGAACTTCAATGCTCCACTGAAAGCACTAGAGAGGTCATCAGGATAGAAAGTCAATGAAAAAATGGATATAAACTATTCTGTAGGATAAATGGAATTAGCATATATACACAGAACATTATTCCCAACAACTGCACAATATACATTCTTCTCATCAGCACATGAAACATTCTCCAAAATAGGACATATGACAAAACAAGTCTCAATAAATTTAAAAAATAAAAATTAAATCAAGTATCTTCTGAAGCCATAGTGAAATAAAGCTAGAAATCAACTTCAAAAGGAATGCTCAAAATAATACAAATACATGGAAATTAAATAATCTGCTCTTGATTTTGGGGTTAACAATGAAATCAAGATAGAAGTTAAAAAAATTGTAATGAATGACAATAGTGACACAACTTATCAAAACCTCCGGAATACAGCAAAAGCAGTGCTAAGAGGAAAGTTCATAGCATTAGATGGCTACATCAAAAAGTCTGAAAGAGCACTAATAGACAACCTAATGTCACACCTCAATAAACTAGAGAAACAAGAACAAACTAAACTCAAACCCAGCAGAAGAATATAAATAACAAAGAACAAAACAGAACTAAATAAAATTAAAACAAAAAAATTACAAAAGATAACTGAAACTAAAAGCTGGTTCTTTGAAAAGATAAATAAAATTGATAGACCATTGCAACATTAACTGAGAAAAGAAGAGAGAAGATCCAATTAAGCACAATTAGAAATAAAACCGGAGATATTACAACTGATACCATGTAAATACAAAACATCACTCAAGGCTACTATGAACATCTTTACATGCACAAACCAGGAAATCTGGAGGGTATGGATAAATTTCTGATAGTATACAACCCTCCTAGATTAAATCAGGAAAAATAGAAACCAACAGACCAATAATAAGCAATGAAATTTGATCCATAATTTTAAAAATTGCCAACAACAAAGGAGGAAGTCCAGGACCAGACGGATTCACAGCTGAATGCTATCAGACATTCAAAGAAGAACTGGTACCAATCCGACTGAAACTATTCCAAAACATAGATTAAAAAAAAAGGAATCCTCCCTAAATCACTCTATGAAGCCAGTATCACTCTAACACCAAAACCAGGAAAGGACATAACAAAAAAGAAAAATGCAGACCAATATCTCTAATGAACATAGATGCAAAAATCCACAACAAAATACTAGCTAACGGAATCCAACAGCATGTCAAAAATATAATACATTATAATCAAGTGTGTTTCATACCAGGAATGCAGGGATGGTTTATCATACACAAGTCAATACATGTGATACATCATATAAACAGAATTTAAAACAAAAACCATATGACCATCTCAATAGGTGCAGAAAAAGCATTTGATAAAATCCAGAATCCCTTTATGATAAAAACCCTCAACAAAATAGGTATAGAAAGGTCTTACCTCAAATTAATAAAAGTGATATATGAGAAACCCACAGCCAACATCATAGTGAATGGTGGAAAGCTAAAAGCATTCCCCCTGAGAAATGGAACAAAACAAGGATGCCCACTTTTACCACTTCAATTCCACACAGTACTGGAAGTTCTGGCCAGAGCAATCAGACAAGAGAAAGAAATAAATAGCATCCAAATTGAAATAGAGGAAGTCAAACTGTCACTGTTAGCCAATGATGGGATTGTATACCAAGAAAACCCTAAGGATTCATCCAAAATGCTCCTACATCTGATATGTGAATTCTGTAAAGACTCAGGATATAAAATCAATGTACACAAATCAGTAGCACTGCTATACAACAACAATGACCAAGCTGAAAATCAAATCAAGAATTCGATGCCTTTACAACAGCTGCAAAAATAAATAAATAAAATAAATTTTTTAGGAATATACTTAACCAAGCGGTGAAAGAAATCTATAAGTAAAACTACAAAACACTTCTGGAAGAAATCATAGATGACACAAACAAATGGAAACACATCCCATGTCATGGATGGGTAGAAACAATATTGTGAAAATAACCATACTGCCAAAAGCAATCTACAGATTCAATGCAATTCCCACCAAAATACCACCATCATTCTTCATAGGACTAGAAAAAAACCATCCTAAAATTCATACAGAACCAAAAAAGAGCCCACATAACCATAGCAATACTAAGCAAAAGAAACAAATTTGGAGGCATCATGTTACCTGACTTCAAATTATACTGCAAGGCTATAGTCACCAAAACAGCATGGTATTGGTATAAAAATAGGCATGTAGACCAAAGGAACAGAATAGAGAACCCCAAAAATAAAGCCAAATACTTCAAGCCAACTGATCTTCAATGAAGCATACAAAAACATAAATTGGGGAAAGGACACCCTATTCAATAAGTGGTGCTGGGAAAACTAACAAGCCACATGTAGAAGAATGGACCTGGATCCTCATCGCTCGGCTTATAAAAAAATCAACTCAAGATGGATCAAGGACTTAAATATAAGAACTGAAACCATAAAAATTCTAGATGACAGCTTTGGAAAAAGTCTTCTAGACATAGACTTAGGCAAAAAATTCATGACTAGGATCCCAAAAGCAAATGCAACAACACCAAAAATAAATACATGGGACCTAATTAAACTACAAAGCTTCTGACCAGCAAATAATAATAATCAGCAGATTAAACAGACAATCCACAGCATGAGAGAATATATTCACAAACTATGCATCCAAGAAAGGACTGATATCCAGAATCTACAAGAAACTCAAACAAATCAGCAAGGAAAAACAAACAATCTCATCAAAAGCGGGCAAAGGGCATGAATAGACAGTTCTCAAAGGAAGATATACAAACAGCTAACAAAGATGAAGAGATGCTCAACATCACTAATTATCAGGGAAATGTAAATTAAAACCACAATGAGATACCACCTTACTGCTGCAAGAATGGCCATAATTAAAAAGTAAAAAAAAAAAAACAAAAAAACAAAATAGATGTTGGCATGAATGTGGTGAAAAGGGAACACCACTAATCTGCTGGTGGGAATGTAAATTAGTACAACCACTATGGAAAGCAGTATAGACATTCCTTAAAAAATTAAAAGTTGAACTACCATCTGATCCAGCAATCACACTACTGGGTATCTACCCAAAGGAAAAGAAGCCATTATATGAAAAAGACACATGCACACTCCTGTTTTTAACTATGCAATTTGCAATTGCAAAGATATGGAACAAATCTAAGTGCCCATCAACCAGTGAGCAGGTAAAGAAAATGAGGTATATATACACCATGGAATATTACTCAGCCATAAAAAGGAATGAAATCATGTCTTTCATGACAACTTGGTTGGAGCTGGAGCCCATTAATCTAAGTGAAGTAACTCAGGAATGGAAAACCAAATATCATTATGTTCTCACTTATAAGTGGGAGCTAAACGATGAGGATGCAAAGGCATAAGAATGATATAATGGACTTTGGGGACTCAGCAGGAAGGATGAAGGGCGTAAGGGATGAAAGACCACATATTGGGTAATATGTACATTGCTTGGGTGATGGGTGCACCAAAATCTTAGAAATCACCACTAAAGAACTTATCCATGTAACCAAAAACCACCAGTGCCCCAAAAAATATTGAAATAAAAATAAAAATTAATTATTATAAAAGGAATTAAGATGTTTAAAATTGATAAGAAACATCTCTCTCAAACTTTACATGTCAAAAGAAAACTTTCTACAAATTTAATTCCTTACTTGTTGTATTAAAAAGAGACTCCATTTTCCAAGAAGAGATATTCTGTTAAACATTCACTGACACTAGTAGTTTCTACATTCCCTGTAGTACATTAGCCATAGGAAATATGGCATTAAGAAGAAAATTAAAATAAGCAGAAAATGCATTTTAAAATGTAAATTAGTTTGATTGCACAATGTACATTCAGCATAGATCGAACCTAACCTGCAAAATATCTGACAAGTGAGTTTATAAAGCAGGGTTAACTCTGTACCAGTGACATGCAGTTTTGATAAAGTAAGCAATTAATTTTCACATACTTAGTGAATGGAAAGCGGTTCTGAAAATAATGAATACAATTATTGTAATCATCACAAAAAATTGTTTTGTTTACATGAAAATGCATTTGAAGCAAGGCTGAATTTGTTACCAGATATATTATTGTTTCTCTTGGACAGTCGTTTCAGAGGGTGATTAGCAATTTGGAATATTTTCATTTGAATTGGCCAAGTATCTAAAATTGGAAAATGAACTTATGTCGTCAAGGGATGAGAAAGCCCCATGAGAATCAGGAATCATGTATCATGTATTCTAATTCTACTTTAGCTAGTGTCTTAGCAAAGTTACAAAATCCATCATAGATTCCATTTTCTGGAAGAATTATCAAAATTATGACACAAGGGAGAATATATTTACAATATCAATATTCTGACATTAGCAATGTAAGATAAATAAGTTATGAAGAAAAGCAATAAATTGAAAGACATGATATTTTGCCAGATTTTGCCATTTCTAGCTGTGTGAATAATTTGCTGTCTAACTCTCATAAGTTCAAGGATTAGACAATCTTTTTTGAGCCCTTCAACTCCTCATTTTATGAGCCTTGATCTCATCAACTCTAAATCTAGGAAACTCGTTTTTGAATTATTGTGGAAAGCAAATGAGATAATAAATGTAACTTGCTTAGCATAGTACCTAATATATAGTAATTTCTGAAAAAAAGTTTAGAAGTTGTTAGTATTAATAGGCACTCAGTAGATGTCAATTCTCTTCACAATTCCTATTAAATAATTCCAAAAAAATTTTAGTCCTCTTTACATATTATATTAAAAAGTATATCGGTATTCCCTAAACTTATCAGTGATCAGTGCATACTTTATTTTCAGCTGTGATCCTATTATTTTAAAGAAACCCAAGAATGTCTGGAGAAGAGCAAAATTCTATTAATGAAATCAGCAATGAACCATAAACTAAAAAGGAAGGATCTATAAGATTAAATGAATAAATGTCATTACACCCCCAAAATAGTGTGTGTGTATGTGTGTGTGTATCTTACAGAATGAATTAAACTGTTTCTCAGTCTATATGATACCAGTGGGCTAGGGGATGTCCCCAAATGCCAGTGGGATCTTGACACATCTGGTGTCTAGGCTCTTGACACTGTTGCAAGAAGGAATTCAAGGATGAGTTGGAAAATAGTAAAAGTATGGAAATATATTGCAAAGTGAAAAGTACACTCAAGAAAGGGGAGCATGGGCACACTTAAGAGAAAGTCACACACACGGAGCTGTGGGACTTCTACCTTTATGGGTTTCTTTAGCCAAGGAGTGAAATATTCATGAAGATTCCTGGAAAATAGTAGCAATTGCTTAGAACTGTTGTGCTACCCATTTTACACCAAATGTGGGTGCTTGTAGAACTGTTACAGCACTGGTGGGCTGTGATTTAGTATGTTAATGAGCATATAAGAGGTCCTGGGTGAAACCTAGGTCAAATCCAGTGCCATGTTGGGTCCAATTGGTCTTAGCTAACTTAGCCCACACGTTGGTTTTTCAGGGTCTTATCAGTCCCAAGTTTATGTAGCTATTTCAGCAGTTTCCTTATTCTAGTCATGTGAAACTGCTGCCTGGAATTTTCTATTCTCCTGCAGCCACTTGTATTATTCCTTTCTCACATAAGGTGGTTATTCTTAAAAATCAAACAGTTGTTGGCTAAGTATTTTGCCCTATAGAATGTTAAGCATTTTTATACTTGAGGAAATACAGGTCTGAGAACCTGAAATTAGACAAATAAGAAAACAAGTAAGATAAGCCCTGGGATTGATTTGACTTTTCACTCAAAGGAACATTCTGAACAAAGCTAGTACGAGGGAAGTTCCCAAAGGGGAGGATGAGGATCTCACTGATTTGAGGAAATAGAGATCAGAATTTAGGGAGGCTGAAGTGACTGAAGGTTGTGGATTCTAGAAAGAAAGAAGCCATTTAGAAAATCAGCTCCAGAAATATACATTGGGTACCCTGATTCTTTGCTGAATATTGAGCAGTGTGTGTGTAAGACAAAACACCACAGGGCCTAACAAAGAGTTACTAAAAATCCAAGATGATTGATTCCAAAAGCTTACACAGGGCTAGGAGGCATTTGAGTTCCAACCAGCCAGAATGAAGAGTTCTCTTTGATGAGCTGGAGTATTCAATAGAGACCCAAGAAGTGTGCCATGACTTAATAATGCTACTAAAATATCACTAGAAGAAAGGTTATTATACAACTGTCATAAATAAGCTTAAAAGTGACAAAGAAAAAATGAAAATTCTCTGTAACTGTCTCGCTGCTTATGCTATAGTCAATAATAGAAATAAAATGGCATCCTATAAGTTATGCAGTTAATCCAAAGGAAGAAGATTTAAAAGAAAAGAAGGAAGAGATAGAACATATAGAAAATAACTAGCAAGATAGTAGACTAAACCTCAAACATTTCAATAAGTGCATTAACTCTAAACTGTAGAACACCTTATTTAAAAGATTTGAGCATATTGTCTATGAAAGCAAGCTTTAAATATAAAGGCACAGACTACATTAACAGTAAAAGTATAGAAAATATCATACCATGCAAACACTAAAGGAGCCAAATTAAATTTATATTAATAATAAACAAAGTACACCTCAGAATAACAATGATTACCAAAATGAAAGGACAACTCATAACGATAAAAAGATCAATTTATAAAAAAGACATGATAATTCTAAAGGTGTCTGTATCTGATTAAAGAATTTTACCTACAAAAAGAGAAAGAGAAATAGATAAATCCACAATTATACTTGGAGAATTCAACACTTATCTTGCAGTAATTGATGGAACAAATAGAAAGAAATCTAGAAGTAAACAGACATAAAAGCCCATTCAACCCACCTGACCTATTTGGCATCATTGAACACAATGCCCCAAAACAGCAGAATACACATTCTTTTCAAATGCATAGGAAATATTCACTGAGATAAACCATAAGTAAGGCCATAAAACAAGTCCCAATAAATTTAAAACAATGACTAATACAGAGTATTTTTTACCAAAATACAATTAAACAGTAATTAGTAGTATAAAGAATGTGGATAAAGTATTTGAAATGTAAACAGCACAATTCTAAATAAGCCACAAGTCAAAAAAAGTAATCATAAGAAAAATTAGAAAAATATTTTTAATGAATAAAAAAGAAAATACAGTGCCAAAATTCGTAATTCAGGAGGGATGATATCATAAGAATGCTGGAGCAGGATGCTCCAGTAATTATTTCCTCCTTGGAAACAACAATTAAATGGCAAAAACTGACAAAATCAACTATTTTGAAACTTTAAAATCTAGTCAGAAACTTATATCAACCAAATGAGTACTTACTGAAGAAAAAGGCTGCGAATTTTTGGTAAGAAAACATTGTGGCATTTTTGCTTAGCTGCTTACCAACCCCCAGTCTCCAGTGCTGTGGTGGCCATTGGAAAGGTGATCATCATTCAGGGTGTGCCTTACTGGTGCTGGGGGTAGGCGGTGGGGGGTAGAATATAAACTTTGCTCCCAATAAATTGTGGTTGTGTGTTTTGGCCTTTTGAATTATTCACTAATGGACAAGTACAAAAGTTGACCTTGCTTTCACTCCTATCAGGAGCAACTTTCTCAGTGACATCTGTTAAAAGCATTTAAAGAAGTATACTATCTATATCCATGCAGGAAAAGAAAAGGTGGGCAAGACAAGCAGCATACAGACCCAAAGCCTGGAAAGGTAGAGGGTGAGGAGGAATACTTTTTGGAGGAAACAGAGCATGGAAGATTCACTACATATACTGTGGAATCTAGAATGCAATGTGCCCCAACAGTAGATTTGAGCAGAAAAATAAAGAATCAGGAAACTTAAAAATACAACAATTGAAATTACCCAGTCTGAAAAACAGATAGAAAAAATAATAAAGGAATGTGAACAGAACCTAAATGACTTCTGTGACTCCATCAAGTGAACCAACATACACACTGTGGGAGTCTTAGAAGGAGAAGAAAGAGGTAAACAGAATAATGGCTTCAGAATAATGGCTGAAAATTTCCCAAATTTGATGAAACTCATGAATCCACAAGTCTGAGACATTCAGTTGTCTCCAAGTAATACAAATGAAAAGAGATCCACACTCAAAAACACATGGGATATTCCCCAGGATAGATTATACATCAGGTCATGTTACCAGTCTCAATAAATCTTAAAAGGTTGAAATCATAAAACATAGTTTTCAAATTTATTCAACCACAATACAAAGAAGCTAGAAATTAATAAAAGAAGAAAAAGTGGAAAGTTCATGAATATGTGAAAATTAAACAACACACTCTTAACAAACCTGTAAGTCAAAAAATATATAAAATACTTTGAGATCAATAAAAAAGAAAACACATCATTATACCAACACTTATAGGATGTAACAAAAGTATTCTTCAAAGAAAAATGTACAGCTATAAATACCTATATTGGAAAAAATAAAGATTTAAAATAAACAAACTAAATCTATGCTTTCAGAAATAGAAAAGAATAAACTAAACCTAAAGCTAGTAGAAACAAGTAAATAATAAAAATTAGTAGATACTAATGAAATGGATCAAATAAAATTAATAGATAATTAACAAAATTTATTATTTAAAGGATCAACAAAATTCACAAACTTTTATCTAGGCTGACCAAAAAAGGATCCAAAGGCTGAAATTATCAAAGTCAGAAATGAAAGTGGTGACACTACTACAGATCTTACCGGAATAAAAGTAGTGTAAAGTAATACTATCGATAATTGTACACCAACAAATTAGATGACTTAGATGATATGAACAAATCTCCATAAATGCATAAACTACCTAAACTGACTGAAGAAAAAAGTAGATTCTCTAACAATATCTGTAGCAACTAAAAAGATTAATCAACAATCAAAAACCTCCCAACAGAAAAAATACCTGGAGCAGATAGCTTCAATGGTAAATTCTGCAAACTTTTAAAGAACATGTATTATTCTCAAACTCTTACAAAACATAGAAGGGAAGGCAAAACTTTCTAACTCCTTCTATAAGGTAACCACTATTTTGATACCAAAGCCAGACAAAGACACACAAGAAAAACAAAAACTATATACCAACAATTCTTATTAATACAAATATAAAAACCTTCAACAAAATGCTAGTTAACCAAATCCAAGAGCATACCATTACCAAATGATAACAAAATCAATATGACATAGTTTATTAATAGAGTTTTAAAAATATGATCATATCAATAGAAGCATAAAAAATGACAAAATTGGACACTTAAAAAAACAAACACTCAGAAAAACAAGAAGTAGAAGGGAACTTTTCAACATGTTAAAATGTATTTATGAAATGCCCATAGTAATATTACATTTAATGGTGAAAGACCAAAAGTTTTACACCTAAGATCAGGAACAAGTCAAATATATCTGCTTTCACCACTTCTATGCAATCTTATATAACAAATTCTAGCTAGAAAAATTAGGTATAAAAACAAAAAGCATTCAAATTGGAAAGTAAGAAGTAAAAATACATCAATTTACAATATGATTATATATATACCCAAAGAACACACACACACAACACACATACACACACACACTTACTACAACATATCAATGAATTCAGCAAATTTGCAGAGTGCAAGACCAATAAAAAAATTAGTTTTTTCCTACACAGCAGTAATAAAAAATCTGAATCAAAAATTACAAAAAACAGTTATATTCACAATAACACCCCAAAGAGTAAAATGCATAGGCATACATTTAAACAAGGATGTGCAAGATTTGTATTTTGATTACTGAAAAACAAAATAAAAAAAAATTGCTGAAAGAAGTTGAAGAAGACTAAATAAATAGAAAGACATCATATGTTCATGGCTTGGAAGACTTGTTATCATCAAGATTTTAAGGTTACCCAAAGAAACAGAGCAAGATAGTGGAATAGAAGCCTACACTGTTTGTCTCTCCTCAATTGAACACCAAATATTAACAATTATCCTTACACAGGAAAGCACCATCACAAGAACCAAAAATTGGGAGGGAAGAGTGAAGAGTAAGACTTTTTCTTGCATCTTGGATACCAGCTCAGTCCCAGTAGGATAGGGCAGCAGGCAGAGCTGGGAGGGCCCCTTTCCAGGTCCTAGCTTCTGGAAAACATTTCTAGATACATCTTGGGCCAAAAGGGAACCCACTGCCTTAAAGCGAAGTAACCAGTCCTGGCAAGATTCATCACCTGTGAGTCCTTGGGCCATGAATGCCCAGCAGTGGTCCCCAGAGAGTATGCCACATGCCTTGGGCTCGGAGAAATGCTGGCTTCAGGTGTGACCCAGCACCTTCACAGCTGTGGTGGCTATGATGAAATACTTCTTCTGTTTGAGAAAAGCAGAGGGAAAAGTAAAGGGGATTTTGTCTTGCACCTTAAGTATCAACTTGGCCACAGTGGGGTAGAGCAATAAGCAGGCTCTTGGGATCCCCAAGTCCAAGACTAGACTCTTGGGCAGCATTCCTGGACCTGCCCTGGGACAGAAGGGAGCCCACTGTTCTGAAGGTTGAGTCCCAGGCCTGGCAACATTCACCAGTGGAAGAGCCCTTAGGTTTTAAGTGAACATTGGCAGTGGCCTGACAGAACCCCTCTGGGGACTGATGGTGGTGGTGGCCACATAGAAAGTCTCCTCTACCTGTAGAAATTGGGGGGAAGAGTGGGAAGAACTTTGTATTGTAGTTTGAGTACCAGCTTAGCCTCAGTATAAGAGAATATCAGGTAAATTACCAAGGATTTTGATCACAATACCTCACTTCCAAACAGAATTTCTGGACATGACTGGGACCTGGGAAAACTCGTTACCCTGAAGGGAATGGCATGGGGCGACACCCAGTGATATGCTGGCTTCAGGTCTGACCCAGTGCAGTCCCAGTGATGGTGGCCCCAGGATGCTTACATCACCACATCCCCAGTTCCAGATGGCTCAGCACAGAAAGAGAGAGGCCCTTATGTTCAGGAAAAAGTAAGAGAAAAGACCAAGAGCATCTCTCTGGTAATCCAGAGAATTCTTCTTAAACTTATCCAAGACCACTAAAGTAGTCCCTCTATGAGTCTGCAAAAACCACAGCCTCATTGAGCTTAGGGCCCAAGTCCCTTTGAATACCTGGAAAACCTTTCCAGGAAGGATAGGCACAAACAAGTTCAAACTGTAAAGACCACAATAAATACCCCACTCTTCCATGCCAAGACATTGATGAATATCTGTAAGTATCAACACCATCCAGGAAAACATGACCTCACCAAATGAATTAAATAAGTCACCAGTGACCAATTCTGGAGAAACAGAGATATATAATCTGTCAGATAGAGAATTCAAAATAGCCGTGTTGGTGAAATTCAAAGATATTTAAGATAATACAGAGAAGGAATTTAGAACTCTATCAGGTAAATTTAACAGAGATGAAAATAATTAAAAAGAATCAAGCAGAAATTCTGGAGTTGAAAAATGCAGTTGACATGCTGAAGAATGCATCACTCTCTTAATAGCAGAATTGATCAAGCAGAAGAAAGAATTAGTGAACTTGAAGAATTAGTGAGTTTGAAGAATTAGTGAGCTTGAAAGTAAACAGAGGAGACAGGAAAAAAAGAATAAAAATAGTAAAGCATGCTTACAAGATCTAGCATATAGCCTCAAAAGGTCAAATCTAAGAGATATTGACCTTAAAGAGGAGGTAGAGAAGGAGACAGAGGTGGAAAGTTTAATAAAGAAAAAAATAACATCAGAGAACTTCTCAAACCTAAAGAAAGATATTAACATTCAAGTACAGGAAGGTTATAGGACACCAAGTAAATTTAACCAGAAGAAAACTACCTCAAAGCATTTAATAATCAAACTCCCAAAGGTCAAGGATAAAGAAAGGATCCTAAAAACAGCAAGAGAAAATAAACAAATAACATACAATGAAGCACCAATATGTCTGGCAGCAGACTTTTCAGTGAAAACCTTACAGGCCAGGAGAGAGTGGCATGACCTATTTAAAGTGCTAAAGGGAAAAAATATCTTTCTCCTTACAATAGTATATCTGGCAAAAATATACTTCAAGCATGAAAGAAAAATAAAGACCTTCCCAGACAAACAAAAACTTGAAGAATTTCATCAACACAAGGCTTGTCCTACAAGAAATGATAAAGAGAGTTCTTCAGTCTGGAAGAAAAGGATGTCAATGATCAATAAAAAATCATCTGAAGGTACAAACCTCACTGGTAATAGTAAGCACACAGAAAAACACAGAATAGTATAACATTGTAATTGTGGTCTGTAAACTACTCTTAGGATATGTAGAAAGACTAAACTATGAACCTATCAAAAATAATAACGACCACCACTTTTCAGGGTTTTGACAGTACAATTAGACATGATGAGAAATTTAAAATGGTTAAACAAGCAGGCGGACAAAGTTAAACTGTAGAGTTATTGTTAGTTGTATTTTTGCATGTTTGTTGTGTTTGTCTATGAAATCAGTGTTAAGTTGTCATCTGTTTAAAATAATGGGGTAAAAGATATTATTTGAAAACACCATGCTAACCTCAAATCAAAAAACAAAGGATACACAAAAAATGAGAAGCAAGAAGTTAAAGCATACTATCAGAGAAAATCACCTTCACTAAAAGAAATACAGGAAGGGAAAAAAGAGGGATGAGAAGACCACAAAACAACCAGGAAACAACTATCAAAATTACAGGAGTAAGTCCCTACTTATCAATAATAACATTTAGGCTGGGCGCGGTGGCTCACGCCTGTAATCCCAGCACTTTGGGAGGCCGAGGCGGGCGGATCACGAGGTCAAGAGATCGAGACCATCCCGGCTAAAACGGTGAAACCCCGTCTCTACTAAAAATACAAAAAAATTAGCCGGGCGTAGTGGCGGGCGCCTGTAGTCCCAGCTACTTGGGAGGCTGAGGCAGGAGAATGGCGTGAACCCGGGAGGCGGAGCTTGCAGTGAGCCGAGATCCCGCCACTGCACTCCAGCCTGGGCGACAGAGCGAGACTCCGTCTCAAAAAAAAAAAAAAAAAAAAAAAAAAAATAATAATAATAATAATAATAACATTTAATGTAAATCGACTAAACGCTCTGATCAGAAGACACAGAGTGGCTGAATGGATGGAAAAAACAAGACCCAATGGTCTGTAGCCTACAGGAAATATACTTCATCTATAAAGATACACATAGACAGAAAATAAAGAGATGAGAAAAGATATGCCATACCAATGGAAACCAAAAAAGAGTAGGAGTAGCTGTATTTATATCAGAAAAAATAGATTTCAAGACAAAAACTGTTAGAAGAGACAAAGAAGTTCGTTCTATAATAATAAAGGTTATCAATTCAGCAAGAGGCTATAACAATTATATATGTATATATGCCCAATGCTGGAGCACCCAGATATATAAAACAAACATTATTAGAGCTAAAGAGAGAGATAGACCTCAATGCAATAATAGCAATAACAGCTAGAGACTTCATTACCCCACTTTCAGCATTGGACAGATCTCCCAGACAGAAAATCAACAAGGAAACACTGGGCCTAATCTGTAGTATGGAACAAATGGGCCTAATAGATATTTACAGAATATTTCATCCAACAGCTGCAGAATATACATTCTTCTCCTTAGTACATGGATCCTTCTCAAAGATAGACCATATGTTAAGTCACAAAACAAGTGTTAAAATATTCAAAAATACTGAAATAACATCAAGCATCTTCACTTACCATAATGGAATAAAACTAGAAATCAATAATATGAGAAATTTGGGAAAGTATACAAACACATGGAAGTTAAACAATATGCTTCTGGATGACTACTGGGTCAATGAAAAAATCAGATAAATTGAAACATTTATTCATTAATAAATGTCATTAATAAATGACAATGAAAATACAACATACCAAAACCTATGGGGTATAATGAAAGCTATACCAAGAGAGAAACTTATAGCTAGAAGTGCCCACATCAAAAACGAAGAAAAACTTCAAATAATAACCTAATGATGCATCCTAAAGAACCAGAAAAGTAAGAGAAAAAACAAACCCAAAGTTAGTAGAAAAAATAATAATAAATATGAGAGCATAAATAAATGACTTTGAAATGAAGAGAACAATAAAAAGGTCAATGAAACAAAAAGCTGATTTTTTGAAAAGATCAAATTGACAAACCTTCAGCCAGAATAATGAAGGAAAAAAGAGAGAAGACTCAAATAAAATCAAAGATGAAACAGAAGATATTACAACTGACACTGCAGAAATGTAAAGGATCATTAGTGGCTGTGATGAGCAACTATATGCCAATAAATTGGAAAATCTAGAAGAAATAGATAAATTGCTAGACACATGCTACCTACCAATATTGAACCATGAAGAAATCCAAAACTTAAACAGGCCAATAACAAGCAACGAGATCAAAGCTTTAATAAAAAGTCTCCTAGTAAAGAAAAGCTCAGGATTCAATGCCTTCACTGCTGAATCCTATCAAATATTTAAAGAACTAACACCAATCCTACTCAAACTGTTCTAAAAAAGATGAGGAGGAAATAATCTCAAACTGGTTTTATGATGCCAGTATTACCCTGAAACCAAAACCAAAGACAAATCATAAAAATAAAACTATAGGTCAATATCTCTAATGAACATTGATGCAAAAATCTTCAACAAAATACTAGCAAACTGAATAAATACATTGGAAAGATCATTCCTCATGATCAAGTGGAATTTATCCAGGGGATGCAAGGATGGTTCACCATACATAAATCAATCAATTTGCTACATCATATCAACAGAATGAAGGACAAAAACCATATAATCATTTCAGTTGATGCTGAAAAAACATTTGTTAAAATTCAACATCCTTTCATGATTAAAACCCTCAAAAAAATGGGGTACAGAACAAACATACCTCAACATATAACAGCCATATATAAAACGCCCACAGCTAGTATCATACTGAATGGGAAAAAAACAAAATACCATTCTCTAAGATCTGGAACACGACAACGAAGCCCACTTTCAGCACTGTTATTCAACATAGTACTGGAAGTCCTAGCTAGAGCAATCAGACAAGAGAAAGAAAGAAAGGATATCCAAACTGGAAAGGAAGAAGTCAAATTTATCCTTGTTTGTAAATGATAGGATCTTATATTTAGAAAAACCTAAAGAATCCACCAAAAAAGCTATTAGGACTAAAAAAAGTTCAATAAAGTTGCAGGATGCAAAATCAATATACAAAAATTAGTAGCATTTCTATATGCCAAAAGTGAACAATCTGAAAATGAAATGTAAAAACTTTCATAAAAATTTATCATAGCCACAAATGAAATTTAAAACACAAAAATAAACCAAAAAAGTGAAAGATCTTTACAATAAAAACTATAAAATGCTGATGAAAGAAATGGAAGAGGAATAAAAGAGGGAAAGATATCCCACACTCATGGATTGGAAGAATCAATATTGTTGAAATGCCCATACTACCCAGAGTACATTCAATGCAATCTCTATCAAAATACCAATGATATTTTTCACAGAAAAAGAAAAAATAATTGTAAAATTTACATAGAACCACAAAAGACCCAGAATAGCCATAGCTATCTTAAGCAAACAGAACAAAACTGGAGGAATCACATTACCTGACTTCAAATTATACTACAGAGCTATAGCAACCAAAAGAGCATGGTACAGGTATAAAAACAGATACATAAGCTAGTGAAACATAATAGAGAACTGAGAATTAACTCCACACATGTACAGTGAAGTCATTTTTGACAAAGGTGCCAAGAACACACATTGGAGAAAAGACAGTCTCTTCAATAAATGGTGATGAGAAAACTGAATATCCATATGCAGAAATACCACTATCTCTTGTCACATGCAAAAATCAAATCAAAGTGGATTAAAGACTTAAATCTAAGACCTCAAACTATGAAACAACTACAAGAAAACATTAGGGAAACTCTCCAGGACATTGATCTGGGGAAATATTTCTTGAGTAATACACAGTAAGCACAGGCAAGCAAAGCAAACATGGACAAGTGGGATAACATCAAGTAAAAAACATCTGCACAGCAAATAAAACAATCAGCAAAGTGAAGAGACAACCCATAGAATAAGAAAAAAATATTTGCAAACTACCCATCTGACAATGGATTAATAACTATAATATATAAGGAGCTCAAACAACTCTAGAGGAAAAAAATCTAATAATTCAATTTAAAAATAGGGAGAAGATTTGAATAGACATTTCTCAAAACAAGACATACAAATGGCAAACAGGAATATGAAAAGGTGCTCAACATCATTGATCATCAGAGAAATGCAAATCAAAACTACAATGAGATATCACCTCACCCCAGTTAAAATGTTTATTATAAAAAAGATAAAAATAACAAATGCTGATGAGGATGCGGAGAAAAGGGAGCCCTTGTACACTGTTGGTGGGAATGTAAATTAGTAGGACCACTATAGAGAAAAGTTTGGAGGTTCCTCAAAAAGCTAAAATTAGAGCTATCACAGGATCCAGCAATCCCACTGCTGGGTATATACCCAAAAGAAAGAAAGTCAGTATATCAAAGAGACATTGGCATTGCCATGTTTGCTGCAGCACCATTCCCAATAGCCAAGGTTTAGAAGGAACCTAAGTGTCCATCAGCAGATGAATGGATAAAGAAAATGTGGTACATATAAACAGTGTTGTACTCTTCAGCCATAAAGAAAAAAAAATGAGATTCTGTCATTTGCAACAACCTGGATGGAACTGGAAGTCCTTATGTTAAGTGAAATAAGCCAGGCACAAAAAGATGAACTTCACATATTCTCACTTATTCATGGGGTCCAAAAATCAAAAAAATTGAACTCATGAAGATAGAGAGATAGAGAGTAGAAAGATGGTTACCAGAGGCTGGGAAGGTTAGTGGAAACATGGGATGGCAGTAGGGGTGGTTAATGGGAAAAAGACAAAAACAAAACATGGAAAGAATGAATAAGAACCAGTATTTGATAGCCTAACAGGGTGACTATAGTCAATAATAATTTAATAGCATATTTAAAGATAACTAAAAATATATAACTGAATTGTTTGTAACACAAAGGATAAATGCCTGAGGAAATGTATACCCAATTTTCCATGATATGCATATCTATACCAAAATATTTCAGGTACTCCATGAATGTATACACCACTGTGTACCCACAAAGGTTAAAAAAATAATTTAATAGACTATTACTCAAAGCAATTCAACACAATATTTATCAAAATTGAAACAATCGTTTTTTTTATAGAAATAGAAAAGCCTATCCTTGATTTCACACGGAATTTTAAAGGGCCACATATAGTCAAAGCAAACTTGAAGAAAAGTTTAGAGTACTCACTTTCCTATTTCAAGGTTTTACCAAGCTACAGTGTGATATCAAAATAGTATAGTACTAGAATAAGTATAGTTACATAAAGGAATGGAATATAATCAAAACTACAGAAATGAATCTAGATATCTATGACCAATTGATTATCATTAAGGACACTGGGTTAGTCTATTTGGTCTTGCTACAAAGAAATACCTGAGACTGGATAACTATAATCCCCATGTGTTGAGGGAGGGTCTGGGTGGGAGGCAATTGGATCATGGGGAAGGATTCCCCCTGGCTCTTCGGATAGTGAGGGAGTTCTTCAGAGAGCTCATTGTTTAAAAGTGACAATTTTCCCCATCTTCTCTGTTTCTTCTCCTGCCATAAGATATGTCTTGCTTCCCCTTTGCCTTCCACCATGATTGTAAGTTTCCTGAGGCCTCCTCAGCCATGTGGAACTATGAGTCAATTAAACTTTTTTCCTTTATAAATTACCCAGTCTCAAGTAGTATCTTTATAGCAGTGTGAAAATGGACTAATACAGAGAATTAGTACCAGCAGAGTGGGGTACAGCTATAAAATAACCTGAAAATGTGAAAGCAACTTTGGAACTGGGTAACAGGCAGTGGTTGTAACAGTTTTGAGGGCTCAGAAGAAGACAGGAAGATGTGGGAAAGTTTGGAAATTCCTAGAGACTTGTTGAATGGTTTTGACCAAAACGCTAATAGTGATGTGGACAATGAAGTACAGGCTGAGGTGGTCTCAGATGGAGATGAGGAACTTATTGGGAACTGGAGTAAAGGTCACTCTTAACTGTGCTTTAGCAAAGAGACTTGTGGCATTTTGCCCCTGCCCTAGAGATCTGTGGAACTTTGAACTCGAGAGAGATGAACTTGAGAAATGGTGGAGGAAATGTCTTAAGCAGCAAAAAATTCAAGATGTCACCTGGCTTATTCTGAAAGCATTCAGTTATATGTGTTCACAAAGAAATGTTTTGAAATTGGAATTTATGTTTAAAAGAGAAGCAGGGCATGAAGGCTTAGAAATTTTGTAGCCTGACCATGCAGTAGAAAAGAGAAACCCATTTTCTGGGGAGGAATTCAAGCTGGCTGCAGAAATCTGCAGAAGTAATAAGTAGCCTAATTTTAATGGCCAGGACAATGGGAAAATGTCTTCAGGGCATGTCAGAGATCTTGATGGCAGCCCCTCCCATCACAGGCTCGGGGGCCCAGAAGGGAAAAATGATTCTGTGGGCTGGGCCCAGGGCCCGGCTGCTCTGTGCAGCCTTAGGACTTGGTTCCCTGCATTTCAGGTGTTCCAGCTCCAGCAGTGGCTAAAAGGGGCCAAGGTGCAGCTAGGGGCCATTGCTTCAGAGGGTGAAATCCCCAAGTCTTGGCAGCTTCCACATGGTGTTGGTCCTGGATGTGTGCAGAAGACAATAGTTGAGCTTTGAGAACCTCTGCCTAGATTTCACAGGATGTATGGGTGGAAGCCCTCATGGAGAACATCTGCCAGGGCAGTGCAGAACGGAAATGTGGGGTTGGAGCCTCCACACAGAGTCCCCACTGGGGCACTGCCTAATGGAGCTATGAGATGAGGGCCACCATCCTCCAGACCCCACAAAGATAGGTCTACCAATAGCTTGCACCATGTGACTAGAAAAGCCACAGGCACTTAATGCCAGCCTGTGAAAGAAGCCATAGGGGCTGTACCCCACAGAGCCACCAAAGTGGAGCTGCCCAAAGCTGTGGGAACCCATTCCTTGCATGAACGTGCCCTGGATGTGAGACATGGAGTGGAGATTTTGAAGCTTTAAGATTCAATCACTGCCTGGCCAGGTTTCAGACTTGCGTTAGGCCTATGGCCCCTTTGTTTTGGCCAATTTCTCCAATTTGGAATTGGAACAGTTACTCAATGCCTGTAACCCCATTGTATCTAGGAAGTAACTAACTTGCTTTTGATTTTACAGGCTCATAGGCAGAAGGGACTTCCCTTGTCTTAGATGAGTCTTTGGACTTGGACTTTTGAGTTAATGCTGAAATGCATTAAGACTGGGGGACTGTTGGGAAGGCATGATTGGTTTTGAAATGTGAAAAGGACATGAGCTCTGGGAGAGGCCAGAGACAGAATGATATGGTTTGGCTCTGTGTCTTCACCCAAATCTCATCTGGAATTGTAATCCCCAAATATCGAGGTAGGGACCTAGTGGGAGGTAATCAGATCATGGGGATGGTTTCCCTAATGCTGTTCTCATGATAGTGAAGGAGTTCTCATAGGATCTGATGGTTTTAAAGTGGCAGTTTCCTCTCGGTTCTCTATCTATCTCCTGCCTCCATGAGAAAATGTGCCTTGTTTTCCTTCACCTTCTGCCATGATTGTAAGTTCCCTGAGACCTCCTGAGCCATGTAGAACTGTGAGTCAATTAAACCTCTTTCCTTTATAAATTACCCAATCTCAGGTAGTATCTTTACAGCAATGTGCAAATAGACTAATATAGTAACATGAAGAAAGGAGTCTTATTTGCTCATGGTTCTGCAGGCTGTCCAACCATGGCACAAACATCTGCTTGGCTTCCAGTGAGGTCTCAAGAAGATTTTACTCATGGCAGAAGGCACAGGGGGAGCAGGCATGCTCTGCAGAGAGACGGGAACAAGAAAGAGAGAGGAGGAGGTATCAGGATCTTTTAAAAAATAAACTCTCATGTGAACTATGGAGAGAGAAGTCACTCATTACCATGGGAAGGACACTAAGCCATTCATGAGGGATCCACTCCCAACACCCAACCTCCCACCAGGCTATACCTCCAACAGTGGGGATCAAGTTTCAATATAAGATTTGAAGGCCAGACACAGTGGCTTATGTCTGTAATCCCAGCACTTTGGGAGGCAGAGGCGGGCGGATCACAAGGTCAGGAGTTTGAGAGCAGCCTGGCCAACATAGTGAAACCCTGTCTCTACTAAAAATACAAAAAAATTAGCCACGTGTGGTGGTGGGTGCCTGTAATCCCAGCTACTCAGGAGGCTGAGGCAGGAGAATTGTTTGAATCTGGGAGGCAGAGGTGGCAGTGAGCCGAGATTGTGCTACTGCACTCCAGCCTGGGCGACAGTGTGAGACTCTGTCTCAAAAAAAAAAAAAAAAAGATTTGAAGGGGACAAATATCCAAACCATATCAGGTGCCAAAATCATTTAATGGAGAAAAATCATTTCTCCATAAAACTGGTACTGTCACAACTGAATATCCACATACAAAAGAATGAAGTTGGATCCGTACCTCATACCATATACAGAAATGAACTCAAAATGGATCAAAGGCCTAAATCAAAGAGTTAAAACTATAAAATTTAGAAGAAAATATAGCGATAAAATTTTATGGCCTTGGCATTGGCAGTGGATTATTTGAAATGTCATAAAAAATACATGCAACAAAATAAATAGTTAAATTGAACTTCATCAAAATTTAAAACTTTTGTGCAGAAAAGAACACTATCAAGAAAGTGAAAAAGACAAACTACAGAATGGGAGAAAATATTTGCAAGCCATATATTTGATAAGAGTTTAGTATCTAGAATGTATGAAGAATTCTTACAACTCGACAACTAAAAGACAAACTTCCCACTTAAAAAATAGTCAAAGACTTCAATAGACATATCTCCAAGGGAGATGCAAAGGGTCATAGCTAATACAAAGATGCTCAGCATCTTCATCAGGAAAATGCAAACATAAATCATAAGAAGATACCACTTTATATCCACTAGGATGGCTATAATTAAAAAACAATAAAAGAAAGTTTCGGCAAGAATGTGGAACAATGAGAAACATCCTATGTTGTTGGAAATTATGCAAAATGATGCAGCTGCTATGGAAAACAGTTTGGCATTTCCTCAAATTGTTAAACAAATGATCTTCTCCCACTGGAAGATGGCAGAATAAAAACCTCTAATGATCATCTCCCCACAGAAACATCAATTTGAAACAACCACTGAAGAAAATACCTTCACGAGAACTAAATAAACAGGACCTTGTTTTAGCATAATGGTAAAAGACACATCAAAGAGGACAGAAAAAACAGTCTTGCATTGACTGCATCACCCCTCCTCAAACTCTAGGCAGCACACTGTAATAACAGACTTCTTTCCCTTGGGGAAAGGGGAGGAAAGTGAATGAGAGACTTTGCCTTGGAACCCAGAAAACCCTCCCTCATCTCCCCCAGGCCCATTCAGGTCAGGAACTTCAGAGTCTGCCAGAGTCACCATGAACTCGGCCTTAGGATGTCCTCTTGTGCTGGAATGGCTGCAGTTACTACAGGCGCCCAACAGTCAGTCTCCTTTGAATTCCTGGAAGGCCCTCTGAATAAAGACTGTTACAAAGATTGGAATAAATATATAATTTTTTATTGTCCAACCATCAACATATGTCCACAAACATCAAGAAAATTCAGGGAAATATGAACTCATCAAATCTGCGTAAGTACTGCATAAGGCAGTACTTAGAATGAAATTTACAGTTTTAAATGGTTGTATTAGAAAAGATTAAATATTTAAGATAATTTGTCTAAGTACCAACCTTGAGAAACTAGATAAAGAAGAGAAAATTCAACTAAAAATAATTAGAATGTAGAAAACAAGAAACAGCAGAAATTAATGCAATAAAATGGATATTTACAAATACATAACAAAATTAATGAAAATTAAACAATAAAATTTAGAGCTTGCTTCTTTAATTCAATAAAATTGATAAACCTCAAACTAGAGTAATCAAAAAAAAAAGAGGGAGAGAAGACAGAAATTACCAACATTAGTGAATAAAGCATATACCACATGACAGATCCTACAGATGAAGGAATCACAAACTATGGCCCGTGGGCAAAATCTTGTCCTATCTACCACTTCACAGATACAGTTTCATTAAGACTTCTTCCATGCTACAGTAGCAGATTTAAGAAGCTGTAAGAGACCATATGTCCTCCAATGTCTAAGGTATATACTAATTGGCTTTTAATAGAAAAAGTTTGCTGAGCCCTGTTACATATAGTAAAATAGTAAGAATTTATATAAATAAATGGCTTCCGGTGAGGCCTCAAGAAGCTTTCACTCGTGGCAAAAGGCACAGGGGGAGCAGGGACAAAGAGACGGGGACATTATATTTGTATATTGCCAGTAAACACAGCAATTTAGAGGAAATGAGAAAATTCATTGAAAGACAAAAATTACAAAAACTGATTTATGAAGAAGTAGAATGTGCATATTTCTACTTCAGTTAAACATATTCCTAATGAAACACTTTCCCACAAAGAAAAATGACTTCACAATAAATTCTATAAATTCAAAAAAGATAATAACTCTCTTACAAAAATACTTTTAAAAATTAGAGGAGGGAAGCACATATACCAACTGTTTTATGAAACCAACATTACCCTGATACTAAAACCAGGCAAAAATTCCAAAAATTCCAAAAACACCTAAACAGCAAAAAATTAACAAAGCTAAATTATAAGCTACAGACTATGCTTCCTGAACACAGAAAAGAATCTTACCAAAATATTAGCAAATTGAATCCATCAATACTATCAGTGTATGCAAAGAGTAGCATGCCATGAACAAATGAAGTTTATTCTAAGAATACAAATTTGGTTTAATATTCAAAATTAATCAGCATAATTAATCATAGTAAATGAAATAAGGAGAGACACGTATTTTTTCAATAGATGCAGAAAAAGCATTTGAAAAATTCAGCACTCTTGACAGAAAAATCTGAACAGACTATGAAAAAAGGGAATAGTCTCAAGCTAATAAAGGACATCTATGAAATATGTTCTACAGTTAATATCATACTTAATGGTAAAATACGAATATCCTACCTGAAAAGTCAAGGAAACATTAAAGATGTTCCCTTTCACTACTTCCTTTAAATATTTTATGCAACTTCCTAGCTACTACACTAAAGCAAGAAAAATAAATAGAAAGCAGATAGAAACAAATGAAATATACTTATTCATAGATGACTTGATTCTATATGTAAAAAGTACAAAAAAGTATAAACCAAAAGTTACTAGACTTAGTACCTGAGTTTAGCAAAGCAAAGTTACAGGATAATAAATCAGTATACAAAAATCAAATGTTATTTCTATACACTAGTATCAAACAATTAAAAATGGACATGGACCTTTAATACTATTTACAATAGCATTTAAAAAATAAGCAATACTGAGGAATAGATTTAATAAAACATTTGAAAGACCTATACACTGCAAGCTATAAAACAATCCTGGTAGAAACTTCAAGACCTGAGTACATGGTGAAATATATGCTCTCCATGAATTGGAGGACTATTGTCGGTCAGATGTCAATTCTATTCACATTTATCTATGGATTCAATAGAAGTTCATTCAATTCCATGAATTCAACAAAAGTCCACATTCATCTATGGATTCAATAAAATTCCAATGGAAACTCTAAAAAGCATTTTTTATAAAGTAATGAGTTAATTCTAAAGTTCATACAGAAATTCAAATAATTTTGAAAAAGAACATAGTTCAGGAATGTACTACCAGACTTTAAAATTTACTATCAAGATAAGAGTATACTAAAATGTATAATATTTATGTAAGTTTAAGCAAACAGATTAATGGCAGACAATCAAGGGTCTGCCAGTATAGATCCATGAATATTTTGTCAATTGACTTCTGCTAAAGGAGTAAAGTCAACTCAATGGGGAAATGACTGTCTTTTCAACAAATTGATCTGGAACATTTGGATATCTATAAGATGAAAAATGAACTTCAAACCTTAACTTACCTCTCTCTCTTCTTGTCTCTCTGTCTATCTCTCTCAAAGGGGGAAATCTGTCTGACCTTGAGTTAGCTAAAATTTATTGGAAGCACATAAAATGCATGTAAAATAAAGAAAAATAGTAATATTTAGACTAATTTATGAATTGATAAAATAAAATGAAAAACTGCTCTTCAAAATTTATCATTGGCGATATGAAAAGGCAAGTCTCAAATTGGAATAAAATTTTATATAGATAGATACAGATAGATATAGATAGATATAGATATAGATATCTCCCAAGGATCCTTTCCCAGAATAAAGAACTCTAAAATCTCAAAAATAAGACACACAATCCAATTTTAAAATGAATAAAATATTTGAACAGACTCTTCATGAAAAATAAATATTCAAATGGCCAATAAGCACATAAAAAGACATTCAACATCATTAGCCATCAAGGAAATACAAAGTTAAACTACAATGAGATGCAGTATATGTCCCCTTTCGTTTTTAATTTTGGCCATTAGAATTTTACAGACCGGCAATAGCAAGTATTGGCATGGATGTGAAGTAACTGGAATTATCATACATTGCTGGTGGGAATGTAAAATGGCACAGCCACTATGGAAAACATTTTGGCAGTTTCTCCTAAAGTTAAATCTACTTTTATCATATGACCTAACAATTGTAATCCTGGATCTTTACCCAAGAAAATGAGGACATCTGTTTACACAAAAACTTACACACAAATGTTCATAGCAGGTTTGTTCGTTATAGCCCAAAATTGAAAGTAACACAATTATCCATCAATAGTATATCCATACATTGGACTACTATCAACAAAAAGAGCAAACTACTGTTATATACAACAACATGGATGAATCTCAAAAACATTATGTTGAGCAAAAGAAGCTGACAGAGAAGAGTACAAACTGTATGAATTCATTTATATGAAACTCTAGACAAAGCCAAATCTAATTAACAAGAACAGAAGGTAGGTCTTGGGTTATCTAGGGCTGGTGGTGGGGTGGAAATTGCTTGCAAAGGGGAATGAAGAAAGTTTTTGGAGTGATGAAGATGTCCAAGATCATGTTTGTGGTGGCAGTTTAATAGCTGTATACATTTATCAAAACTCAAGTAAGTACTATCTTCCCGAACCACTTTGTGGGGGAGCAGGGGGGACAGATTTTGCCTACATTAGTCATCAGTAACAACTATATATTGTATGCTTTCTCTGTGTAGTTGAGGTTTTTAACTTATGCCTCTGGATGAGTGCTAAAGAATCTATGAGCCCTCTGAAATTACACGCTAAATTTTGTGTGTATCCATATATAGATACTTATTTTTGCCAGACCTCCAGACCCCCCAAAACGTTAAAAAATAAATTCTTTGTATTTAAAAAATCCCGGCTACTTTATATTTTATGTTTAACCACATATTATTAGGAAGTCTCTCACCCTATTAAAAGCCTCACAGAGTAGTAGTAAATAACCTATTTTTCCTTCTTACTTAACCTAAAAAATGTCTACCATCAACACTCTTGATATATTTTTGTGCATAAATAAGAATACTAAACAAGATAAAGTCATAACTTTTTTGCTTCAGAATAGTTGTGTAATATTTTGCCACATATTTTTCCTCTCAATACCTCATTTTTTTTTCATTTGTATATTTCCAAATCATCTTCAAATACTGGCGAATCTATTTTTTTCTTTTTGTTTTATAACACAACATAAAATAAAACATTAACATAAACACATATACACATTGGCTTCTATACTGATTAACATTTAGCAACTGTTATTCTTTCATCTTGTAAGAAACCATCTTTGATCTCCACAGTCACAAAATGTTTTCATTTTGTGTTTTCATCTGCTGTTACCTTATCACTAATAACTGTGTAGTGGGTGCTGCCAACATATATACCTGTAAAGTGATTAGACACTTTTCCAAGTAGGAGTTACAGCAAAATTTATATTTCAAATAATAAAAAAGAAAAAAGTTTTGAGTTTCTATTTTGATTTTCTTTTTCTTCTGTTTCCCCGATGGATTACTTAGTGCTTTATTATCACAAAAACAATACAAAACAAAACATTTGGAGCATATGCTTATGTGTTAAGAAAAGTAAGACAGGATTCAACATTTTAACTTTTTAAGAAAAATCATGAAATTCACTTGCATTTATTGATCTCGGATGCAACAATGTGAGATGGTCTGATTACATATGAGGAGAACCATTTTCATTTTGTGTGAGGAAAAGTGGACACATACTTTTACTATCCAGAGATATTTTAGTTTTGTTTATAAGAAAATGTGATATTTGTATTTTGTTCTAAGTTCTATAAAACATTACACAGGGTTTTTTTGAAGAAAAAAATATAGATTAAGACAGGACTGATATAAAAAGTAATAGTCTGGCAAAGATGGTCTCTGTTGGAGGGTCAGGTGTTCATCAACTCTGTGGCATTTAATGAAGAAATTGCAGCACCTCTTGAAAGAAAAAGATGACTAAGAAACTTAAAAAAATAAACTGAAAGGATGAGTGAGGAATTAAGGAATTAGTAATAACTTATTTTCTTTTAATTTCTTGGGAGATTTCAATCCAAGTCATATGTTTTTCAAATGCATACATTGAGTCACATTGGCTGTAGCATAACAAAATTGAAGGTCAAATTCTGGAAATTCTAGTGACTGCTCGGTAACAGAAGAGGGGTATCCCCCAGTGCAAAAAACAAGAGGATTTAGCTCTCAGCACAATCTGTATGAAATACCACTCAACATTCTCATTTTATTTGATCTGATTCCATACTTACAGCAAAACATTTTATTAGCATCTCAAAAATGCTGTTGTTGGGATGGTGTTACTATGGATGAATTACAGCTACCAGGGTAAATATACCTCTTATATTAGTGCGTTAGTTGAGTAGTTTATAATCTTGGGGCTCTTGTGAATTGACCTGCCTGAGTCTGCCTCTTCTAGGCTTTGAGACATTCATCAGTCTGAGGCACCTGGTCATATACAACTACACAGTGTTTGGGCTACATTTTGTTTCCCATTATCTAGTTTTGTGCTCTTTACTCAATCCTCTAGATAATTAACAGTATATGAGCTAAGAAAATACTTGGCTGAGGTTTGGAACTTACATATACAGTCATGCATCACTTAACAATGGGATTATGTTCTGAGAAATGCATCATTAAGCAATTCTGTCATTGTGCCAATATCATAGAGTGTATTTACAAAACCTAGATGGTCTAGCCTACTACAAACGTAGGCTATATGGTATAGTCTATTGCTCCTAGGCTATAAACCTATACAGCATGTTACTGTTTTGAATACTGCAGGCAATTGTAACACAACGGTAAATATTTGTGTATCTAAACATATCTAAACATAGAAAATGATAGTAAAAAAATACTGTATAAAAGATAAAAATGGTACACCTATATAAGGCACTGAAAATGAAGTGAAGCTTGAAGGAATGGAAGTTGCTCTAGGTTAATCAGTGAGTAGTGAATGAACATGAAGGTCTAGGCCATTACTGTGCACTACTGTAGACTTTATAAGCACTGTACACTTAGGCTACACTAAATTTATAAATTTTCCTTTCTTCAATAATAAATTAATCTTAGCTTACTATAATTTTTTATGCTATAAACTTTCAAAATTTTTAACTCTTTGACTCTTTTATAGTTACTCTGCTTAAAACACACATTGTATAACTGTACAAAAATATTTTTTCTTTATATCCTTATTTTATAAGCTTTTTTTCTAATTTTAAAATTTAATTTTTTAAAACTTTTTAAACTGTTTTTGTTAAAAACTAAGACACAAACACACACATTACCTTGGCCTACGCAGGGTCAGGATCATCAATATCACTGTCTTTCACCTCCATATCTTGACCCACTGGAAGGTCTTCAGGGGCAATAACACGCATGGAACCGTCATCTCCTATGATAACAATGCCTTCTTCTGGAATATGTCCTGAAGGACCTGCTAGAGGCTGTTTTACAATTAACTTTTTTTTATATATAAGTAGAAAGAGTACACTCTAAAATAATGATGAAAGGTATAGTACAGTGAATACATAAACCGGTAACAAAATTGTTTATTGTCATTATAAAATATTATGTGTTGTACATAATTGTGTGTGCATAATTGTATGTACATAATTGTATGTGCTACACTTTTATACAACTGGCAGTGCAGATGCTTGTTTACATCAGCATCACCACAAACACATGAGGAATACATTGTACTACAATGTTCAGATGGCCATGACGGCCATGACAGTTATGACAGCCATGATGTCATTAGACAACAGGAATTTTTCAGCTGCGTTATAATCTTATGTGACCACTGCCACATGCTGTCCACTGACTGAAATATTATGTAGTACATGATTGCATATGACAATGTTCTCTAACTATGGTTTAGCTCATTCTACTTATATAATATTTTATAAATATGTGTAAGTGTATTTCCAAAAAACTGGAAATTGTATGAGCCATTCTTGTTATATTTAAAAAATAATATTTATGTCTTTAGGATTTACATTATTTACCCAGCCATACAGAAAAATATATAATTTAGAGACATTTAATTAGCATTTATTTCTTTGGTGAACTAACTATGAGAATCAGGACCCAATTTTTAAGATACAATTAACCTATTACAGAAATGTTTCCTGGAATAAGACTCTTACTGCAGTGCTTCAATGGACCATAGGTTTTTTTTTTTTTTTTTTTTATGGCTGAGTTATAGACTCTTGAAAAAGGAATTTATAGTGGAAATGCTGACACAACATGAGTTCCTGTATGGTGGTGTGAACTTGCAGCTATAATAATTAAGCAATTAGGCATGACAGAAAGTGTGAGTTGCCTGAGATAATCACACCCCTGGGGCATTGCAAGTCATGATCCAAAGATAAGTGTTTTTAACCTCCCAAGGGTGTGATTACCAGATGATAACCACAACCCCCGGAGAAGACTTTGATGACTCATAATATGTCTTTACTATAAGGAAAAAAGTGATTATGCTGCTGTATGCAGATGAAGCTGGCTGTGGAGACTGGTATATGTATGCCACAAATTAATTAAGAATTGTAAGATGTATACCACTTTAATGGTATTGGGCACTGATCCCAGAGATCAATTTGTTTTCTAATCATTGTTGAAATATAAAGATGGGAGAAGGAATCTCCTCTTCTCATCTTCAGAAAGAAATGAATGATTGTTTAAAGAAATCATAAAGGTTATATTGCCAAGCCATTTTATTGACTAGATTTTATCAAGTAATTCTATGACAGTCTCTCATTATCTGAACTACTCATGTTCGAATAATTTTATCACTTAAGAATAATTACATCTTTATCTAAGAGCATTTAGTACTATAGTCGCATTCACTCATTCATCCATTTTACTCCATTACCTAAAAGCACACATGAAACAATTATGCTGGAGGTATAAAGAAGCTTAAGTCCCATATTCTGGTTATGGAACACAGGCACATAAATAATTATAATGCGGTGAGACAAGTGCCAGCATGGTGGTGACTAAAGTGTGGTGTAGAAAGCAAGGAAGAAAATAAGTAATTCCAGCTGGGGAAGAATAAGAAAGCTTCATAGAGGAGAAAATATTTGATCTGGATAATAATTATAGTAGCTCCTACTTGCTGAGCATTTATTTTCGTTTAGACATTGTGCTGAGCATTTTACTTTCATAATCTTATTTTAATCTTCATAAGATCTATGTTGAGGTGGGTGGTATTTTTCTTGTGTCACAGATGCAAAAGTAAGATGGAGTGATTATGTGCCAAGCTCAAGGTGAGATAACTAGTTGGAGACATGTTAGAACTAGAAAAATAGAGTTGCTTTCAGAACAAGTACTTTTAACCACTAGGTACTATTTTGAAATATAAGTGAGTTGCATCCTTGTTTATCTTAGTGTCTTATGTGAAGTGAAGTATTAAAGGAAGATAAATTTGGCAATATAAAATGGAGAGACTCAAAAGGCACAGCAGATTCCTTGACCATCCATTGCAACTGGAGTCTATGATGCATGGGTTGCTACAGAGATAGAAGGGAGCCTGGAATAGTCAAGTCTGAATTACTTTTGGTCAAGTCACAGAGATTCAGTACTTTGCTTAACAGTTTGCAAGTTTGTTTTAAATGAATCTGCCTCTCTGATTTCAAGGTTAGTCACATGGGTCAGCAAGCAGTAAAGATTTCTTCTTTCACTTTTATTTACAAGGATCAGAAACACTTCCTAAGAACCTACATGATAATGGCAGCCATTGTAAAAGTTATGTATATAAAAGATATGTAAAAATAATTGCTAATTATAATTTTGGAAATCCCAAGTTCAATATTTTCAAAGACAAAGACAGTGGAAAAACAAAACTAATTTTGATTTGAAAACTAAACGTAAGTTGCATTGCACATTAGGGAAGTAATGCTCTAGAACCTAATTTTAATGAAAATCCTGTGAAAATCAGGGTTGTAGCTATGCTGAGAACTTTGGGACATGCCTAGAAAAAAATATTCATCTCAATAAGCAAGGCCTAATACTTTCAAAGTGCTGGAGTCTCTGAGAGACATAACAGTGTAACACGTGGCATCTGCTTCAGATGAGTTTGTGATCTGTTTGGGAGACAAAACATAAACAGTGTTTTCACAATCACTAAGAGAAATGACAGAGTTATATATTATTAACAATTTCCTGAAGTTTAGATGGCAAACTACTGGTCTACTGGTCTTTGGAATAGTAAAAATTTAACAGTAAATACAGTAGAAAGCATTTATTTGATGTCTAAAACAGGATTTTACTTATCATAACGTGGATAGTACAGACCTCTGAGTCAGTGAAGCTTGATTTTTAATTCTGTTTCAGATTACCTATATGACCTTCTACCTATTAGTTGGTTCTTGTGTTTTATTGTTCATCTTATATAAAATATAGTCAATAGTTCTCAATTCACAAAGTGGCTAAGAACATTTGAAATGGTATATGTAGAGTTTAGCTTAGTGGCCAGGATATGGGAAGCATTTATTAAATGATAGCAATTATAATGATGATCACAATAGCAATCATGTGATGGTAACTGTGCTAGACACTAATGTAAAGATGAGTGAGAAATAATCCCTCTGAATTTGGCAATGACTTCCCTACTGTTGACAGTTCCTGGGTGTTTCACCATCCTTTGTTGTTCTATACCCATTTCTGTAAACAGTCTCTTCACTAATTTTTTAATTAAATACTTCAGAGTATGATATAATTTGGCTGTGTCCCCACCCAAATCTCACCTTGAGTTGTAAAAATCCCCACATGTCCATCTCCACATGAGGTCATGTGGAGATAATTGAATCATGAGGGCAGTTTCCCCTATACTTTTCTTTGTTAGTGAATAAGTCTCATAAGACCTGATGGTTTTATAAATGGGAGTTCCCTTGCACAAGCTCTCTTTTGACTGCTGCCATGTAAGACGTGACTTTGCTCCTCCTTTGCCTTGTGCCATGATTGTGAGGCTTCCCCAGCCATGTGGAACTGTGAGTCAATTAAACCTCTTTCCTTTAGAAATTACCAAGTCTCAGATGTAGCTTTATTAGCAACATGAGAACGGACTAATACAAGGTATAATAGCTCTTTCCAACGGGGACCCTGATGTTATATTTTTTAAAATTATTCAATATATGTGCTCCTTTAAGACTTTAATAGATTTTAATATAAAGACTGTTCTAAATTGCTTACAGTTCGTAAAATTGCTACTTTAGGATGATGTGTGATGCTTATCCTGGGGAGTTTATTACCTGGCACACAAATTTGGATCTCAACAGGTTCTCTGTTCCCTGGTTATCAGGCTCCACAGGTGGTCCAAAGTGAGCTGAATGGATATGGTTCTCCTGTGGGAGTTGCAAATAATGATTTTCACCGTGGTGAGCACAACCTGCAGGATCTGTTTTGCTTCTCTTTCATTCTTCACTATCTTCTCCATTTTTAGAAATAAATATAGAATTAAAATTTTGAATGAGATACCTTTAGTTTAGACCTTAAGAACCCTAACACTGGCTGTGTGACAGATTTTTAAAAACATAGGTTCTTGCTTCCTGAAATGAATTTTATATGATTGTTTTTCTGGTTTTTATATGCTTTCTACACGTGGTCCTACAGTGCTCTCCTACTTAAACTTTGCTAAAAAGAAGATATGACAAGACCAAATGATAGGACCAAAATCTGAGATCACATTAAGAATGAGACTTTAAAAACACCAGAAAGTTTATTTATTTGGGCTTTTGGAATTCTCGCAGTCATTAGGAATCACTTCAACAGGGGAATTTTTGGAAAGAAAGTAATGTAAAGAATATCCAAGCCATGAGCAGGTTACTTAGCCACTCGGAAAGATGGCTTATTCACTGGTAAAATGAAAATACTACCCAACTTACAGGGTTGTCAGGAAATGGAAAGAAAGCAAGGAAAGAACATATCAACATGCTCATCACTTAACAGTTGTTCAACTAAATTGTTGAACAACTAATTTTTGGTGTGGGGTCGGTTTAGATGTATTTTAATTAAACTGTTGCTGTCTCAATAATTGAGTTGATGAGATAAGAAAGGATAGCTCTAATTCACAATTGATAGTATAAATTGAGCCCTTGGAATATATTGCTCACAATTTTAATAACTTTACTCTTATTAATTCATATACTGATAACAAATTTTCTAGGTAAGTTATATTATTCCCATTTTATATATAAGAAAAGTGAGACACAAAGAAGTTAAATGACTTGCCTGTGTTCATATGACTAGTAAGAATAGAGATGGGATTTGAATTCAGGCTGTCTGAGTCCAGAGAGAGTTCTTAGTCTGAGGCTTTCTTCTTCCCAAGACCCAGGAAGTTTGTCTGGAAAGCAGGAGCTGATATGCTGTCTGAGAACAGTGGAGATTCAAGTTAAAAATTACTAAATTTAAAAACACAGCTACTTAAAATCTTTTCTAGAATAGGCAGGGGAAAACAATAATTATTACTTGATAACTATACATGGGTAAATGGACATAATTATGTCATACTTCTTAACTGCATATTTATCCAAAGCTTGCAATAAAATATTTTTATTTCAGAAGTGGCCTTAAAAAGATCATGAGAAATAGTGTATATTCAAAAAAATCCAAATTACTTCAAGTTGTTTAATTAAAGATGAGACTTTCCTTATCTATTTTAGGTCAAGGAAGTGTGGGATTGGAAGCTGAAAAAAACCCAAATGACTATATGGAAGGTTATTGAATCTGACTTTTCATATCTTTTCAATCTGTTGTCATTTTTTATTTGTCCAGAATCAGATAAAATTCAATCATAATGTTATACAATTTCCCAAGCTCATAAATAAATTAATAATTTTAAAAGGAGAATTAAGGAGGTCTGAAAAAAAATATGGGATTAAATGTTTTGCAGTTATTTTATCTCTTTCAATTGCTATTAGGAAAACATGTCTTGATTTTTTTGTCAGTGGATAAAAGTAGAGAATGCCTAAGCATTTAATATAAGTTGAAGAAATAAAAGAACAATTGTCTTATAAAAGGAAAAATGTTAAGATATTTAAACAGTGTAACTGGATTGAAAATAAATTAGTGATTTGTAGAGGTTGGGGGAAAAAAGAATGGAAAGTGATTGTCAATGGGAATAGGGTTTTTTTGAAGTTATAAAAATATTCTGGAATTAGACAGTTATGATGGTTGCAGAACATTGTGAATATACTATACTAAAAAACAATGAATTGTACATTTTAAAAATAATAAAAATTATGCAAAGGTATGTGAATTGCATCTCAATTTAAAAATCTTATGGAAAAATATCCAATGATTGCAGAATCTTTGCATATAAAGGGAAAGACTGCAGTACAGGTCACAGGAACAGAAGTTGAAATCATTAAAGGAAATGTACCAAATAAATGAATAAATAAGTAAAGGTCACAAAGCCCAATAAGTTGGAAGAACATAATTAATCTCCAGCTACTCATGATTCAAAGGCAATGTACTCAAAGTGACCACATTTTCCAACATAATAATTCAAAGCCTGCAAGTAGGCTACCAAAGTACAGTGATCGCCTGGTACTTTATGTATAACATGATATGGGAATTACAATTTTAAGATCTCGTTGTTGAAACTGGAATATCCAGATTTCAAGTACTTAGGGATACAGCAGGATGTAATGTTTAGATCATAACTATTCTGGAATATGCAAAATTACAGATTCATGCTTCTCAATAGAATTCTTCATTGGCTGAAAGAAATTCTAACTAAGTGAAGCAAAAAAAAGAGAGAGAATAAAATATTAGAGCACACAATATTAAAGAGAAAACTGGAAAATTAGGCATAAATAAAGCATATCCAAGAAACCTTTTGGAGGATATGGACTGGGAACTCATGGAAGGCTTTCTTCAAAGTCCACCATGGAATTACCTCAGATTCAACCACTTCCCTTCCTTATGTAAGCCTGCTTAAGATTTATGTTCCTGAAAGAAAGAACATTTGACCATCATTTATTCTTGTAGAAGGCAGAAAAGTATATGGCTTGATAGTTTTAACTTGATTGCATTCAGTGGAGGAGTCGTTTCCCAAGGAACTCCTGCCAAATCATGGGGAACAGGAAGGAAAGCATTCAAAACAACATATGTCAACAAAAGCCACCATTTTTAAGGACTTTAGTTTCCTCATTTGTTAAATCACATAATAATGTTACTCACCTCACAGGCTCAATACTTACTCCAATATCAGGTACATCATAAGAAATATATATTTATTAGTTATTATTAATATATATGAATAACATATAATATACAATATTAATATGTTTATTACAAAATATTTAAACATTAAGAAGATTGTGGAATAGCTATTTCTTATAAATAGATGACAATAAGTCAAAGCAATATGATTATATTCACTTAAAAATTCAATAATTTTTGCTGCTCTGCCTATGGAGTAGCCATTCTTTTATTCCTTTACTTTCTTAATAAACTTGCATTCACTTAAAAATAATAAATAATTTTGCTCTATTTCCAATTGTGCTCCTCAGTTTATGCAAATTAGTTAGCTTTTCTCATAGTTCTACAAAAAAATTTAAATTATTATTCTTTTTTGGAGAAGGGCCTTAAATAAATTCAAAATATTCACCTTATTTATATGTATTTTTAGCACTGATGTTGATTTAGGCAGAAGGTAAACCCCATAGCGTCAGCATTTACACAATCATTTCTATACCAAAGAATGCCACACGTAAATGTATCATACATTATAAGATTTAGCTGGTTCTTACAATATTAGCTTAGCAACAATAGGAATCCATAATTTCACTATAGTCATTAATCATTCCTGCTCTTTTAACAATAAACTCAACAGAATGGGTTGTCATATAGGGGTCAATTTTCAAATAAACATGATCAAATAACCTCCACAAAAAAAATAAGAAAAACACAGTAGACAACCTGTATTCTTCAGTAAGTTTTCTTTGCTGACTTATCTTTGGTGAGCAAATTCAGTGGAATCCTTACTTCTGCTCTTGAAAAAGTAACCTCCTTCAGTAACCTCCAAATTCTTAGCTGCAGCTGAAGGTTTTATTTCCTGGCAGAGACAAAATCAATGATGTATCACTAGATTTAGAGCTCTAACAAAAATATGTCCATGTTTCCACTTTCTGACTCCTCCCCACCACATCCACAGACAGGGACAACACCTCCAGCTATCCTCTCTCTCCAATTCAGAAAGCGAACTGGGGGAGTGGCAATGGGTGATTTTCATTCAACTACCTGCATCAATTAGGAACTTACACTAAGAATTGGGCCTTAAATAATTGTAAGAGGAGCTGAGAGAAATAAATGTCCAAAAAGGTCAAAGAAAAGTTTCTTAACCAGGCCCAGCACTGGAGAACAAATGGAACAAAATAAACCCACAGGGAGAAATGAATTTTCCCAAATATTGTATAGGAAAATAAAGTTTCAATTGTTGAAAAGAAATAAGTTATCCAAAAGTAATGTTTTATTTTAAAATAGCAGCTAGTAGCTCAAAAAAAAAACCTAATGATAATTGAAAATTATTGTTTGAAAGAAAACAGAAGGTAGTGATTAAAATTCAAATCTCAATATTCCTTCTTACTTTGACCACTGAAGAGTAAATCTGGGGACTCTAATTTTTTTCCAAGTTTCCCTAGCTTATAGGTACCTATGGAGTGACATAATGGCAATAGGAATTTGGCTCTTCATACTATCTTCCCAAATTGTTTCTGCAGCTCACCATGAAGTTTGAAGTTTTCTGTGGGCTCTCATGTGTATGCACAAAGTCAGCTTCCACCAGGCATTGCTGCTATTTTGCCAGTGCCCTAAAGATAACTTTAGGATATCTGATTACCATTGTTCATCTTCCTCTAGGCATCTGAGGGGACCATCACATTCAATAGCCTCCCCTAGTTGCAGTGTAGATTATCTGAAAGAAGCCACAGAACGTGTGCAGGATGTTTAATAGCCTAATGTGCAGCAAGAAAAATGCAAACCTCTTCATGTTCATTTCTTTTGTATTCTGTGGCAGTGGCTCCCAAGCAGAGATGATTGTATCCTCAAAGTTCCTCGTGAAAACGGTTTTTTTGTTTTATTTTTGTTGTTGTTGTTGTTTTTGTTTGTTTTTTTTGCTCCTATTGGTAGCTCTCTCTATATATTGTTCAGATACCAGAATAAAGAGATGCATTTGGACACAAACCCATATTGTCCTCTTCATTCTTTTCTCTTCTTTCTCCTGGGATCTTTGCTGTCAACAATGTTTAATTCTCCAAAGCAGAATAATTTAATAGAAATATAATGAGTTAGATATACATTTAAAATTTTAATTTTTCCTTGAGAATATGAAGAGAAACACATGAAATTATAATACATTTTATTTAACCCATTGTATCCAAATAATTATTTTAAGATGAAATCAATATAGAAATTATTAATAAGATATTTTACATTTCTTTGGTATTAAGTCTTCGAAATCCAGTGTCTATTTTACACTGACATCAAATTGCCATTCAGACTGGTCACATTTCAAGTGCTTAACGGTCAAGTACAGCTACTGGTACTATACTGGACAATGCAGCTCTAAAGAGCCAAAAACCCCATTTGACCTAAGTAGTTGCTGAAACAATCTTCCATCAAGACTATAACTTACATAAATTGAAAATAGCTGAACAATTTCTTGGAAAATAACAGTAAATTACTACCACTTAATGTAACTTTCATTCTTCAGATAAATGGATATTTCACTTTTTTACCTTTGTATAATTACCTTTGATATCTATAATTAACATAAACATATTAAAGACAAGGCTTCCAGAACCATCAAACAGAGAAAGCTTTAGCTACAAGAAGTAGCTTGATCGTTCTGAAATTTCCTTTAAAGGGTAGAATCCTTTAACAGATTTTATACCCCAAATTTCTCATCAAGTGTTTCAAAAATGATAATATTTACCAATGCCAAAATGTGATTTCATGGTAAGTGGTTCCACTAACGCATCTCAAAATGTGGATACCTAAGCTTTATTTTTAGTCATTTATATCTTCCTCTTTAAGGGGCTAAATCATGTGTCTAAATTCCTAATCATGTGACTAGCTGAAAACTAACTTTCTTTTGGGGAGAATTTGAAGATGAGAAAGATATGATAAAATGAAATAAGGTTATGAGGGCTCACTTATATATGATTAAAAATCACACTTTTGGGGCTGCTTTACCTGGAGTCAATAGGTCATGCTGAAAGTTAGTGATTTGTTGGCTCCAAAAGTAATGACTGTCTTCTTTTGTACATTTTGCAAATGGTAGAATGAAGAGAAGGTGTCAATTAAAAAACAGAACTCCAGACTCTACTTTAAATGATTATTAAAGTGACACGTATCAGGGTTTTATTTCCTCTCATACTTTTTTAAGAAACATGAAATTTCTTCCTTTAGCAATTTAGCACTTGTTTGGAAAATTATTTAGAACCATTTGTGGTAAGCTGCAGAGGTGCCTTCCCTGGCCATACGATCTAAACCTTTAAATACAATCTTGAGAAACAAATATCCAGAAAAATCTAATTCATTTGCTCCTCATATGTAAGTTTTACTTGCATCATGCAAAAATAGATGACTTATACTGTCATCTCTTTTTGCACTAAGGAGCCAGGTATTTGCATCTTTGTGGGGTGATTTAATGGTCACTAAGCAGCAGGAAAGAGTGCTCACCTCAGCAGAAGATGGCATTGCTAAAACTAGGTAACATTGTCAGAGCACAGCTGGGTGGTCAGGACATTGGACAGTAATTACTAGCCAGTGAAAAAGAATGAGCTCTAAATGAGGAGACGAAAAGAACAAGACCTTGGGGATTGGGTTTTTAGTTATAATTAACATAAATCGAGAGATAGATTTGGTTTGGCCAAAATACAAGAGGAGATCTATTTCTAAGCTTCTGCTGTGTGAACCTTAAAATGTCTGCAAAAGCCCTTGGATGCACTTCCTCCCATTTCTTTCACAGCTGTGGTGTGCTATTATCGCTATTGTTAATAATAACTACAGTAATATTTTCCATAATACCTTTCTCCTGAAGTCTATAGGGTATCAGGCAAAAGCTTCCAAATTCTGTGAATAACGTTTGTCTAATAAGCGTTGCAAAATGTCAAGTTAGTGAAAAAAAAATAGATGTTAGGAAACAAGGGAGGAAAAGATGATTTAGAACAAAATAGAATGGAAAAAATCAAAGGAAGAAATTATCTGTTAACAGCTAGTGAACACAGCAGACAAATCCATGCTCCTTGGCCAAACTTTTCTAGAAAAATCTTGACACAATATGGAGTATTCATATTTGAAAGCCATCACCCAGGACCTTTTAAAATTACAAGTAAAAGATGTAACTGACTTTATTTTTTCTTATTTCAAGTTCTGAACTTAGGCCAAGTGTCGAAGGCATCAAAACCATAAGGTAAACTAGGAGACAACTGAGTACTACAAATTTCACATGAAGAGGAAACAGATACCTGAAAGAAGGTAGAACAGAAAGAAAGAAGAGTTATTTGAAGTTGTTCCCATTTGTGTCAGGAATGCCCTGGCCATCTGAGACTGACTACTGAGGTGCTACCTGCCTTTGTCTTTGTATTAATATTTAGCTGTATGAGTCTGTGCTGGATAGTAATAGATGGCATTTATTGAATGGCTGCTCATTAGCAGGCAATGTTATAAGCATTTTACATGGGTCATTAATTCAATATCACAATCTTATGAGATCAGTAGCATTATTACCACCACAATTTTCAGATGAGAAAACCTAGGCACAGAGAAGTTAAATGACTTACCCAACACCACACGGTTAGCAAGTGGTACAGTTGGAATTTGAGTATAAGCAGCCTGCCTCCAAAGCCCACCCTTTTTACACACACTATATTGATGAAAGTTGTAAATGCACTTGCCAACTGAGGAAGAAATAGATGGCTTACAGGAGCTTAGTAGAAATGCTATGTTAGAGGAAGCAAAACAAAATATCTCTACTAGTCTCTATTTCAAAGAGGTAAAATCCTATATACTTATTGGAACCAGGTGACATCCCATTTCTATTCCTGTGTATGCTCCTTTTTACCAGTGCCTACTTATTCCTTCCCATTTACCTTAGGTCCTGCTTCACATCACTTTATGTCTATGTTTGTGCAAACTCTAGGTATCCCTCTGAACTCTACTGAGTTACATTAAGTTCTTATAGCAATTGAACATATCATACTTTAAAGAAATTAAAGCAATGGTTTCCATGACTAACTAAAAGTTAAGAATGCAAAAGTCTTACAGAAATATCTATATTGGGAAGATTTCATGCTCTGATATCAAAGGAGAAAGAGAACTCAGATAAGGCTTGCCCAAGTATTGGGCAGTTTAACCCAGTCTGCATAGCCTCCGTCCATTTATTTTCACAACTCTAAATCATCTTATTGTTGGGCTGAAATAATTACCAACTAAGTGACAGTAGAATCTAATAGAAGTTTGAAACTCTCACAATCAATACTGGTTGGCATAAAGTCCCACTGGGGAACAATGAAAAATGTACTTGCTAAATTTCTAACAATAGGTCAGGTTACTGCTATGGCATTTCTAACTAATGCAGGTGCTTCTGAATTGTACATTGAAATATATGCTGTCCTTTCTGTAGGGCAGTTGTTTTTGTTTCTCTGTTTTCTCAACATAATTTGGAAAGGAGAATAGGAATTAAAATTTACAGCTTACAGACCTTGTTTTGATTTCCTTCTTTTAGGTAAGCTTCTTTATTAACAATACTGAAAATGAATGTGTTTCCTTCTTATTGAACTGTAGTCTTCTGTCTAGTCCAGCTATACAGAAATATAATACAAGAAATCAAGGAAAGAAAGACTTGGGGTAATTAAATATATTTCTAAATTTAGTCAAAGCTACCTAGAAGTTATGGTTAAACATTAGCGTTAAGAATGTAAGAATGTTTGTTAGGATGTCTGTACCATGTATTGTATTAAATACAAAGATTTCAGAGTTAACTCTTGTCTTTTTGAGTAACATTCACAAGTCAAAAGAAAATGGATCAGTGAGGCAATAAATGGCTTAAGGACATTTGGGCAATGGCTTTAGGCCATGTGGAGTCACTGACAGGTTTTAAACAGGGGAGTTAATTTTGAAAAATTAACTTTTGTGGAAGATGGACTGGAAAAAATGCAGGAACAAGTTAATAAGCAATTGTATTATAATATTTTAGTTATTCTCAGTAAAGGGTGATTTTGCCCCTCAGGGGTCAATTATCAACATCTAGAGATATTTTTATTTTCACAACTGAAAAAGATGGGAGTGCTACTGACATCTATTGAGTAGAGGTCCGTAATACTATAAACATACTACAATGCACAGGACAGCCTGACACCACAGGGAATTATCCAGCCCAAAACGTCAATATTGTCGAGGTCAAGAAATCCTATATTAATGTTCACACACACACAAATAAGGGACTGACCCAAAGACATAAAAAGTAGAAACAGAAACATTTTGGGATATGTAATTTATCAAAACTTAGTGACTAATTAAATGTGGTCAGTAACAGACATTAAAGGGTCTTATCGTGTCTATTAAATAGGGTTTTGTATGATCGTACTTACGTGCAAAAGAACAAGGAAGGGAGTACAGACAGCAGAGACAGTTTCAATAGAAAGTGAGAGGGTGGGAACAGGACGTTGAGCTTGAGGTGTCTGTGAGACATCTGCTTCCCATTAAATTATACAAGTCTGAAATAGAAGTCTATTTTGAAGATACAGATTAGGAAGATATCAACAGATGGCGGTTGGAACTGTAAGAATAGATAAGATGCCAATGAGAAAGGGTGTGGGAGTGGAAAGATAAATAATATTGGGGGAGGGTGAATGGACAGGAGTGGTTAGAGACACAGAGACACATTTGAAAATGTGGAAAGAGAACTTGTTCAGTTAGTACAAGTGTGTTAGCCGAGCTGTGAATAACCTCAGCTTTGAGAATTCATTGCTCTCTTAAGTCTTTGTACTCTTAGAAATTATTGATTACACAGGAATCCACTTTATGCAAAAAAGGGAAGCAGAGAGGTGTTGAATTGCTGTTAGATGAACATTATAAGATAAATAAATATTCAAGAGAAATGAAAGTGTACATCCTTTAATAAATGGAAATACTTGCCATAAAACTTTAGCAACAACTGCCAGTTAGTGGCAAAGTGGTTTGATTAATTGTAACTTGTAAAACTATGATAAAATTTCAAGAGTGAATGTTAGGTGTTAATAACAAAAGAAAAGCTAGCCCTTGTTTTTAGGAATGCTAATTTGCTCTCTCGAAAGGAAATCTCCATAAATTATTGCATAAAAGATATAAAGTCTGATAGAGTATTTCAATACTATTCTGTAACTCTGACCCAAAATTATTTCCCAGTTACTTTAACAAAATAGGAAGTAATTAAGGCTATGACAACATATTTTGAATGAGTATATTTTGAAATAATATATTTCATAGTAAAAGATTGATCTCAACCATTAAGAAATAAATACAAGTTGTATTTTTCTTCTATCATAGATATTACTCTCTACTTCTTGGTAAAATTTATCTTACCTAAATTTATTATCTAATTAGTCTTACAGTGATACTTAACCACAAATAGGTTAAGCATTGTTATATATAACTTAGAAAAAAAAATTAGCCTCAAAATTTGTTATTTTGGACATCACATTCTATCACATATTTTGCATGCCTGCTCTTGCTTCCAAATGCTCAAATGTGAGTTTAAACAAGTCAGATGTTTAGTGGTAGAAGCAGAAAATAATCAATGTCAAAGTATATTTATAAATATATCAAGTAAGAAATGAGTATGGCCTGTGAGTATTGTTTCAAAGTTTTAAATAATCATGAGTATTTTGACCCAGCTCGGTTTTTATGAAAACCATGCCTTGATCTTTATGAAATGGATGGGGTTGGAGAAGCTCTGTAAGGATAACAATTTAATAGACAAAAGGTGCCCTCGAAGGTCAGAAGAGTCTTGCTCTATTATTACTTCACATTGTCCTCAAATTGTGTTTTCCAAATACTCTAAGATTATTGTGTTAGGAATATGTTAAGGCACAGATACTAACTGGTTCCTTGGGCTTAGATTTTCATTACTAGTTCTTGCCACTTACTGGAGAAACTAGAAATAGCCACTTTTCATGTTTCTGTTTCACTTACCTCCAGTGGCTAGGTAGCTCACATCACCTACCTTATTGGTAAGCTTGGAGGATTAATGGGAATAATTGTAAATCAATTTTAGAAATTTGACAGGCATGCTATACACTATCATTATTAAAGAAAAGCCATTCTTGTGAATTACTACAGAGATAAGAAAAATCTGTATGGTCAGTGTACTCAAGTTTACATAATAAATCATGTGATGTAAAGAGAAAGTTGTAATTTCAAGAGGAGCAGTGTTAACATACAGTCTACTGTTTAAACATACTTAACAGGATACATTATTATTGCTATTGGATGATATCCCTCAACATTCTACAAAATCAGAATCTACTACTTCTATATTCTTTTCCCAAAATAGAATTAGGTTTTTTTCACTTTAAAGGAAAAAGTAACCCACAAAAGCAGCTTTTTGTAAATCAAGGTTTTAATAAAATTGAGGTGTATCATTTAACAGAGAATATATTATGTAAGCTAAGCAATCTATTCATTGAACAGCACTGAAAATAGTAATGAAATAGTATCTTATATCAAATAGAAAACTAGTTAGCTTTAAAGCTAAATGAAGACAAGCTCCACTGGAAAGGTAAAAAGAGTATTTCCTAATAGAAAGAAAAATAATACAATATCTCAAAATAAAGTTAAAAATACCATTCCTTAGAATACACCATAATTCAAAAAAATCTGGATTTTTCCTCCTTGGTTGAATAGGTTAGTTACTGAAATCTGCATTCGTTATTTCCAACGTCACATTGCTTTTAGGAACTGAAACTCTGTAACCTTGATGCTTAATAATTGGCTGGAACTTTATTATGTCCATGTCTCACATACTGAGTCTAGGTGTACACACTTATTTCCAAATATGTATTCCACACTGTTTTTCTCCCCCAGAAAAGGTAGGAATGAAGAAGCCAACAATTAAAAAAAAATCTGTGTGCATGATTTTTTTTCAAAATTTCTTCAGTAAGCCCACGCTAAGCATATTGAAATAAAGCAAGAAAGTCAATGTTAAAAACAAACAAACAAACAAACAAAACAAACAACAATGCAAAAAAACACAGAACAAAACAAGAACCAGTTTGAATACTGTGGTGCCACTGCAGTCCACCTCCAAACTCACTAGTTTAATTTCTGTCAAACTGTCTACCTCTTTTCCTTTAGATGGCTGTTAAATATTAATATCTTATTTGGAAACAACCACAGCAGAAATTTAAAGAAATCAATACTCTAACAAACTGAAGAATCAGTTTGTGTCCTGTGACATTAAAATGATAGATAACTGGGATGTTGAGCAAAAAAAAAAAGCAATTTTCCATCACAAGTGTAGATCAGTTGCCTGTTCTTCTTTTCTTCCTTTCTTATTTCCTTTATTCCTGTTTTTCACCCTCCCTCCCTTATTTTCTTGGAATTAAGAACTATCAAAACAATCATAAAGCCTGAAAAGTATAGTAGCAGTGAACATAAATTCTGGAGTCAGGGCTCAATGAATTCAATTTCTGGCTCTACCAGTTAGAGATGTGGAATCTTAAGTAAGTTACTTAGATTTTCTAGCTAAATTTCCTTCTTTGTTAAAGTAAAATATCAGTACACATCCCATAGTAATGTTTAAAGGTAAAATTAGTTAATATTCATAAAACCATTACATCACTAACTTTCACGTGAGCTTTTGCTTTTATAATTCTCTGTTTTAAAAAACAAAATTTGGCCAAAGAGTGTAGCCCAGCAATATACAAAAGCCATAAAGTAGGAAATAAAGAGGAAACTAGGAAGGAAGAACAGCACTTCAGGAAATACGATGAGTGACCTTAATAACATCACGAAAGGCAGCTTCCAAGGAAATTCCTGAAATTATTTTAAAATGAAGATAATAAATCTACTTCTATCTGCTTTCTCTTTCAGAATATTTTACCAAGGGTTTTAATAAGAGAAATGCTCAGTATTTCTCCTCCACAACAACTTCTAGGAGCATTTAATATCCTCTGGTGTGGCATTCTCTATTAGTTCACTTCCTTGAGCCACTTACCTGGAAATATAAAACAGGAGTGATATTATTTTTTCACTGGGCAGTTAAGAAGTCAACAAATTTTGGTATGGTGAAGAAATACATATAAAATAAAAATCAATCTATTTATCTTTCAATACCCAAACTAGCCTTCTTTGGATGACATTCTTTAGAAGATTATCTCTTATCAATCACTTTCTGCAGTGTTATAAATTTTGTAGATCATATTTAGAAAGATTTAGCAATGAAGTCACCTTCATAAGGGAATTTTTCTAATGTATGAGTAACTTGCACAGAAGTGAACTACAAGGTCAACGGCAAAGACAGGTAATGCTATTTGTACAAAGGGAAACTACACTTAAGATAGCTACTAGCATTCATTGAAGAAGTGACATTCTGTAGACAGAACAGTGAAACAAACATGTGCTCACTGGGGTCCAGTCCATACATTTTGAAAAGCCACTTTATAACATGTGAAAAGCAGATGAAAAACTGTCTTAAAACTGAATCCAGTAAGTTCTACTTAAGAAATACAAAAAGGGCATAACCTAAATTGCAAATAATGATTCAATAAGCATTTACAATAACACATTTTTTAATAATTACTAATGAAGGGAGAATGGCAGGTAAATTACGGATGGTCATCATATTTTCCTAAAATGTGCATGTTCCAAATAAATTGTATGTAATATGATTTATATATTATATAATTTGCCTATAATTCTTTTAAAAAGAAAAAATGAATTAATATGATTAAAGTAGATTCTCACAGGGATAAACATTGTGAAGCATTTTTAGAAATAAACAATAAAGACAAATAAAAATTGGCCCCAAACTAGTTGATTCTGACACAGTATCCAAAACAATGAAGTGCTTGAAAGCATTCTAACATTTTTTCACAACAGTGATGATTTCTGTGAATCAGGGAATCGTTTTAGAACAATCCAACCACTTGCATGGCATATGTGACATTTTTAGTATATTTTTCATGTTTATTTCCACCTTCAGCCTTCTTTGCTTTATTTGATTCTAAATTCATAATTACAAATAACTATTCAGCTTCTTGCTTTCAGTGGAATATATAAAATATATTTTCTAAAAATTCAGTTTTTTAATGCTATTTAACATACCAAGTTTTGTATACATCAGAATAATTTTAACTGGATTTTTTGTTAATGTAGAATACAATTTTCTAAGAAATTTTGGTTTTTAATCTGCTTTGATTCTTTAAAAATCCTTTTTTGGCTTCAATGTCTATATTTTAGTATAGACTTTTTGTGTAATAAGGCACCAATTAGACATTTTATTGTCTGTTTTTAATTAATTATTTTGTGTGGTGACTAGGAATATTTATGTTTGACCAAGCTGTATTTTGAAAAGATGTTATAAACCAATTTATCAAGAAACATTTTTAAAATTTATTTTTAATTTCTTTCTGTATTATCTATATTTTATCATAAGGACCCATTAGTATATTAGCCTAACAAAACTCTGTTTTAGAATAAAATGAAGTGAATGAATAGAAAACTCATGTCAATAGTTAACAATAGACAATAAGAGTCTTTGAAAAAGTCTCCCTGTTGAAGCTACATTTTTATAATGTGTTACTCTCAAATTGAGAAAAGAAGATGTAAAGTTAATGATAGAAGATAAGTTACAGAAAAAGGAGTGGGATTTTTTTTCTTTAATCTGATTTTTTTTAGAGCGGAAGGAATTTCCACTTTCAGCCTAAGGAAACTAGAGGAACTGGATATACACTTCCACCCAAAACTATTACAAAAAAAAAAAGAGAGAGAGAGAGAGAAAAACAAAAAATATAAAACAACAGTGTTTAAGACAATGCCTATCAGGCAACAAAGTATGGCAATCTCAGAGATGAGAAATAAAGGAGGTGAGCCTGCAGTTGCCCCAGCATACCACCTTAACTCTTTGCCATAGGGTTTACAGCCTTTGGCAAAGGAAGGAAATTCCCAAAAGGAGCCTAGCCTTCTCTATGAGTTGAGAAGATGACGTTGGGAGTTCAGAAAGGCAGAGACAGCTAAACTTTGCAGAGCATATACCTGACAGGAGACAGTTGTGCAGAGGGAGTGTCTCAGAGATCTGCAAAGGGTTCCTCTAGAGTCTTCAGCTGAATGCACAAATGTGAGGGAACTATCCAAGCCTGGGGATAGAACCACCCGAAGGGTTAAAGAGATCAAGCCCTGAAACTCACACTTGAAATAGTTCCCATTCTCATCAACCACACCAGATAACCTGATAACTCAAAAGGCATCGGAGAGCGTTCCCAAAAGACATTTACCTCATTAATGGGGCAAAATTAGCTCCCGATTGAACAGGTCCATTTCCACCTAACAGTTGAAAAGTAAACTGTTTCTAAGCTATTCAGGAACAGAGTTAAATGATATTTAACTAATACCAAGGCACCAATAATACATAATGAGGAAAGGAAAGTCTCTTCAATAAATGGTTTTGAGGAAACTGGATATCCACAGGCAAAAGAAAAGAATTGGAACTTTGTCCTGTACCATATAAAAGAAACGTAAGGTCTGAAACTACAAAACTCTTAGACGACAACATAGGGAAAAAGCCCTTTGCCTTTGGCCTTGGCAATGATGTTTTGGATATGACAAAAAAGAAGCACAGGCGACAGAAGCCAAAACAAACAAGTGGGACTACATCAAACTAAAACAGTTTCCACATAGCAAAGGAAACTATCAACAAAATAAAAAGGCATCAATTAAATCGGAGAAAATATTTTCAAATCATATGTCCTAGTAGGATTTAATATCCAAAATACAGGAAGAACTCATACAACTCAATAACAACAACAACAAAAAAAACCAAAACCCAAAATTCAATTACAATGTGGGCAAATAACTTCAGTAGATATATTTCCAAAGACCTACAAATGGAAAAAATGTATGTGAAAAGTTTCTCAATATCACTAATCATGAGAGGAATGCAAATCAAAATCACAGTGAGATATCACCCCACACCTATTAGGCTGGCTATTATGAAAAAGGCAAGTTTTGATTAGGTTGTGGAACAAAGGGAACTTTTCTATTCTGTGGGTAGGAAGGTAAATTGGTACAACCATTTTGGAAAACAGTGTGGCGCTTCCTCAAAAAAATAAAAATAGTGCTACAACATGGTCTAGAAACCTCACTTCTGGGTATGTATCCACAGGAAATGAAATCAGGATCTCAAAGAGATGTATGCATCCTGGTGTTTATTGCAGCATTATTCATAATAGCCAAAATATAGAAACAACCTAATTTTCCATCCAGAGATAAAGATTGATGGTACAGTGGATAAAGAAATTGTGGTACATATTCATAATGGAATATTATTCAATAATAAAAAAGAAGGATATCCTAACCATTTGCAACACACGTCTGAACCTGGAAGACATTATAGGAAGTGAAAGAACCCAGACATAGAAAGATAAATCCTGTATGATATTACTTATATGTGACTCTGAAAATGTTGAACTCATAGAAGCAGACAGTAGAAGGGTGGTTTTCAGTGGATGGGAGGAAAAGGATATGGGGAGATGTTGGTCAAAAAGTACAAACTTTCAGGTATAAGATGAACAAGTTCTGGGGAATTTAAAGTAAGGCATAAGTGGTGGTTAATGTATTAATTAATTTGATTGTAGTAATCCTTACACATATATATGTATACCTTATCATCACATTGTACACCTTGAATATATTTAATCCTTGTCAACTAAATATTTTAAAATAAAAAAATACAAAAGCATCCAACAACCAATAGGGTAAAATTCACAATGTCTGTCATCCAATCAAGATATGATAAGAAACAAAATAATACGACCTATAACGAGGAGAAAAAAATACTCAATTGAAACTAACCAAGAAATGATACATGATAGAATTAGTATATCAGAACATTAAAAAGGTAATTATAACTGCATTCCATATATTCAAGGAAAGATTGGAAAGTTAAGTAGATACATGGAAAATACTTAAAAGACTCAAATCAAACATCAATATATGAAAATTACAATGTTTGAAATGACAAGTACACTGGATGAGATGAACAGAAGATTAAGCATTACAGAAGAAAAAGTAGTGGACTTACATAGCATTAGAAACTACCAAAATCAAAAGCAGAAAGAAAAAATGATGAAAGTAATGGATAACGTCATCAGTGAGCTGAGGGACCATTTCAAACATTCAGTTGAAGTCTCCAAGGTGGGATGGTGAGAGGATGTAAAGAATATTGGAAATAATTTGAATTTTGTTTAAAAAATGAGATACTGCATTTGTAAGCTCTAGAATTTTCATTTTGCTTTCTATATCTTTTACTTATCTATACATTATTTTTTATATTTTTAAATTATTGAGCATATTTATAATAACTAGGGTAAAATTGTCTGCTAATATTATTACTGTTGTTGATAAGTCTCTTTTTATTGTTGAATTTTTCTCCCGGTAAATAGGGCACATTCTTCTTGCCTCTTTGGATCTTAATTAATAATTTATTGGATGCCAGATATTGTAAAATTACATATTTGCATGTTGCCTTCTTTTAAATAATATTGCAATTTATTTTGCAGTCGGTTAAGTAATTTGTGGATCAGTCTCATATTTTTGAGGCCATTTATTTATTTATTTTTGCTTTGTGGTGGTTGTTCTAGAGATGTCTTTCGTCTAGTGTTACTTTGTTCCAATACTAAAGTATTATCCTTCAGGAATCTCTGTTGAATGCCCTGAGGCATGCTTACAAAGTGTCTCCAATCTGGCTTGTTGTAACTTGTATATCTCCCAGTCCTATGTAATCTCTGATAAGTGTTCAGCTTATATATGTTTGGTAATTCCTTACCAGCCTGATAAAATTTTGTGCTAGCCTGTGCAGATTAATATTCAGCAGTAGACCCAAGGTGACTCCTATACAGATCCATGAAGCTCCTTTTCTGTATTTCTCTCTCTTCTTGTCATATTCTGTCCTACAAATACCAGCTACCTTAGCCTCTCCAAGCTCTTGACTGCTGTCATCCCATTTTAGCAAGACTGATGTGCTCTGCTTGGGAGCCCCCTTTCCGGGTCATGGTCCAGACTATGTCTCCAGGGAGAAATCTGGGAATATCATATTGCCCATCATGTTCCTTTTTTTTTTTAAATCATGGATAACAGCCCTAAACTGTTTCCAATGTTTGAGAATGGTTCTTTCTTCTATTTTACAGTTTTCTAGTGGTTTGTGGTAGGAGGGCATGTTCAGGACTCCCATGTCCAAAAATAGAATTCTGAATTTCGTTTTAAGAACTTGCTTTTGAATAGAAAAAAAAGTAAAACTGCAATTTTCTGATAAATAGTGGCAGCTATAAAAATATCTGTTAATAGCTTATGAATAATCTTATGAATAATCTTATGAAAAATAAAATATGCAATGACATGTTCAAGCTTACCTATGTCACTATAAATTTCCACATAATGAAATGCTCTGCTGACAGGGAGAAATGGTAGTACTATTTTGCTTTTACTCTAAAGAACCCTTCGTGATATCCTGATATTTCTAGCTCTCTTTCCCTCTCTTTTGGTACTTTTAAGAATATATACAATATAATATTCTCTTATTTCATACATAGATAAGAAAGGGGCATGGAGAAAGAGCCAATAAGGTAAAAAATAAATAAATAAATAAAAGTCTTTGACAACCTGTTAACAACTATATTTGAGGAAAACAAGTGGGTCACAGCACCAGGACCATGGACAGCAATTCAAGTCTTTGTAATTCACTAGCACAGAGTATTTGTAGTCACACAAAATAAATATTAAGGCTCTGCCCCTAGACATCTGCCCTATTACTCACCTACCAATGATATGTAAAAGAGGATTATGATAACTATAGTTGATTGTAGTTTTACACACACACACACACACACACACACACACACAAAGGCAGATGCCTGAATCCTGGACTCTGAACTTAAAGTAGAGAAGAACTCACAGAAATTTTTACTTGGCATAAAAAATATGCATTTAGGCAGCCTAAGTTTTCTTTGCCTACCACTGGAGTTTAAGTGGCATGAGTTTTAAAAGTCTGATAACTAAAAAAGGGAAATTTTAGTTTTCTTTCTCACTTGCATTTTCATTTAGGACATTGGTTTTGAACCCTGGTTACACATGCAATCACCTGTGAATTTAGAATCACCTGAGAATCGTTTTAAATAAACTTATGCCCTAACTTCTCCCTCTTAAAGATCCTGATTTAATTGAACTACATATATATATATATATATGTCTCAAGGTTATTCTAAAAGCCATATAGGCAAGAGGCACTCAAATTGTGTTCCACAGATGAACAACACTGGCATCAACTGGGAGCTTTTCTGAAGTGCAGACTCCCAGTCCCTGCCCTAGACCTACAGAATGAGAATCTACATTTTAACACCATTCCCAGATGACTCATATGCACAATTAAGTATTAGGACATTCTTTAGTTGACAAAGATATATTTCCCACCTTCAAGGAATTCTGAAAGTAAACAGTAGAGCATTTAGACCTGTGACAACTCCAAATTGGCCCTGGCATCAGAATCACATGCTCTTTGTTATAAATACAGACTCCCAGAATCCATTCCAACTGTGGCCAGTCAACTCCTCCAAGCATGAAGCGTGGGCATTTGTATGTTTATGACATCTTCCAGGTGGACATATAGTAGACAATTAGAGAAGTTTAAGAAATAAAGTGAAATACAGACTACATTTTTCAACATTTGCCTCTACCAAAGTCCTAACCAAGCAAAAGAATAAGTGATGTCATGAAGTCAATAAATAATGGTAGCTATATCATTCCCTTATGCAGAACTAAATGGGATTTATGATTTTTAAAATGATGTAAATTTTATAGCCTTTTGTTAAAATAATCTTTATGCTTTGGATATTTTCGCTGTAAATGCAATAAAGAAAAATATATGTGCCTGAGCATTTAAAGGTTCCGTCAGTTTAGAATTTTAGGCCATTTCTGTGCAGTGCAGGCGTGGGGTGTGGAGAGTCTAATAGAGGCTGTTGAGGAAAATGGCAGTTTGACAAGAAACTGTAGAAGAAAATTGACAGATGTAGCAAGCGTGAGGATGGTGTAGTGCTGAGTAGGCTGTTTTGTAACAGAACAAAGAAAACATCTCAAAACTAGTTAAGTTAGTTATAAGGCTTAACTAGGCCAAAAACTTATGAGTATTTATGAATACTTTTAACACTGTAGAGAGTGTCAAAAATTTATCACATGAGTAAATTTTAGGTGTCTGAGTCATGGAGTCTGAGAACATTCCTGGCTAAGTAAATAGAGGTAGATGAAAATACACCAAAATGGATGACTTTTCTCTATACAAATATAACTTTATATAAAAGTTTTTAATGTTTCTTATTAAGCTATAAATTTTTACATGGCCAGAAATTATAAAAATCCTATTTAGTTATGTCTCCATATTCACTGTATACAGACACAAAACATCAGATTTGGAATTAAGGACTCATAAGATTCAATTCCAGCAAAGTCACTTAATATGTCACATTTTCAGCTTGCTTACCAATTCTGAGGTCCAGTCTTCATCTCTAAAACTGAAATAACACTACTTCTCTAGTTAGGACAACCATATGTCTGATATCTTCTCTCACTTGTGGGCGACGATCTGCGGTTTATGGTTAAAACTTTAGCTAGAATCTCAAAACAAATGTAAAGGCCTCACAGCTTACTGGAGTTACACATCACAGATAAATGTTATTGCTTTGATCCCTAAAACAATAAAAAATTTAGATCCTACAGTCTGGTATGACAACACTCAAGTGAGGTCGCAAAACATTAATTCCATGACACGTGGCATACTGGGAAAGACATACAATTTTGGGTACATTACAGAAGTACACAAAAAGAGCTAGGTTGTTCAATTTTAAGCTGCTAAGGCTTTATAGGTATTTTTTCATTTGTAGCATATTTTACGTTTGATATTATTAATTGATTCAATCATTAGTTCAACAAATGCTTTTTGAGCCCATACTATATAGTGTCAGACACTATACAGCATGTGAAAGATTCAATAGTCAGAAAGACATTTAGGCGAGGAGGACAAACATCAAATGAACAAATAATCTAACACAATAGGATGTTATAGAGTAATAACAATGTGATCTGTCATATGCTGCTACAGATTGTGGTACGTGTTGTGAAAAAAATAAATAGGTGACTAGCTTGAATAACTAGTAGTGTCACTTAAGGTAGGGCTGTTCCAGAAGAGATTTCTGAGCCAGTAGCATTTGAATTCCCCTAATGTGAAGGGTGTAATATGTCAGTCATGAAAATAGGTGCTGAGAAAGTATTAGCTGGGACTAGCAAACGCAAAACTCTAAAAGATGGATAAATCTTGGAGTGTATTTGACAAATGGAAAGAAGTCTAGAGAAGTTGGAATATAATTAGACAGACAGAAAATGGTGTGAGTTGAGGTTGGAGAATTCAGAGAAACCCAATATGCAGGGCCATGTAAGCTATGGAAAGTTGTTCAAATTTTTATTTAAAACAATGGGAAGCCATAGAAAGGTTTCAAGTGGGAAGAGAGCAATATTTATAAAGCAAAAGACTAGAAACATCCCAAAGATCCATAAATAGGTGACTGGTTTAATTAATTATGACATATACATAAAATAGAGTGTTATGTAGCTATAAAAAGGAATGAGAAACAGTTCTGTAACTGCTATTGAGTGATACATAGTATATATCATTAAGTAAAAAAGGAAGGTGGCAAAAAGTGTATACTGTATGCTATCTTTAAAAAGGGCATAAATCACAAAAGCACACCCCTGCATACGAATATTCTTATATTGAAAATAGAGAATAAACCAAAAACTAATTTGAAGATTAGGTTACCTAGAGGGGAAGAGAAGACTAGAATGAAGGGGATTGGCTTAGAAGGGAGACTTCTCTGACTGCCCCTGATTTTATAGTTTTGATTTTGGAATCATGTAAATGCTCTTATAATCATACAAAAAAACTATATGAAATATAAGCAGAAATAAATCTTTATGAAATAAAAGCCAAAGAAAACAAATGAAATAAACTACATATCAGGGGGCTAAACCGCACAAACAGGCATTATATCAAATGATTTTAAAATATAGTAATTTTTACATATCCAATGGGATACAAGGTAAGGACAAAAAACGCTGTAAAGATCTCAAACTGTTTTTTCTAATAGTGTTGTTATTCTGTAGCTAGTGTATATGTATGTGTGTCTGTAATTGGCAAGCAAACCATTTGTACACACACACATTGGATGAGTAAAAAGTACTTATATACTGTTATTAGGATCCAAGGTTTTCACCCTAGAATATACAGAAATGTAGTATTTATGAAGTCAAATTAATATTGGAATCAAATCTCAATATCAACTCATGGTATATTTTTATCTTCACTTTTTTTCCAAACTCTTCCAGTGAAAAAGTCTGGAAACACTGACCAATACAATATAGTAGACATGAGCATCTCTAGCCTTAAATTAAGGTCTTTAAAAATCACATTCTTCTTAAAGAAGCCAGAGTTTTTGGAAAACTGGCTGCTTCCAGGTGTTGGACAAGAAATACATAAGAAGAGCACAGATCTTAACAGAGAGAGTTGGAAGGCTTTGAGTTACATCAACAAAGCCATGTTGAAGTAGCTCAGTGGCTAAAAAAAAAAAGGAGAAAGAAAGAAAAAATATTTTGAACAGCTATAATAATAGTTGCAATGAATAAGTGTTTAAAATACTTTACATATCTTAAAATCTAGGATTTCATAGATTTAAATCTATGAAATAATAAGAAAAAATACAATCTCCATGAAAGATGTTAAAAAACCAATTCGTTCTTCTAAAATCTGTAAATAAGGAGAAAAATTTCTCATTTATCCTGTATTCCCTGTACAAACTCATCTCAGTATTAACAACTAGATGATGAAAGTGTTTTCCTTTAGACATTTTCAAGAAAATAGGTGAAGAAAGAATGTAGAGTTAGAATATAAGCATTTGCAACCTTCAACAACAACAACAAAAAACAGATTCAGGCTACAAATATGAACAGTACCTACAATTCCTAATTGAGTTATGGACGGAAACATTATTATGAATGCATCAGGCTGATAACAATACCTTAACCTACTAATTGGTTTTAATGTCTCAAAAAGAATGATGCAATCAAAAATTACGTGCCTTTTGATGTGTTACGCTAGGAAATACAAACATCACCTATGAACTATTATTGCCACAGTATAAGTGTGAATGTTATCTAGTCCCTAATGTAACCACTAGGTTTCAGAAAATCACTAGGTCAGAGGAAAATGTTAAAAGGCACCATGTTGGAAGGCATGCAATTAGGAAAATTCAGAAAGAGGTCTGCAGATTGGACAGAAGTAAACTGAATGACAGATTGCAGATTGAATGGCAGATCTCTTCAACAGATAAGTTGGAAGATAAAAGAAGAGAGAGGAAAGGGGAATATATAAATTAAAAAGAGATTTAAGAAATAAGCAGCCAAATACCTGTATGAAACTTGCTTGAAACTATAAAATAATATTTTAAGGTTTTCACGGAAATTGGAACATAATAGTTATTTATAGTTATAAACTTGTTAAGGATTTTTTATCTTTCATCAATATATACTGAAGTATTCACCGATAAAGTAATATGATATCTGGAATTCATCTGAGAGTATTTAAGAGTGTGTCTGGGGAGAAAGGCACATGAAGATAGAGTAAATGATAATTATTCAATCCAAATGATGGGTACATAGGGATTCATTGTACTAGTCTCTCTTTAAACTTTTGAATGTTTAAACATGTTTACAATTACATTGTGAAAGACAAAAAGATATAAGGAACCTGGGAAGACCTTGCTTACCTTTGGAAAATTTTGAAGAGAGGCACAGGTGAAAGCAGGAAGACTGGTTAGGTTACTGCAGTGATGCAGGAGAGAGAGAACGGAGGTTTAGACTACTGGGTGTCTGGCGGTGAAGAGTTAAACTGAAGGGATTCGATCTATTTAGACATGGTAGAATCAACTGTACCTCTAATTGATTGGATTGGGGTTGAAGAAAAAAGAGTCACCCAGAATACCTCCCAGAATTTCTGATATCTAGGTAGATAGTGATGTCTTCTACTGAGATTGAGAAGACTGGGAAGTGAGGGATAGTCACATGAAAATTTGGGGTTAGAGGTAATCAGGAGTTCTGTTTGATCTTCCTTTTTATTTCCCCTGTTATTTTCAGTTTGAGACATTTATTACACATCCAGATGAAGATAGAACACAAGGGAGAGATCAGTCCAAGATATACACATTAAGGAACCCCATCAACCTATAGATAGTGTTTAAAGGTATAGAACTAGATAAGGACATCTAACAGAGAAGATAGAGACAAAGACACCGCAGGCAGAGCCCTGGAGGAACAGCAACTTTAGATGTCACCTGGAGCAGAAGGAATAAAAAATCCCAGTCACCTGGGGTATGAAATGAAAGGCAGAGATGCAGCCCAGTTTTCTTGTTTTTAATTGTGTTGTATTTTACAACTCATTTACTGAAGGTATTCTAATAACTAACTAAATGAGCCCTGCCCTTTCACAACCCACCTGCAAAGGCAGTCCACCACAAAAGGTATCTACTTAATGATGCAAACAGAAAACTCCAGATTACAAATGAAAACAAACTAAATCAAAACAAAGGAGCTTCCTGGAAAATGACCAAGCAATACTCATGCTTTGATAACTTGATAGAAAGGCTGAAGATGACAGAACTAGTTCCCATTGGGGTATGTATTTATTTATATCCAGCTTACTTAAAGCCTAAGCCAACAAATCTAAACACATTGAGCATTGAATTTCCCTTATATTTCCCTGAATTCAGTGAGAACTGATTAACCCATTTAGAAAGAGCTAAACCTATCTTTACATGTAGCTAATTATGTTCTAATGCATACATTCAGTAATGCCATGAGGCTGTCCATCTGCAAACTGCCAGAAATAAGCTGCCCAAATTCAGAGAACAATTTATTTTAAGGCTAAAAAATGACACTGATTTAAAGCTTGCATTTGCTGATTTGATAAACTGTAAGTTGAAACAATTACATTAATGTAGCACATCTTAATGCCTAAGATTTTTCTAAAAAGAAAACAAAAAGAAATAGAAAAAGTAATTGCCTTTAACTTTATGTGTTAACAGAATAACGATGATTTAAAAGTCAGTTGTGTTTCTTTTTTCTTTTTTTTAACTACCTGAAAGTGCTGCCCTAGAATAAAGTGGGTGGAAAAGGATGTGTTAACCGTTAATCTCACCTAAGTGAATGACAGTTTCCATAACACTGTTTAAGGGTAAGAGGTTTCGAGGATTGGGAACCAAAAGCCATTTTTTAAGTGGTCTTCTTCAGGTATCCTTTTACCAAAAGCTGGTAAAAATAGCAAATGAATAGGGTGATAGTTCAAAAGTTAGGATAGTCAATTGGTACAAATCATCCTAGCAGGAGGAAAGACTGCACTGAATTTAGGAGAGAATCATCAACACAGAGTCTAGAAAACAAAAAGAGGCAAAAGACCATGAAGCAAGGCAGAGGAGAACTAACTTTGAGAATTCTGAGCCTTTTCCACAGGAATTCTTTGTCAGGAGGCCTACCTTGGTCCCTCAAGGGGCTGTGGAGAATCAGGCACTAATGGTAAATCCGTTGCCTCACAGCCAGGTTGGATCAATACAGTTTCCTAAAGCTCTTCCTTTTTATTCCCCCTGTTATCTCCTTCAGTACCAACCCTTTAGTATTTCCCTAATGTTTCCAAAGTGAAACAATATATAGATGGTTTCATTTTATCTCAATCTATACCACAATTTCGATCTTGACTTCATCAGAGCATTCTTCTATTTGATACCACCACAATCAGCAGAAATGAGAGACACACTGTCTGTCCATAATTCATACAATAGCAAATCCTTGCTTAAAGTATTGGTCTTTGAAAACATGCTTGATTTTTTAAAAATAAATTTTAAATGAAAGTTGTTTGACAATAGGTTAAATCTAATCTGAATCTGTTGGGTTCTATATTTTTAAAGAATTCTGATTATTTTCTTTCTTTCTTTTCACAGAACTGCTGAGTGAGAATGAATCTGGGCCAGTCCTAAAATACAGGAGAGGGCAACCCTCAAAATTTCAAAAGCAGCACGTTTGTGCCGTTTCAGTTGGAGCAATGTTTCTAATAGGACGAATACAAAGCAGAAAGGCTATTTTTAACAAATAAATAAAAATAAGACAAGTTTCTGGCTTCAATTTAAGACAACAAAAATTTATCAACATATAAAAAAATTCATCAACATATAAAACAATTCCACCCTAAAATTCCCAAAAGAGAACACAATAATCAACAATAATTGTTCTTTGAAAAAAACCCTCATGAGTTATAATAGTTCACAGTAAAAAATAAACGACAGGTCCAAGATACAAAATTACTTCACTTTGAATTTTCTGGCTCTAGTCAAGTTATTCTTGATATTTAATTCTATCTTAATTACTGTAGCCTAGAATATTTTTAGATGCTGAAATAAATAATAATCCAAGTCCATGAGTGATATCTGGCAAGAAGATATATCAGATATTCATAAATCAGAGCCACTGTAGAGTTTCAAAAAAAAATAGGAAGGGAAAATTTTTGCTATTTTTAAGTATATTAATATTGTTAGGAGCTTCTTTGATGATTGCCAAAGGGGTGCTGTATTTCCAGAACTTTCAGCCTTGAATGGAAGACCATTGGGTTACCTGGACTGATAGACTAAAGCTAAAACAATTCTTTTTAAAAAGCCATCACGAACCTCATATGGAAGCTAAAAGCCCCTCAGAGAGCAGCTCCACAAACAGCCTGGTATTGTCAAATTGCAGGTAACCTGGCAAGGTTTTTAGTCCTCTAATGCGCTCTTTCCATACAAGGAACTGTGAAAGCAGAAGTTCTTGGATGCATTAGAGGAGACCTTTCTCCTCTCACTGAGTAACAATTTATTTTGCTTCATACAGTGGTCCAAGCATTGCCACTTTACTCCCATTGCAGCTTTTTCTATGCAGCACTATTGCTTTTCAGATGAATCAATCTAAACAGTCCGAATCTGTACATTTCCAAGCAACAACTCTGGGAGGATTTTCCCTCTGACCTTTCCTTTCTCTGACACAATCTCCATTACAGTTTCAATGTATATATATTTGAGATGGAGTCTCACTCTGTCATCTAGGCTGGAGTGCAGTGGCACAATCTCAGCTCATTGCAACCTCCACCTCCCACGTTCAAGTGATTCTCTTGCCTCAGCCTCCCGAAAAGCTGGAATTATAGGCACCTACCACCACGGTCCAGCTAATTTTTGTATTTTTAGTAAAGACGGGGTTTCACCATGTAGGCCAGGCTGGTCTCGAACTCCTGATCTCAAGTGATCCGCCCGCTTCAGCATCTCAAAATGCTGGGATTACAGGCGTGAGCCACTGCCGCCAGCCTTGAATAGACTTAATATAGACTTTAACATTTTTAAATTAATATATTTTAAAATTGTAGTTAATAGATACATGATATTGGAATAAGTTCACTCCTCATAAATTTTTCCACCTACCTACCTACTATAATGATAATAAAATTTGTCTTCTACTAAACACAAAGCATGGTCCAGGAACTGAATGGTGCTTTGTTTGCTACTTATTTCTCACAATCGTATTTTAGGTAATTATTACTAGAATCATTGTTTGAGTAAATATAAGGAAGCTAAAAGATGTTTATTTTTTTTTCTTTTTTTTAGAAGTTTATATTTTATTTTTTTTAATTATTATACTTTAAGTTCTAGGGTACATGTGCACAACGTGCAGGTTTGTTACATATGTATACATGTGCCATGTTGGTGTGCTGCACCCATTAACTCCTCATTTACATTAGGTAGATCTCCTAATGCTTTCCCTCCCCCCTCCCCCCGTTCCCCACCCCACAACAGGCCCCGATGTGTGATGTTCCCCTTCCTGTGTCCAAGTGTTCTCATTGTTCTATTCCTACCTATGAGTGAGAACATGCGGTGTTTGGTTTTTTGTCCTTGTGATAGTTTGCTGAGAATGATGGTTTGCAGCTTCATTCATGTCCCTACAAAGGACATGAATTCATCATTTTCTATGGCTGCATAGTATTCCATGGTGTATATGTGCCACGTTTTCTTAATCCAGTCTATCATTGATGGACATTTGGGTTGGTTCCAAGTCTTTGCTATTGTGAATAGTGCTGCAATAAACATACGTGTGCATGTGTCTTTATAGCAGCATGATTTATAATCCTTTGGGTATGTACCCAGTAATGGGATGGCTGGGTAAAATGGTATTTCTAGTTCTAGATCCCTGAGGAATCGCCACACTGTCTTCCACAACGGTTGTTTATTTTCTTATCTTGAGTTACACAGTCAATAACTGAAGTCTGATTATAGTTCAAGTCTTTCTAAATGCCAAAGCTAATCAATCGTTTTTACCCTACACTATCAGCCACTGTTTTTAGCTTAAACCAAAACTCTATCCACTATGATCTGTTAAGCAACATCACCTACTATAACGTTTACTCTAACATCACTGATCTACACACTACAAATTGCTGTCATCTTTATGGAATCAGTTTGGAAATCTTTCTCAGAAATATTATTTGTAATTTTTGAATCAGATTCCTATGACTTTACCACATATTCATACCAAACATTTAAAGATGGGGACTTTATACTCAGAGATGCATATTGTTCCATCATGTACTATAGCATGTAGAAAGGAAAAAAAGCCAGAAGCAACTCATATGTCCAACATGTACCAAAGTGCAAAATACAATTTGGTGTTGAAATATATATTGAAAAATAAGCAGCTCTTAAAATTATGCATTTGTAAAACATTTAATGATATTGGAAAAAGGTCATGATGATGCAGTCAATGTTAAGTGAAAAAGTATAAAAATGTATCTGTGATATGAGACATAATTACACACACTGTGTATATAAAATAGAAGAAAAAAGAGGGCTGCTAGGAAAATCGCCAAATTATAAGCTTACAAGGCTGTTTCTGTTTTCTTCTTAATATAATGTGCATTTGATATTTAAAATAAAACCATGTTATTATTTTAAAGATTTTTTGAAAAACAATATCTAATTATATCAAAGCCTTTATCATTCTTGTTTTGCTTCATGCACTTTATGCTTGAGACTAAGCATACAACTATGCCATGATCTCTAACAGACAAAATGAGCCTCAAACCAAGTTTAATGTGTAAAATCTTTATCTTATGTTGCTTAACCGTTGATACCTTTGGTTCTTGCAGACTAGAAATTTCTGCTGCTACATTTCTTTCATAAATATTTCTAAGACACTTAATTCTAAGCATATACTGGAATAACATCTCTAAGTGCCTAAGGCAGCTTCCATTTTTTAAAACCAAACTACATTAGTTCACTTTGTTAAACTTGAGTTTATTTTCAGACTTTTGCTATATTGCAATAAACTCACATTTCTGTCTTTATGCACATATGCAGATAAATTTTAAAAATGTAAATATCTTGACCTGCCATTGTTGTGCCAAAAGCTATGGGTCACTTTAATTTTCAAAGCCACAGCTTAGGTGTCATCTAAAAATATCGCACCAGTTTATTCTCTCATCAGTAATGCATGAAGGTTTCCTCACACCTTGTTAGTATTTGGTATCAACTTTGTTGATGTTTCTCAATATAATGGAATAAAAAACTCTATCTCTATTTTATTTTTTTATTTTTTATTTGGCTATAAATTCTGGGATACAGGTGCAGAACGTGCAGGATTGTTACATAGGTATACATGTGCTAGGAGGTTTGCTGCACCCATCAACCCATCATCTAGGTTTTAAGCCCTGAATGCATTAGGTATTTGTCCTAATGCTCTCCCTCCACTTGCCCTCCACCCCCCAACAGGCCCTGGTATGTGATGTTCCCTTCCCTGTGTCTATGTGTTCTCATTGTTCAGCTCCCATTTCTGAGTGAGAACATGCGGTGTTTGTTCTCAGCAAACAAAATTGTTCTCAGCAAACATCATTCTCAGCAAACTAACACAGGAACTGAGAATGATGGTTTACTGAGACTGATGGTTTCCAGCTTCATCCATGTCCCCACAAAGAACATGAGCTCATTCTTTTTTATGGCCACATAGTATTCCATGGTGTATATGTGCCACATTTTCTTTATCCAGTAAATCACCGATGGGCATTTGGATTGGTTCCAAGTCCCTGTCATTGAAAATAGTGCTGCAATAAACATACACATGCATGTGTCTTTATAGTAGAATGATTTATAATCCTTTGGGTATATGCCCAGTAATTGGATTGCTGGGTCAAATGGTATTTGTGGTTCTAGATCCTTGCGGTATCGCCACACTGTCTCCCACAATGGTTGAACTAATTTACACTCCCATCAACAGTGTAAAAGCATTCCTATTTCTCCACAAACTCTCCAGCATCTGTTGTTTCCTGACTTTTTAATGATTGTCATTCTAACTGGCATGAGATGGTATCTCATTTGTATTTATTTATTAATGGATATGGTTTATTATTGTTTTACTGGTTTTTATATGAATAGTGCCTTTATCCTTTTGCTCTTTTCCTACTAGATTGTTGGTCTAGAAATAATTATAATAATTTGTGAAGTAGCTGAAGACAATGGTGGATGTGGAGTGTGAAGTAAGTAACCTTCTATGTCTTCTCCACAAATGATAGGAAATAACTTCAGTTATGGAGTTTCTTGGCAGACCCACAACCTTGGCATCCCTAGGCCTCAAGCAATGCCCAGACCAAGAAATAACTGTGAGTCCCTCGCAGTCCCACTGTCCTGTCCTGCTGGGAACTGAGGCAGATGGAAAATCTGCAGGGTAGACCGGGGAGGATGGCTGGCCAGGGGTCCTGGGGAAGAGATGGAGCGACCGCCAGAAAGGTTAATCCACCCTGAATCTGAACCACTTAAGAAGTAACCAGGCAAATGGAGCAGCCGACTGAAAAGGATTTAAAAGTCTGAGCCACTTGAAGGGCCAAGTTCAGCACTGGAAAAGATAGACTTTGTTTAAAGGCAGAAGCATGATCTTAAAGGGACAGTCGTTTATACAAACATGCAGCTTCTGGCAGAGAAAAAGGGGGAAAAGGAAGGAAGATGGCTCCATGAGCAACCGGGTGGTAAAAAGAATAAAAGACGATGGGGTTTTCTAGATATACAATCATGTCATCTGCAAACAGGGACAGTTTGACTTCCTGTTTTCCTAACTGAATACCCTGAAGCTGGAAACCATCATTCTCAGCAAACTATCGCAAGGACAAAAAACCAAACTCCGCATGTTCTCACTCATAGGTGGGAATTGAACAACGAGAACACTTGGACACAGGAAGGGGAACATCACACATCGGGGCCTGTTGTGGGGTGGGGGGAGGGGGGAGGGATACCATTAGGAGATCTACCTAATGTAAATGACGAGTTAATGGGTGCAGCGCACCAACATGGCACATGTATACATATGTAACAAACCTGCATGTTGTGCACATGTACCCTAGAACTTGAAGTATAATAAAAAATAAATAAATAAATAAATAAATAAATAAATAAATAAATAAATAAATAAAATTAAAAAAAGAATAAAAGAAAAGAGAGAATGTTTTAAGGTCCTGACACGCCAAAGAAAATTTTATAAATGGCCATGTGCCTCTCCCAAATCAAGCAAACCTGCTAAAAGTACTGGATTTTATTAGGCTGACAGAAAAGCATGTCATTAAACTAGGAATCTTGGAAAACACCACACTACCATAATGATGAACAAGCAGAAATTAAATCTACACAGAACAATGGCAGAAAAAGAGTAAATGAACTTTCACACAAATTGACTGAGGAATACCCTGCTCCCACAAAATAAACAGCTATGAAGCACAAGAAATCTATAAATCTACACCCCTAATAGAATTAGATATTCTCAAACATCTGAGACTATAACAAGAACACTTTAAATCAGAAGCTCGAAAACCAATAACTGAAATGGACAAAAAACAGGAAGAAATGAAAATAGTTTATTGAAATCAGAAAATAAATGGAAGAAAAGAAAATCATTTCAAAAATGAAGAGTAAGTTATAAGGGGGAATAAACTCAAGTAAAAATTTAGTAAGTAGCATCTAAGGCAGGTAAAAACCAAGAGAATGAAAACAACATTAACAAAAAATAAAATAGGTCAGCGAGAAAGTACTGGAGATGGAAGACAGGCTGTACGATAGTTAGCAAAGTGTTTCTCACAAGAAAACGGCCCAACAACTTTGAAATTATTTTACGTGTTTACTAGGTTTGAGAAAATCAGTAACTCAATTGTAGATAATGGGAGAAGGGATTGTCGCAGTTGGAGAAAAACTATATAAATCAGAGAAAGTTAGCAGGCTAAAATGAATTCCGTGGTATCAGTTTGGACTCAGAAGTATCAGTATAAACTCACAGTTTTTCATGTGTTGTGTGTGTGTATGTGTACAGATAAATAGGAAATAATTAATTAATAGGCCTGGTGCTGTGGCTCGTGCTAGTAATCCCAGCACTTTGGAAGGCCCAGGTGGGTGGATCACTTGACCTCAGTAGTTCAAGACCAGCCTGGGCAACATGACGAAACCCCATCTCTACAAAAAATACAAAAATTAGCCGGGCGTGGTGGCTCACGCCTGAAGTCTCAGCTACTTGAGGGGGCTGAGGCAAGAGGATTGCTTGAGCCTAGGAGGAGGAGGTTGTGGTGAGCCTAGATAGCACCACTGCACTCCAGCCTGGGCGACACAGTGATACCCTGTCTCAAAATAATAATAATAATAATAAATTTAGACTTTGTGAGTTATGTATTATTTCTGATGTATATATGTGTATATACACATACGTATATACATATTGATATGTATATTTAATATATTATGTATAAGAAATTTTTTCAACCCTTTGAAAAGGTTAAAAAAAATTCTCAGCCTGGCACGGTGGCTCACTCCTGTAATACCACCACTTTGGGAGGCCGAGGTGGGCAGATTACTGAGGTCAGGAGTTCAAGACCAGCCTGGCCAACATGGTGAAACCCCGTCTCTACTAAAAATACAAAAATTAGCCAAGTGTGGTGGCACACGCCTGTAATCCCAGCTACTTGGGAGGCTGAGGCAGGAGAATTGCTTGAGCCTGGGAGACAGAGGTTGCAGTGAGCCAAGATTGTGCCACTGCACTCCAGCCTGGGCGACAGAGCGAGACTCTGTCTCAAAAAAAAAAAAAAGTCTCAGCTCACTGACCACACACAATAGAAAACATTCTTAGCTTACTAATCAACACAATAGACTTTGGGCAGACCCCTGCTCTAGGCCCAGAAGTAACACTTCACTTCTCTCAATTAGTGAGAACTTGTCTCATTACTTCTACTAAATGCAGGAAGACTGGGACAGTGGCTGACTTGTGTGCTCACTGACAGAACAGAGTTGGCCCATATCTCATCAGTCCTGCTATCCACCCATTTCTCTGTTCTGGAAGAGATTTTTCTTCAGCTTTAATTCTTTTTGGCCTTGTTTTAGGATAGAATCCCTGGTTAGTGGCATGGTATCTGAGGACTCTGACGTCCATGATACATTTTTTCTATCGTTAGTGAGTAAGAAAAATGATTTACTGGCAACCTAGAAGGAATTACTACAATCCAAAAAGTTAACTAAAACTCATGTTTAATTTCTTGGTTATTTGAGTGATTGAAAAAAATGAGTAAACAAATGAATAATTTAAATAATTCACAGTTCTTAACTCATGTCTAAGAGGGCAATAGCAATATATTCTCCTAGAAGGGAGGGACACAAGTCTAAGTGCTAGGGAATTAAGCTGATTAGGTGACTTTGAACTTTTATTCTGTTTTTGCATCTAAGAACTTGAAGGAAATAATCTAACTGTGTATTATTATGTCAAACAAATCCTTACCTACTTCTGAGTTCAGCAAATGTCAAAGTTAAGTAAAAAATAGAAAAATTCTAAACAACCATTTCAATATATATGAAGGAATAGATTTGTGTAATAAAAAATTAGTTAAGCAGCACATTTTAATAAATAAATATATAATTATTTTAAATTAATCAGTAAAAAAGTAAATGCCTAATTATTTCTCTATTGTTCACATTTTAGTAGTTTCGAAGATGAGAGCAATTTTATAGAACAGTATTGAAAGAGTTGCCAGAGAAGAAAATATTTGGGGAAACTGACAATCACTATGTGCTTGTTCTTTTTTTTTTTTTTTTAGTGTCATTTTTCTCCCAGGGGAAAAAAATTTTTCTATTTCTTTTTCTGGGCCATTACAAGGTACTTTGTACTCAGCCTGCAATCCCCAATTAATGCCAACAATATGATCTCCAAGGGAGATGACTTTAATTCCACCTCTATTTCTAATTTCCTCACCAGCCAATTCTTCATAGATAGAAAGTCTGAGCTTTAATAATACAGGGCAATAGAGACAGGAACATTACACAGACTTCAGCTGAGAACTTAGAAGGGGAGAAAAAAAAAACTTTAAAAAACCTGTGTAGTTTCTTAGGCATGGATCTTTCCCTCTCTTTGACTGCTCTCAAACTTTGAGACTGTAAGCTTAAATCAACTTTACTTTCTGAGAAGGTCTTAGATCCCTAAATCCATATTTCTCCATACAGCTTGTCTTCTGTCATTCTTCAATCCTTTTTGTTTTCAATTTGACTGTATCCTCTGAGAACCTTAAGAATTAAAAACAATATATTTGAAATGAAACATTTATTGGTGTCAAAAGTTACAATAAAAGATGCTGTTTGAGGGCATGAATTGAGTCTTGCATGTATTTATAGTGCTTACATTTTCTAGTGCAATAGTTTGCACACAATATTAAGATGTAATAAAATGAAGATAATTTCTTTCCTTGTACAAGATGATTTAAATGGAATCAGTGCACATAGTCATTGTGCTATAATAAATTTCCTTCCCATTCAAACATTCTTATCTTTGCTGTTACCATTCACTTCACTGGGAATATAGCACAGGTTCACTTACCCATTCAGTCAAATGAAAACCATACTTCTCTTCTGAGTAAAGTATTTAAATGTATAAATTAAAATTTCTAAGAGTTTTCTATTTCTCTGAATTCACATTGTCTCAAATTATATATTATTTTGTGAACTTTTATATTGTATGTTGGATTGTTGTGGCCCTGTCTTCTTCCAATTGAAATTAAACTACTAAGAGAGTAAGCATTATTCACAATGTACCTTCCCCAGAGTACCCAGCAGGAAACTTTGCACATCATAAATATTCAATGAGTGTGTTAAATAAATTCATTCTTTAAAAAACATGACAAACATTTCTCCTTTATTTCTCAAACTAGAGATTCAAATATTTGGATGACTAGGAATGTTCAAAGGAATCATAAAAAATAGTAAACAGTCTTCTTTTTTGTTTGTTTGTTTGCTTTTTGCTTGCATATGGCCACATTGGGTATGACCACTGTGATTAAAAATTAAAGAACTAAAGACTAGATAATATATTGTTTTTTATTCTAATATCTGAGGCCTTGATAGAATACTTTTTATGAAAATAGTCTGCTATCGACAGACTATTTGTGTCCCCCAAAATTCGTATGTGGAAGTCTAAATACCCAATGTGATGGTATTTGGAGGTGGGGCTTTTGGGAAGTAACTAGGTCATAAGGGCAGAGGTCTCATAAATGGAATCAGTGCTCTTATAAGAAGAGACACAAGATTAATGGATTAATCTCATAAATTGATTATATTATCCAATATAAAAACATACAGTGGCTGACTGCTTAAAAAAACAAGACCCAACTAAGTCCTGCTTTAAAAAGACTCACTTCAGCTTTAAGGACACATAGTGAAGACTGACTGTGAAGGGATGGAAAAAGATATGCCATGAAATTGGTAATCAAAAGAGATCAGAAGTGGCTAAATATATTAAACAAAATACATTTTAAGTCAAAACTTGTAAACATAGACAATGAATCTCATGATATAACAGGGTCAATTCATCAAGGGAATATAACAATTGAAAATATATATGAACCTAACATCAAAGCATTTAAATATATAAAGCATATATGAACAGATCTGAAGGGAGAAACACACAATAATAATAGGAAACTTCAATAACCCACTTCAATACTATTATTGTAGCAATACAATAATAGTAGAGGACTTAATACCCCCAATTTCAGCAATGGATAGATCATCCAGGCAGAAAATCAAGAAGAAAATATAGGTCTTAAAATACACTTTATGTCAAATGAACTTAACAGACATACACAGAACATTCCATCCAAAAGCAGCAAAATGTACATTATTTACAAGTGCACATGGCATATTCTTCAGATTAGATAATATGTTAGGCCACAAAATAGCCTTAACAAACTTAAGAAAATTAAAATGGTATCAGGTATATTTTTCAACCACAATGGTATGAAACCAGAAATAAGTGAATTTTGGAAAAATTACGTGGAAATTAAATAACACACTCCTGGGACAACCAATGGGTCAAAGAAGAAATTGAAAGGGAAACAAAACTATCTTGAAACAAATGAAAATGTAAATACACATACCAAAATTTCGAGATGCAGCAAAGGCAGTTCTAGGAGGGAAGTTTATAGTAATAAATACATACTTCTTTAAAAAAATTAAAAAGATCTCAAATAAACAACCTCACTTTACATATTGAAGAATTTGGAAAAAAAAAAGAGGGAGAGAGAAAGCCAAGCCTAAAGTTAGTAGAAGAAAAGAAAATAACAAAGATCAGAGCAGAAATAAATGACATACACACTGGAAACACAATTAGAAGATCAATGAAACTAAGAGTTCATTTTGAAAAGATAAACAAAGTTAACAAACCTTTGATTAGACAAAGAAGAAAAGAATAAAATTCAAGTAAATAAAATTATAAATGAAACAGAAGACCTGACAACGGATATCAGATAAATATAAAGGATCATAAGAGACAACTATGAACAACTATATTCTAACAAATTGAATAGCCTAGAAGAAATGTATTCTTAAAAACAAAACAACAACAAAAAAACACCTTCCAAAACTGAGTCGTGAAGAAATGGATAATCTGAACAGATTAATAAAGAGTAAGGAGATTGAATCACTAATAAAAAGTCTCTCATTAAAGAAAAGCTGAGGGATGGGTGCACTGCTGAATTCTACCAAACATTTAAATAACAAACATCAATTCTTAAACTCTTCCAAAAAGTAGAAAAACATGGAGCAATTTCAAACTGATTTTGCAAGGTCAACATTACCCTGATGCCGATACCAAACAAGACACTACAAGAAAAGAAAATTACAGCTCATCTATGATAAACATAGATGCAAATATCCTCGACACAACACTCGCAAATCAAATTCAACAGCAATTAAAAAATTGTACACCATGCTCAAATGAGATTTATGATTCAACATGTGCAAATAAATAAATGTGATAAATCACATTAACAGAATGAAGGACAAAAAGTGTATGATCATCTCATTAGATGTAGAAAATCATTTGATGAAATTCAACATCCTTTCATAATTAAAACTCTCAACAAATTAAGTATAGAAGGGTACCTCAGCACAATAAAGGCCATATATGACAAGCCCACAGCTAACATCATATACAACAATGAAAACCTGAAATATTGCCTCTAAGATTAGAAACAAAACAAAGATGCCCACTCTCACCACTTCTATTCAACATAGTACTAGAAGTTATAGGCAGAAAAATCAGGTAAGAAAAAGAAACAAAAGGCATACAAATTGAGAAAGAAGTAAAACTGTCTCTTTTGCAGATGACACAATCTAGAAAACCATTAAGAACTTCACCAAAAATCTTTTCAGACTAATAGTTGAATTAAGCAAAGTTCAGGATACAAGATCAACATATCAGGGGCATTTCCATACGCTAACAACCAATTATACAAAAAATAAATTAGGAAAATGATTTCATTTACAAATAACATCAAAATGAATAAAATCCTTAGTAATCAATTTAACCAAGGAGGTGAAAGATGTGTACATGGAAAACTATAAAACACTGATGAAAAAAATTGAAGGAGACACTAATAAATGGAAAGACATCCTCTGTTCATGGACTGGTAAAATTAACATTGTTAAAATGTCCACACTACCTAAACCTATCTACAGATTCAATGCAAGCCCTATCAAAATGTCAAAAATATTTTTCACAGAAATAGAAAAACAATCCTAAAATTTATATGGCACCATAGAAGACTCCAAAAAGCTAAAATAATTTTGAGCAAGAAGAACAAAACTGGAGGCATCATACTTCCTGATATCAAATTATATCAGAAGACTATAATAATTAAAACAGTATGCTACTAGCATAAAAACAGACATGAAGACCAAGGAAACGGAATAGAAATTACTGAAATAAACTCACACATATACAATTGACACTTTTTTGACAAAACTGTCAAGAACACACAATTAGGAAAAAAATCCTCTCTTCAATAAATTGTGTTAGGAAAACTGGATATCCAAATGCAAAAAAGAAAACAGAGAAATTCTATCTTTATCTTAAACCATATAGAAAAATCAACTCGAAGTGGATTAAAGACTTACACGTAGACCTGAAACCAATAAAACTCCCAAAAGAAAACATAGGAGAAAAACTCCTTGCTATTGGTCTATGGTTTTTGGATACCACACCAAAGCACAGGCAACAAAATCATAAATAAACAGATAGGATTATATCAAGCTGAACGGTTTCAGCATAGCAAGGTAAACAATATCTTGAAACCATATATCCAATAAGGGGTTAATATCCGAAATACCTAAGAAACTCAATATCAAATAAAGAAACACACATACAAATAACCCAATTAAAAAATAAGAAAAGAACCTAAAGAAACATTTTTCCCAAGGAGACTTACAAATAGCCAACTAGTATATGAAAAAATGCTCAACATTACTAATCGTCAGGGAAATACAAATCAAAACAATGGGCTATCACCCTACAACAGTTAGATGACGTTAACAAAAAGTCTAATAATAGAAAGTGTTGGCAAAGATGTGGAAAAAAGGGAATCTTTGAAAACTGTTAGTGGGAATGTCAGTTGGTTACAACTATTATGGAAAACAATATGGAGCTTCCTCAAAAAATTAAAAATAGAACTACCATATGACCCAGAAATCCCACTTCTGGGTGTATATCCAAAGAAATCACTATCTCTAGGAGATATCTGCACTCCCATGTTCACTGCAGCATTATTCACAATAGACAAATTGTAGAAACAATCTAAGGGTCCTTCAATGGATCAATGGATAAAGAAAATGTCATATATACACAGTGGAATATTGTTCAGCCTTAGAAGAAAAACCTGCCATTTGCAACAACATGGGTGAACCTCAGTGACATTGTGTTATGTATAATAAGCCAGACACACAAAAGCAAATATTGCATGATCTCACTTATGCTTGGAATCTAAAGAAATTGAACTCATAGAAGCAGAGAGTAGAAGGGTGGTTACCAGGTGTTAAAGTGTGGGGGAAATAGGAAGATGCTGGCAAAAGAGTACAGATTTTCAGTTATAAGATGAATTAAAAGTAAATAAAGTTGATACATGAGAGAGGTGATGGCTCTCTACTCTCTGCCATAAGAGGATATAATAAGCAGATGGCTGACTTCAATCCAGGGGGTATGCCCTTCCCTGACATCAGATCTGTAGGCACCTTGATCTTGGACTTCCCAGCCTCCAGAGCTGTGAGAAAAAATGTTCATGATTTAAACCAGTCTGTCTAAGGTTATTTGTTATAGCAACCTGAGCTAACTAAAAAAAAATACTCTACCCCCTGTGACTGGTAACTTTTCACCCCATATTTTCCACAAACATTTATAGAATTTTAAAAAAATAGATAAATGTCATTTTAAAAATATCTTCTAGTCACTCTTCACCTCAGGGAGCTTGATCATTAACTGTAATGCCAGTTCTGCTTTCATGTGTACAGACGCCTGGCTGATTAGATGGCTGAGAAAGCACATTGAGTTCCTTGTCCTCAGAAGGTACACTTGTCAAAACCCCTATGTAAACAGAACACGAAGTCACTAAAAGATGAGGATGTCATCATAGGAGAATACAGTAAAACTTTCTCTTTTCAGTTCAATAGTCCATTGTCAAATAGCCTCAAAAGGTTTCACAACTCACTGCTTGGGAGGCACTGGGAACTCAAAGACACCAAAAATGTGACAAAGTATAAAAAGAAAAAAAATAATAACATCTGAAATAAAAACAGAACTGAATTAGTTCTGAACTGAAATGTCCTGGATGGGTCAGTGAGTTTCAAACTTTCTCTGCATTTATTTGCTGAAGAATGTAGAGAAATGTTTATTTAGGTCCTTTGCTTAGTTTTTAACCAAATTGTTGACACCAGATATTTTTGTTTTTTGTTTTTGCTTTAGATTTTCAGGCACGAGAAATACAAGCAAAACACCTTTGCTAATTATTATCACTGAAATTAAAGCATATTACGCTTCTTGATTTTAAACGGACTAGAATTGAATTCTAAGAACACCTTGGTTCCTTAAAATATAGCATTTATAGTTTTTGTTTAAAACATGTATTTAAAAGATTTGTGGCAAAACAAAGGAGTTGCAAAAAGGTTAATTAGGACTAAGACTTAATAAGTATTACCATTATATTTACATTCTGTGACAAATTAGTTTGAAAACTTTCTGCAGATATTGTAATTATACTTTTTGTGAATTAATTTATATCTATATAATGCATAGTACTTGTTGATACATATTTGTATTTTCAGATTTTTTTCAAAAAATTCTTAGTTTCTGAAATGCCTAAAGAATAGAGTGTTACAGGTCTTAAGCAGACAATTCTACCCATAGACAAATGTAAAAATACTGAAGGAAGATGCAGAAAATAGTTTCTAAATGGTCAGGGTTTGACTGCATATATTTTCAAGTGAGTAGTTATTCTTATGAATCTTGTAATTCCTATATCTATATAGAATAAAGACCTTCATCGTATTATCAGAGGTACAAACTCCTTCCACCTTTTTAAACTCCTGTAGCATATGAAGTTTTCTGTTCAAGGCTTCTATTTAAAGTCTTTTCTTTATTATGTTCCTACAGGGATTTCAAGGGCTGCTTCTAGATCTCTTGCTTTCTACTTCAGTTTCAAAAAACCCTACTGGGGTTTCTATTTTTGTATTACTTCACCAGATGTCCAAACCATTTAAGACATGGCCTCTAAATCCTTGACAGCTATTTGAGGGTGTCAGTATGCTCTCAATTCATTTCATTTTTGCCTGATCTTGTCTTGCATTTTCCTATGCAAAGAATAAAACAAACATCTAAGAAGTGCCAACTGGGTGCAAGTCACTATGCTAAGCATCAGGGGGACAATATAATACTTGTTTTCTCCTCTTAAAGAACTCAGACAAATAAAGGAGAATAGAATTTGTCAACATTTCTTATAGAGTCTAAGAAACTGACCGCTACAATTTAGATTAACTCTCTTGTATCCTTTTTGAATTTCTGCTCCTCCACTTAGTACTAATTATTTAATTCTATAATTATAAATTCACTATTTTTATGTTAGGATGAATAAGTCTGTGTGACTCCTTTTAACCTACTTCCCTCTTACCAGGCTTACTGGCATATTTGGTGCCCTGTCTTCTACCCAGCATTCTAACTAAGCAAAGCCATCAATCCCATCTACTCTAATACTTAGCAAAGAGGCTGGTGAGCTCTTCCCACCAAATTTAATGTCATTTTCCTAACAAATTTAATGTCATCAGTAACTCTTCTAATCTTGGTCTACATGAGGTAATTTGTTCAAACTGATGAGAATAGAACTGTAAAAACATTTTTATTGTGAAAATAGTTTTTGGTCACAAGGATTCAAAACAAATGATTTTGTTTTTGCCTTGAGATTTAGGCTAAATCTCATGAAAAAGCAATGCAGTTGTTTTGAATTGGATTTTCCCAGTCAACCTAACTATATTCAAGAAGTAAGTTTATCCATATGGAACTTTGGTGCATCATTTGAGTATGCAATTAAAATAGCTGACAACACTAAAATAGTTATAAACAAAGGGTATTCATGAGAAAGAGAATGTTTTATAAATAGGAATAATTAATACCACTACTGTTAATAATAACTACAACTGTTATTGAGTCTTTATTAAGTGTCATAATCTAAGGTGGGTGCTTTGTCTACCTAAAACCTTTTAGCTCTGTTTGACAGAAGACCTCAAATAAGAGAGCTTTAAACAGAGTCTGAAATGTAAAGGTCTGAGAGAGCAGACTAGAATCAGTGCCAGCCAGCTTGATAAGTGTGTGGCCTGGGCAGTCACACAAGGTCCTGCTTAGTTTCATACTATTCAGGAGCCATAATAAAATTCTTATTTTATGTACCAAACATAAATTCAAGGATTCAAGGAATTTATGTTTGGTACGTGAAGTCCAAGGGGAAAACGGCAGACGTGGATAAGCCGAGGAGATCCATGCACTGCCTGCCATTCCTTGTCTCATTTGTATATAATCTTTATGATATCTAATAAGGACAGAATCCAAGCAAATCCACTGTATGTTTACGTTCAGTGAAACTCAAAGCAAGTACAACATAAGAGTGTTATCTCTAAGACTTGGTGGAGGTACTCACGCATCAGAGGTCATGCTTTCTGCTCAAAGCAGAACTTGCTTCAAATGTGAAAAAAAAAAAGGCAATGACTTTCTAAAATATGCGAACTACCAAGGAACCCTACTGAATTCTTTCTTACACAGGTCACTTACCTGTATTAGCTATCACTTACACTGATAAGGATGGTATAGAAGAAAAGGAAAGATATGGCAAGCAAGAGTTCCTCTTCCTTTGAGTCCCTTCTTACTCATCAATAAGCCAATGTGGATAGTGTTGGCACAGTGTGAACTTACCCGGAAGTGAAATAAAAATAATTGTGTTAGTTTTATTTGGCATTTTCACTCTTTTGGCATGAGGATGCATAAGATATTAAATAAAAATTGTGTCATTTCGGTAATTATGCATATAAGTTAAATTCTCTTATATTTTCATTTAAAACCGGCATTCCAAACAATACAAAAGTAGACACTAAAATTTATGCAAATAATTTACTAGGTTTTTTTTTTTTTTTTACTTACAATCACATTAAATAGTAAGTAAAAACAGCATAACAAGTCTAGAGAGAGAGGAAGGAAGAAAGGAAAAAGTTTCGTATTTATGTACTTCTAATGACATTTTCCCTTGCTTTTTTTTTTTTTTTTTTTTTGAGATGGAGTCTCTCTCTGTCGCCCAGGCTGGAGTGCAGTGGCGCAATCTCTCCTCACTGCAAGCTCCGTCTCCCGGGTTCACCCCATTCTCTTGCCTCAGCCTCCCGAGTAGCTGGGACTACAGGGGCCCGCCACCACGCCCGGCTAATTTTTTTTGTGTTTTAAGTAGAGACGGGGTTTCCCTGTGTTCGCCAGGATGGTCTTTATCTCCTGACCTCGTGATGCGCCGGCCTCGGCCTTCCAAAGTGCTGGGATTACAGGCATGAGCCACCGAGCCTGGCCCTTTCCCTTTCTTTTTAACAAGACGATCCCACGTTTTCATTTTGCACAGGGCCCCACAAGTTGCAAAGCCAGCCTTGCCAGTACTGATATGGTGCCCCACAGTGTCGGGAACCCAACTTTCTTCTATCCTTTTGCTGCATTATCTGTGGCCTTACCGTAATGGTGCGGTATCAACTTCACATGAAACACAATGCCAAAACAGATGAAGGTAAAGAACACACAATGCTTTCTCTTTTGGTGAGTTTAAGATGAATGTGACAAGATTCTTCTGCCTTCTATGGTAAATCAGAATTTAGTTATATAAATACAACCAATGCAAGCGAAGCTGGGATACAACATCTTTAACGACCAGCTAAATTTTATAGGTTCCCTTATCAAAGAAAAAAGTGGATACTGGGACATAACTTGCTACATCTACCATGCAAATTAAAAATAAAAGACTGGGAGGAATCAATGAGTGGCAAGGTGGCACAAAACTGGACATACTGGGAAAGATTTCTCCCTGAGGAAAGATGTATATCAAAAAGAGAGAAAGAGAAACAAGTGGAGAGGATATCTGCATTAGTGAGGAGATATGTTAGGTAAAAAATAGAAGAAAAAGTGAGGTCAATTACATGAAGAATATTTTAAAGAATGAGCCTAGGCTGGATTCACAAAGATCAAAAAAGCTGGCTTGTATCACTGGCTATGTGACTTGGGGCAAATTACTTTATTTAAATTATAAATTCCTACTTCACAGCATTTTTTTCAAAGAATTACAAGTAATATGTTTAAACTGCCTAACATAGTGTCTGACATATAATAGATACTAGTTCAATCATCATTTTAATTTTCATTTTAAAGATGAAAAACACCATTACTTTTATTAATTCTATTGTGTTTTGTATCTATGGCAGACATTTTATTTCTTCAAGATAGTATTTTAAAGTGAAACATAAATATAAACATCAAGGCATCATTATTAGTTATTAATACATTAGTTTTAATAAATATTGTAATATATGAAAACTATATCAATATTCATGTAAAACATGTAAATGTTAAAACAAAGCATTTTATTTTTATTTTAGCTAAACTTAAACTATATCAAGGAAAAGATAACAATCTTGAAGTTTTTTCATATTTAAATGCTCATATCTAGCAACTTGGAATAATCTATTATGTACTATGTTAAAAAAAAAAACCTATAACTCCATTGCTAGCCTGCAGTAGACACCCATCTTAAACTCATTTTATCTTTGTTCTCTGTGTTCAATTTAGTGTCTATAATTGGTAGGTCATACTGCACAAAACCATATAAATATATTTAATAATAGACTGAACTTGAAGTACCTTCTATTTAATTAACTTGAATAAAGTGTATCAGCAGTTTGGAGAACTGAATAATTAAATAGGTCTGTATTATTATCCCCATTTTATAGATGGAATCATAGGTACAGAGATATTAAATAATTTGCTGAAGAACATAGATTCAGTCAATAGCAGGGGTAAATTGGAAGTAATACTCAAAATTTGCATTAGGAGAAAAAGTTCAGCAGAAATTTCTGCTACATCTGTACTCTACATAGAACACTAAAGTGAAATTATTGTAGTTCTCATTATTAATATTCATTATCAAAAATATGCTAGGTACTATAATATACACAGAATGAGATAAAATCCCCTAATCCCAGCTCAACTATATATCTAATCCTCCCAACTTATTACTAGTACATCCAAATGGGTGTTTTATCACCTTAATTATTTTCAAAGAATGGTGCCAATAGCAAAGAATCTTGTGAATCTAATTGCTGAAGATAATACATCTCATGTTCACCCAAGTAATACTAACCTTTTCTATTATAAAACTGAAGGCAGTGTTTGAAAATGCATGCTATGCCTAAAAAAAGAACCAAGGGCACCCTCCATAAATTGGACAGCCCTATTAGTGAACTTACTAATTTGGGTTGTGTTCATATACCAATAGTAAATTTTAGTCATAATTTTATAGAGATATTCTTATTCTAGTAACATATAAATGAGACACTGTGCTAGCTACATTTCATTCTCTGTAAATAATCATCCCAAATACCTGTGAAGTATATATTATGCCTAGTGTACATGTAGGAAGAGAAGGCTCTAAAAAGTGATGGATTGTGCCTAAGGACACATAGTAAGATGACAAATGTATAGCTGGTCTTTAAGTAACTCTAGTTCTTTCCATTCCAACACAATTACTCTCTATTGTTGTATAACTTTTGGCTAGTCTTAAAACATACCACTAGGTTCAAACCTTAAAACATACCACTAGGTATGTTTTAAGACTAGCCAAGGCCGGGCGCGGTGGCTCACGCCTGTAATCCCAGCACTTTGGGAGGCCGAGGCGGGTGGATCATGAGGTCAGGAGATCGAGACCATCCTGGCTAACAAGGTGAAACCCCGTCTCTACTAAAAATACAAAAAATTAGCCGGGCGCGGTGGCGGGCGCCTGTAGTCCCAGCTACTCGGGAGGCTGAGGCAGGAGAATGGCGTGAACCCGGGAAGCGGAGCTTGCAGTGAGCCGAGATTGCGCCACTGCAGTCCGCAGTCCGGCCTGGGCGACAGAGCGAGACTCCGACTCAAAAAAAAAAAAAAAAAAAAAAAAAAAAAAAAGACTAGCCAAAAGTTATACAACAATAGAGAGTAATTGTGTTGGAATGGAAAGAACTAGGAGCAAACTATCGCAAGGACAGAAAAACAAACACCGTATGTTCTCACTCATGGGTGGGAGTTGAACAATGAGAACACGTGGACGCAGGGTGGGGAACATCACACACCAGGGCCTGTCGTGGGGTGGGGGGAGCAGGGAGGGCTAGCATTGGGAGAAATACCTAATGTAAATGACGAGTTAATGGGTGCAGCACACCAACATGGTACATGTATACATATGTAACAAACCTGCACGTTGTGCACATGTACCCTACAACTTAAAGTATAATAATAAAAATAAACAAAACATGAGAAATTGTAAAAAAAAAAATACCTAAAATACAAATATGTTTGTATACTGTCCCATTTTTATTTTGATTAATGTTTATTAAAATTACCGATATATTTGAATTTATTTTAACAATATTATTTTGTATTTTTAACTGAAAAACTTCCTCTTTTTCTTGACTCTTGTGGAATGATTTCTTTTCTTCCTTTTTTTTGCTACTGATTTGGAAATCTTACATTCTTTTTCTGTTTTTCGTGGTTATCCCTAAAATGTTTAGATACACATATTTGGGTTAAGTTAAAAGCTAATCAATTTATCTCAGTATTCTACTATGTGAACATACCAACGTTTACTTCATAGTCCTCTATTAACTTTAGATTATTTCAGTATTCAGTAAGTTTTCAGTATTAAAAGAATTCTGTAACGAGTATCTCTCTCTCTGAATATTTATCTGCATATTTGCATACCTGTGTGACTATTTCTATAGTACAGACCCTTAACAATGTAATGATTATGTCAGAAGTTATATACATTTAAAATTTTGATAGATACTTCTAAATACTATCCAAAAAAGGTATATACAATTGTACTGACACTATGAGTGTGTGGGCATACCCATTACCCTTTACCATCACCACTTCTTGTCCTCGTGTTTCTCCTTCTCCATTTTTTCTCCTTAATTTTTAATCTAATGGGTAAATAGAAAGTATCTCTTTGTTGGATACCTTGCTTGGAACTTTTTTATTATGGTAAAATATATACAATACTTCTTTTGACCACTCCTAAGTGTGCTTTAACCATTTGTTAGCGGCATTAGATATAGCCACAGTGTTGTGTTACCGTCACTACCATTTGTATCTAAAACTTATCTCCAACAGTAACTCCCTACCCATTAAGCAATAACCTCACTCCTCCCCACTCCCCCTAGTAACTTCTCTTGTACTTTCTGTCTCTATGATTTTGCCTAGTCTATGTACCTTATTTGAGTAGAATTATACAATATTTTTCCTTTAGTGTCTGGCTTATTTGCGTAAGCATATGTTTTCTAGGGCCATCCCTCTTACTGTATATTTTAAAATTTCATTCCTTTTTTTAAGGCTCAGTCATATTCTACTTTAGGTATATACCTTTCATCTGTTAATTGATACTTGATTGCTTCCATGTTTTAGCTACTGTTAGTAAGACTTCTGTGAGCATGAATGTAAAAATATCTGTTTGAATCTCTACTTTCATTTTGGGGGGTATATATCCGGATGTATAATTGCTTATCTTATGGTAATTCTATTATTATTTTTTTCCAAGAACTGTATTACTGCTTCTATAGTGGCTGTACCATTTTATGCTCCTACCAGCAAGACACAATTCTAATTTCACCACATCCTCTCAAAAAGTTATTTCCCTTTCGTTTTCTTAATAATAGCTATCTTACTTGATGAAAAAAAGTAAATGTAATTTTCACTTTTCTTTCCTTTTTTTTTTCTTTTTTTATGGAAATGGAGTCTCACTCTGTCGCCTGGGCTGGAGTGCAGCAGTGCAATCTCGGCTCACTGAAACCTCCGCCTCCTGGGTTCAAGAGATTCTCCTGCCTCAGCCTCCCAAGTAGCTACGATTACAGGCATGTGCCACAAAGTCTGGCTAATTTTTTGTATTTTTAGTAGAGATGGGGTTTCATCATGTTAGCCAGGCTGGTCTTGAACTCCTGACCCCAGGTGATCCACCCGTTTCCACTTTTCTGATGATTAGTGATGTTGAGCATCTTTCCATGTACTTACTAGCCATTTATATATTTTCTTTAGAGAAATGGTGTGAAGTGGTATACACTGTCCATTTTCAGAAGGGGCCTTTCAACTTAAGTCAGTATCTTCATAAAAATACGTTTTGGCTGGGCACAGTGGCTCACGCCTGTAATACCAGCACTTTGGGAGGCCGAGGTGGGCGGATCACGAGGTCAGGAGATCGAGACCATCCTGGCTAACATGGTGAAACCCCGTCTCTACTAAAAATACAAAAAATTAGCCGGGCCTGGTGGCGGGTGCCAGTAGTCCCAGCTACTCGGGAGGCTGAGGCAGGAGAATAGCGTGAACCCGGGAGGCGGCGCTTGCAGTGAGCCGAGATCGTGCCACTGCACTCCAGCCTGGGCGACAGAGCGAGACTCCGTCTCAAGAAAAATAAAAAATAAAACACCTTTTTAAGCAAATATAAAATATTCTTACAATTGAGAAAGTTTTCACAAAGAATAATATTAAATATTATTAAATATAATAATATTAAATCTGAGATAACAATTACTATTTTTCTTCATCCGATATTTTACCATACTGGATATAAACTTATACACATATACACAGACACAGATACACAGACACACACACACACACACACACACACATATATGCATTTGTATGTATAATGCTGGGCTCAAAAAACACCCCAAAATATGACATTTTGGCATACCGAACGAAAGAAGCAGCTTCAAGGTCTCCCTCTGACCCTCTCCCACCTCCCTGTTTCTGAGACATTCTTTCTTTCCTGAAGCTCTGGGAGTGACTCTTTCTGAAATTTCCTTATTTAACTAAGACAATCCTTCCTTCCTTCCCTCCCTCCCTCCTTCCTTCCTTCCTCTTTCCTTCCTTCCTTTCTCTTTCCTTCCTTCTTTTTCCTTCCTTCCTTCCTTCCTTTCTTCCTTCCTTCCTTTCTCTTTCTCTCTCTTTCTTCCTTTTTCTTTCCTTCTCTCTTTCTTTCTCTTTCTTCTTTTTTTTCTTTCTTTCTTCTTCTTCTTTTTTTTTGACAGGCAGGGTCTTGTGCTGTTGCCCAGACTGGAGTGCAGTGTTGTAATCATAGCTCAATGCAGCCCCAAATTCCTGGGTTCAAGCAATCATACCACCTCAGTCTTCCAAGAAGCTGGGACTACAGGGGCACCCCACTACACCATGCTATTTTTTTATCTTTAATTTTTGTAGTGAAGGGGTGTAGCTATGTTACCTAAGCTGGTTTCAAACTCCTGGACTTAAGCAGTCCTGTGGCTTTCCAAACTGCTGGGATTACAGTCATGAGCCACCATGCATGGCAGAAAATTTCTTTTCAGAACGAATGCAAATGTCTTAACCCCTCATCCCTGGAATCTCATCAAATAAACAGGAAAGATTAGCTGCTCAAGAAGAGACTGGAGGACTTCACCAAGCCCCAACAAATTTTTATCTATTCTTTTGAGAACAGCTCCAGGAGGTTACCTGGGGCATTTTATCTGGATGATAAAATAATCTTTGTTCACAGTAAACTTCCACCCCTCACCTTACCACCATCTCCCCAGAGCTCAGAGAAATTTCATCCCAGACCATCGTTCCCTGGGATCATCCATTTCCACTAAAAATAATTTACTTCCACATCCCTACTTCCTTCCCCCATTAAGAGGGTTTTTAAACCTCAACCATCTGGTCTTTCTTTGACTATTTGTATTTTTTGAATGGATCCCAGGCTCACGCACATTAATAAATTTGTTGGCTTTTCCCTTGTTAACCTGTCTTCTGTTATAGTAGTATTGCCTGGGACCCTTAAGATGGGGAAGAAAAAAATCACCACCTTTCCACTTCTGCAATATATATAAACCATTAAAACGTTTATTTAAAAGTGATAAAAGATCTGCAGGGCAGGGTGGCTCATGCCTGTAATACCAGCACTTTGGGAGAATGAGGCGGGTGGATTACCTGAGGTCAGAAGTTAGAAACCAGCCTGGCCAACATGGAGAAACCCCATCTCTACTAAAAATACAAAATTAGCCAGGCGTGGTGGTGCATGCCGGTAATCCCAGCTACTCAGGAAGCTGAGGCAGGAGAATTGCTTGAACCTGGGAGGCAGAGTTTGCAGTGAGCCAAGATCGTGCCATTGAACTCCAGCCTGGGCAACAAGAGCTAAACTCTGTTTCAAAAAAGTATATATATATATATATATATATATAATTTAAAAAATTAAAAGTGATAAAAGATCTTTGTCAAAAGTAAAGTATTTTGCTCTCTGAGAGGCACTGTTAAAGAAACTCAAAATGATACCAATTGGGAGAAAATATTTGTAAAACATATACCTGATAACTTGTATCCAGAATATATAAAAGGTTCTCAGAAATGTATAATTAAAAAGTAATAAACCCAAATATTAACAAATAAGTGAAAGATTGAAACAGACACTTAACTCAAGAAGAGATATTTATGGCAAATAAGAACAAGAAAAGGTGTTCATTATCACTAAACATTAAGGAAATGAAAACTAAAAGCACAGTGGAATTGCACTTTACACCACTGAAATGGCTAAAGTTAAAAAGACAGATAAAATCAAGTATTGATGAGGATGTGGAGCAACTCAAACTCTCATACATTTCAGACAGGAATGCAAAATTGTATATTTATGTTAAAAACTATTCCATTTCCTTATACAGTTAAACATTCAATCAAGTGACCAATAGCTTAGCAATTTCATTCCTAGATATTTACCGAAGAGAAATGAACATATTTCCACAAAAAGACCTATGTGCAGTGTTTTGCAGTTGTTTTATTCTTAATAGCCAAAAACCAGAAGCAACCCAAATGCTCATTATCTGATGAATTAATTAACAAATTATCATGTAATCATACAATGGCATATAGTCTTCAATCATACTATTGAAATACAGTATAAACATGGATGATGCTCAAAATAATAATAAGGGAAAGAATGTAGACAGATGAACACATAGTTCATGATTCCATTTATATAATCAAAATAAGGCAAAACAATAGTAACAGAATGCAAATCAGTGATTGTTAGAGTTAGGGGCTGCAAGAGAAGATTAACTGTAAAAGGACAGGAAGGAACTTTCAGGGTGATGGAAATGTTATGCATACTTTTTTGTGACACAAGAATACATATATTTTTTAAAATTTGGAGTATACATTTTAAAAGAGTGAATTTTATTGTTTGCAAAATATATTTCAATACAGCTGATAAAAACAATACCAGTACATCTTTGTATTTTTCTCCTGAAAAGTAACTATATATTGTGTAGACATTGGAATAGTAAGAAATTTAATTACTTTTATTATTTACCAAAATTCTACTCATTCACCATGTCAAATGTTGTAATCTCAAACTTTGCAGAAAATTCTACTAATGGAAGAACAATTCCATTGTACTATTTAATAGTGGTCTCAAGAAAGTAAATCATGAGAAGTAACTGTCATCCTCACAAAGTATGCCATCCCAAACTCTGCAGAGCTTGTTCGGTGCTGCCTAGAAGACATCCTTAGATGTCTGATAAAGGAGCTAGTCATCCTTAAATTTTTTCAATCATGCTTACAAAGTCATGGCCCAGAGAGTTGCCTTTTCTTTAATTTTTTTTGGCCAACATTTTTTTTGTAATTTAGTCAATATTTTAAAAACAAGAAGCTTTACACAAAATTTTATCTTTTCTTGAAAGAAACTGGTGGTAAGAATATTTTATTTAAATAATGCCATATGAGACCACACATATTATTGTATGACTTCTTTTACTTTTCTAAATTGATTATTGATATTTTTATTCAATTAAATTTGCTCTTTTCTTATTGATGGCTAAGAGTTCTTATTGTAAGAAATATTAGCCTTCTAGTATTTTGATTCATGAATATTTTTCCAATTTGGGCTTTAAATTTTGTCTTCTTTCATTGTTTAATTAAGGTTTTAATTTATTATATGGTTTGGCTCTGTGTCCCCATACAAATCTTATCTTGTAGCTTCCATAATTCCCACCTGTTCTGGGAGAGAATTGGTGGGAGATAATTGAATCATGGGAGCAGGTCTTTCCTGTGCTGTTCTTGTGATAGTGAATAAGTCTCAAGAGAACTGGTAATTTTATGAGAAGGAGTTTTCATGCACAAGCTCTCTCTTTGCCTGCCGCCATCCATGTAAGATGTGACTTGCTCCTCCTTGCCTTCTACCAGGATTGTGAAACCTCCCCCAGCCACGTGGAACTTTAAGTCCATTAAACTTCTTTTTCTTCCCGGTCTTGGGTATGTCTTTACCAGCAGTGTGAAAACAGACTAATGCAGTAAATTGGTACCAGTAGAGTGGGACACTGCTGAAAAGATACCCAAAAATGTGGAAGCAACTTTGGAATTGGGTAACAGGAAAGGCTGGAATAGTTTGGAGGGCTCAGAAGAAGATAGGAAAATGTGGGAAAGTTTGGAACTTCCTAGAGAATTGTTGAATGGCTTTGCCCAAAATGCTGATAATTATATGGACATAAAGTCCAGGCTGAGGTGGTCTCAGATGGAAATGAGGAACTTGTTGGGAACTGGAGCAAAGGTAACTCTTGTTATATTTTAGCAAAGAGACTGATGGCATTTTCCCCCTGCCCTAGAGATTTGTAGAACTTTGAACTTGAGAGAGATGATTTAGTGTAACTGGAAGAAGAAATTTCTAAGTAACAAAGCATTCAAGAGGTGACTTGGGTGTTGTTAAAGGCATTCAGTTTTATAAGGGAAGCAGTGCACAAAAGTTCAGAAAATTTACAGCCTCACAATGCAATAGAAAAGAAAATCCCATTCTCTGAGGAGAAATTCAAGCTGGCTGCACAAATGTGCAAAGTAACAAGGAGCAGAATGTTAATCCCCAAGACAATGAGGAAAATGTCTCCAGGGCATGTCAGTGGTCTTCTCAGTAGACCCTCCCATCACAGTCCCAAAGGCCTAGGAGAAAAAAAGTGGCTTTGTGGGCCAGGCTCAGGGTCCCCATGCTGTGTGCAGCCTAGGGACTTGATGCCCTGCATCCCAGCTACTCCAGCCATGCCTGAAAGGGGCCAATGTAGAGCTCAGGCCATGGCTTTAGAGGGTACAAGCACCAAGCCTGGGCAGCTTCCACGTAGTGTTGAGCCTGTGAGTGCACAGAAGTCGAGAACTGGGGGTTGAGAACCTCTGCCTAGATTTCAGAGGATGTATGAAATGCCCAGATGCCCAGGCCAAAGTTTGCTGCAGGGGCAGGGCCCTCATGAAGGACCTCTGCTAGGGCAATGTGGAAGGAAAATGTGGGGTGGAGCCCCCACACAGAGCCCCTACTGGGACACTGCCTAGTGGGGTTGTGAGAAGAGGGCCACTGTCCTGCAGACCCCAGAGTGGTAGATCCACTAACAGCTTACACTGTACACCTGGAAAAGCCACAGACGCTCAATACCAGCTCATGCAGGCAGCTGAGAGGGAGGCTGTACCCTCCAAAGCCACAGGAGCAGAGCTGCCCAAGACCATGGGAACCCACCTCCTGCATCAGCATGACCTGGATGTGAGACATGAAGTCAAAGGAGATCATTTTGGAGCTTTAAAATTTGACTGCCCTGCTGGATATAGGACTTGCATGGGGCCTGGAGTTCCTTTGTTTTGGCCAATGTCTCCCATTTGGAACAGCTGTACTTACCCATTGCCTGTGCCCTCATTGTATCTAGGAAGCAACTAACTTGCTTTTGATTTTACAGGCTCACAGGCAGAAGGGACTTGCCTTGTCTCAGATGAGATGTTGGACTGTGGACTTTTGAGTTAATGTTGAAATTAGTGTTGAGTTAGTGTTGAATGTCACACTTTGGAGGATTGTTGGGAAGGCATGATTGGTTTTGAAACGTGAGGACATGAGATTTTGGAGGGGCCTGGGGCAGAATGATATGGTTTGGCTCTGTGTCCCCACCCAAATCTCATCTTGTAGCTCCCATAATTCCACCATGTTATGGGAGGTACCCAGTGGAAGATAACTGAATCATGGGGGCAGGTCTTTCCTGTGCTGTTCTCATGATAGTGAGTATGTCTCACAAGACCTGATGGTTTATAAGAAGGAGTTTTCCTGCCCAAGCTCTCTCTTTGCCTGCTGCCATCCATATAAGACATGACTTGCTCCTCCTTGCCTTCCACCGTGAATGTGAGGTCTCCCCAGCCATGTGGAACTGTTAAGTCCATTAAGCCTCTTTTTCCTTCTGGTTTCAGGTATGTCTTTATCAGCAGTGTTAAAACGAACTGATATAATTTATATGTTATCAAATACTTTTAAAGTTTAGACTGTGAATTATATACCATTGTTGTCTCATCCTGGACTCAGGACTAAACACAGCCATTTACGCTCTCTTCTTGTGTTTTTCTGATTTTATTTTTGGAGTTAACCTTCATTTAATATTGAAATTTTGGAGGTAAAGAAGAAGGTAAAGAGCTGAATTTCCCCCAGCCCCCTATTAGTCAGTTTTGGTTTTCTCTTTTCTTTTCCCTCTAGTGGTTATGGGGCCATTTGTCTCAATAATATTTATTGAATAATTCATTTTCCCCTTGATTTGAATTATCACCTCTATTATATAATAAATTCACAAATATGCTTGGTTTTATTTACTCTCTTCTTACTATCATCTACTGACTATATAATAGTACCATATTATTTTAATTCTTATATCTTTAAATTATGTTAAATATCTAGTAGGGGAAATACATGATTCTGTCTCAAGATTTTCCGTGTGTTCTTTTACTGTAAATATTGTGTCATTTTTTTCAAGTGTCCCAGTAAAAACAAACAAACAACAATAACAACAGCAATAAAACTAGTTGTATCTTAATTGGGATCACAGTAAATGCATCAAACAGATTAGGACATGTTAATATATTTAACCTCTGCAATCCTATTGATACTTAAAGCATCTTATTTCTAAGGGAATCTAGTGTTTTGAGAAGACTGCAGCTTAAATCAGGCCTTGTTATTAGAAGACAACTAAGGTCTACCACAAATATAGTTCTAGGTCCTTTTTATTATTATTGTTATTATTATTATTATTATACTTAAAGTTCTGGGATACAGGTGCAGAACGTGCAGGGTTGTTACAAAGGCATACACATGCCATGGTAGTTTGCTGCACCCATCAACTTGTCATCTACATTAGGTATTTCTCCTAATGCTATCCCTCCCCTAGCCCCCTACCTTCCTACAGGCCCCGCTGTGTGACGTTCCCCTCCCTGTGTCCATGTGTTCTAATTGTTCAACTCCCACTTACAAGTGAGAACATGTAGTGTTTGGTTTTCTGTTCCTGTGTTAGTGTGCTGAGAATGATGGTTTCCAGCTTCATCCATGTCCCTAAAAAGGACATGAACTCATCCTTTTTTATGGCTGCATAGTATTCCATGGTGTATATGTGCCACATTTTTTTTATCCAGTCTATCATTGATGGGCATTTGGATTGGTTCCAAGTCTTTGCTATTGTGAATAGTGCTGCAATAAACATACGTGTGAATGTGTCTTTATAGTAGAATGATTTATAATCCTTTGATTTGCATATATTGAACCAGACTTGCATCCCAGGGATGAAGCTGACTTGATTGTGGTGGATGAGCTTTTTGATGTGCTGTTGGATTCAGTTTGCCATTATTTTACTGAGGATTTTCGCATCAATGTTCATCCGGGATATTGGCCTGAAATTTTCTTTTTTTGTTGTTTCTCTGCCAGGTTTTGGTATCAGGAAGATGTTGGCCTCATAAAATGAGTTAGGGAGGATTCCCTCTTTTTCTATTGTTTGGAATAGTTTCAGAAGGAATGGTATCAGCTCCTCTTTGTACCTCTGGTAGAATTTGGCTATGAATCCATCTTGTCCTGGACTTTTTTTGGTTGGTAGGCTATTAATTACTGACTCAATCTCAGAAGTTGTTATTGGTCTGCTCAGGGATTCGACTTCTTCCTGGTTTAGTCTTGGGAGGGTGTATGTGTCCAGGAATTTATCCATTCCTCCTGAATACAGTACACTGATGGGTGTTGACTCTATCCAATTTACAAGTCTGTGTCTTTTAATCGGGGCATTTAGCCCATTTACATTTAAGGTTAATATTGCTATGTGTGGATTTGATCCTGTCATTACGATACTAGCTGATAATTTTGCTTGTTAGTTGATGCAGTTTCTTCATAGTGTCAATGGTCTTTACAATTTGGTTTGTTTTTGCAGTGGCTGGTACCATTTTTTCCTTTCCATATTTAGTGCTTCCTTCAGGAGCTCTTATAAGTTAGGCCTGGTGGTGACAAAATCTCCCAGCATTTGCTTGTCTGTAAAGGATTTTATTTCTCCTTCGCTTATGAAACTTAGTTTGGCTGGATATGAAATTCTGGGTTGAAAATTCTTTTCTTTAAGAATGTCGAGTATTGGCCCTCATTCTCTTCTTGCTTATAGGGTTTCTGCTGAGATATCTGCTGTTAGTCTGATGGGCTTCCCTTTGTGGATAACCTGACCTTTCTCTCTGGCTGCCCTTAACATTTTTTCCTTCATTTCAACATTGATGAATATGATGATTATGTGTCTTGGGATTGCTCTTCTCGAGAAGTGTCTTTGTGGTGTTCTCTGTATTTCCTGAATTTGAATGTTGGCCTGCCTTGCTAGGTTGGGGAAGTTCTCCTGGATGATATCCTAAAGAGTGTTTTCCAACTTGGTTCCATTCTCCCTATCACTTTCAGGTACAGCAATCAAATGTAGGTTTGGTCTTTGTTAATAGTATGTTTGCTTATAAAATTTATCATTTTTCAATATGAAAGACTTTATCTTTTTTCAATAGGATCAACTGAGTTTATATCTGTGAGTCCAGTAAATTTACCCTAAAGTTGTGGTTCCCTTCAGAGAGTACCTCTGTCTCAGAATTTAGCAAGGGCTGCCTTTTCAGACATCCTATTGCTTGGTTTTCTTTCTCTGTAATCCTCCTACTCTCTTTTGGGATGGACTGTAGATTCTGGTTTGAGTGATGATAGTTTTGACTCCTAGTAGAGGCAGATGAACACTGGAATCACATGTCATTCCAGTGAAAAAGTCATGTAGGAATTATCCATGTTTTGAATAAATGTCCTATAACTAGACATACATGGTACCTTCTTCTTAAAACAATGCTTTAAAAAAACACCATAAAGACACTTACAGATATATAACAAATATTAGAAATTTTTATTATGATATATTGTATAAAGTTAGAAAAATAGCAGCTTTTTTGTTATAAAATGTAATCTCATTAGCAAAACTATAACTTTATGTTCCATCCTATTTTCAATATAGAGTCAAATATTTAATTGCTACTATGATTATTCATTTTTGCTCAATATCACTCTATGTATTCTAGTCAAATTTCCTGATTTAAAATAATTACTGAAAGAGATCTCCTAAAGAGATGTGTCTCATTGTGAAAAAGTTTGATTCTATTTTTAGCACTTTAAAATATTCAGTTTGACACTGACTCATAGTTTTACTTGACCATGAAATATTTTCATTGCACATTATACTATAAAGAATGTCCCTTTATATCTATCAAGATATGTTCTGTGAAAGAAAATATACATTATATGCCTTAAACACATCACTATAACTTTATAAGATTAAAATGAACATTTGTACATGAAAGTTCACTTCCCAAACCTGGTGACACTGAGGTGGTATTAAAAGCAATCATAAATGCCTGATTTAGAAAGGAAATAAACATTATTTTCTTGAGGAAGTGATGACTCAAGGGACTGATACTCAACTCTAGGTCTCAGGTTGAATCCAATAGAGGTAGAAATTGATTGGAAGTTGCTGTTATTTGACATGTATATAGTGATCTATGTATATTAAATTGCTGGTTATAATCCTAATAAAGAAGAGTCAACATCCTAAAAGTTGCCACTGCAATAAGAATTAATTGGTACCCTTCTTAGCAGCACTGGCAGCTATTATGCTAAAATGGCAACCTTTCAGTCTCTCAAACTAACTAGTTAGAGAAAAATGGGGAAGGTGGCAAGTGCCATTTTCTATTCTTCAAGCAATAGAAAGCCTAAAACTGAAGGAAACCATCTCCATTAATTCATCAAATCTTGGGCCAAATGCCATAGCTATGAGAAAAATAAGTAATAGAAACATGAAGCTCTGTTCATTTTAGAAAAGTTGCAGGCTCCGTTTGTTGATGGCTTATATTTTTGTAGGGGAGATAAAACAAGCACACAGACAACTATAGAATAAGGAAGAAAGATATACGTGCCTTTGGAGAGAATAAATAATTTCCTCTTCCCAGCACTCAGAGATGTGACATGGCGGGGATCTGGGTAGATGGAGAAGTAAAGAGGCAACACAAAAATGAACCAAGAAAATCCATTTTTATTCAGTCTTCTACTAAGCCATCAATTTATTCAACTCATTAATCTTATTCTTCGGATTGTTAAATTTGTCATCAAAAATGAATCTGACATACTATTTTGAATGTACACCTCATATTAATTATAGATTTCATAACAATAAAAGTTTAAATATTACTGAGTCACACTTTCATTCTACGTGGCCTTTGAAAACAGAAAGAAACCAGTTCAGATGAAAGCCAGATCCTAGCAAATATAAAATAATAATCTTTTAAGACACTATGCCTAAAACACACGTTCACCAAAATACACACAATTCTAAAAAATATAACTAAAAATTATTTTCATTCAGCACCACTTAATTTTATCAATGGAATTTTTATAAATACTAGTGTGTAGTAAAAATATCCAAATGATTGTTCATTTACTTAATGTACTGTTCAAAACATTTTCATTAACTGGGTGACTTTCTTTTGATAAGTAAAACCAATTTTGCACCATAGTGAATCATAAAATATATTTCAGTTTAGAATAAGTACTGAATCTTAGTAATCAAAAGACTATATACTATAAGGTGAATAGTTTTTTATAGTCAAAATGTATAGACATAATACAGTTAATGAAGAATTAATATAAGACCTAAATAGAGCTAGCAACATACCTTAGAGCAAATCTGAACTTTCTTTATTAGGGAATTAATTTGTCCACTGGATAAGAAAAAGTTGAAATCTACTTCCATTTGTACAACGAAATTAATATGTAACCAGAGTAAGAGAGCTAACTTCTCAGAGACAGGTTGTCATCTATAAAATTGAATGGAAGAGAATTATAACAGAAGAGCAGTTTTCAGAATTTGTTTAAAAAGTAGAACTCACTTTTTCTCACAAAAATTCTTACTTGAATCCCATAAATATAATTCAGATAAACAAGTAGTGTCTGTAGTTTAAAGGAGGAAGAATCCTTGCTGATGCTGTACTAACTAAGGTACACTAGCAGATAAAATCACTACTATTGATGATGCAAAGAAATTTCAAAAAGAAAAAATAGTATTTAGCGAATATTAACAGAGACAGGAATTTTAAGAGAAAATGGATAATTTGTGGCAAGCTGAGCAGAATAGTGTTATTTGCTTTGTAGGATTTTTAGGAGAGTCAATAAAATAATGTATGCAAAACACATGGCATGAAGTTCAGCAAACTTGTGGATGGTGAATAAACAATTGCTCCTTCTCTCCCTTCTTCCACATGTTTAAATTCCATCATTCTTCTGTAGCATTGTAACTTAAGCAAGATTTTCTGCTTGCAAATGCTAACTGCTTTCAGTGAAAAAACTAAACCTTACATTCTCAAAGAAAGCAGTATTGCTTCTAAAAGGTCAAATGTTGGTTATTGATAGATGAAAACAATGCTGCTTTTTATGCCTAAAACACAGGTATACATAAACATAAATACAATATTTGTGTGATATTATTTCATTAATTGACAACTAGGAAAAAAAATCCAAAAAGATTCCTTAGAAAAGTGACCAAGGAGAAAAGGATAAAAGCACTGGATTAAATAAACAATTAAAGTTGCATTCGTAGAAACACAAAACTGATCTTAAATCAGATGAATGTTAATTCATACTTTTAACCTTATCTACTAAATGCATACTATGTTTAGAACAATGTATTAGACATTGTAAGGAATAAAAAGATATGTAGCATAGTCCATGAACTCAAGACACTCAAAATTCATCACTAAATGTTAATAGCATCAAATAGTACAAAGGTTCAGGAGTTCAGAGAAAGAAGTTATTTTCTTGCTAGAGTGATCAGAAAGCTTTCAGAGGAGGTGTTTCAAAAGAGGTGTTTCAAAAGAGGAGGACTTTTGAAAAAGTATACCTTAAATGGTGAGATATAGGGCTGGAACATTTCAGAGCATAGGCCTAAACATGGGAACAATGAGGAAAAATAATAGTGCAAGATTACTGGGAATGATCTAGAATAAGGCCAAATTAGAGAGCTGGGATTTTATATGATAGAGAATGGGAAACCAGGATGAGCTTGAAAAGAACACGCCTGGAGCTGGCAGGCCATTAAGAGGGTACTCCTACCATGACTATGTAAGAATGAAACAAAAACTTGGGCCCAAAGATGATAGCAATGGAAATGCTGAAGATTCCAGAGACCTTAGTATCCTATTAGATGTAGGGATGAGGAGAAGGACAGTGAATGGTAGAAGTGAACAAACCTTAAGGCCTCAACTCTGCATAACTGAGATAATATAAAGGTTGGTGCAAATGTAATTGCAGTTTTCTCAATTAAAAGTAATTGTAAACATTACAATTACGTTTGCACCAACCTATATCATTTCCTTTATGATTCGCCATGGTTTCTCATTGTATCCTTGTCCCTAACAACCAGCTTCATTTACAAGATGAGAAAAAAGAATCTTTCTTTGCTAGCTCAGGCTGGACAAACTCTACAAATCATACCAGTAGTCATTAACAATGACTATTTTTACATACATGAATCCATGTTTGAGACCTGAAGAAAAATATCAGTATATCCCAAAGGAATATAATATTTTCCTTTTCTATTATTTTTGAATAGGTTGCCATAGAAATTTATCTTGTGGGGATAAACTCCAAAGACAGTGTTCACAGTTTTTTTAAGTCACCTGATGGATTAAAAAAATTTCTAATAATCTAATTTAAATAATTAAATACATGATCAAACTTCATACTATGTACCCATATTATAAATGCCCCCATGTATAATGGGACACATGCAATAATGAATCCCCCTTGGGTAGTATTTAGAAAATGCATACTATATTAGTCTGTTATGCTGCTGATAAAGATAAATCCAAGACTGGGTAATTTATAAAGAAAGAGAGGTTTACTGGACTCAAAGTTCCACGTGGCTGGGGAGGCCTCACAATCATGGCGGAAGGTGAAAGGTACATCTTACATGGCAGCAGGCCAGAGAGAATGAGAGCAAAAGGGGAAGCCCCTTATAAAAACTATCAGATCTCATGACACTTATTCACTACCATGAGAACAGTATGGGGGAACCTCCCCCATGATTCAATTATCTCCACTGGGTCCCTCCCACAACACATGGGAATTATGGGAGTACAATTCAAGATGAGATTTGGGTGGGGACACAGCCAAACCATATCACATACCTTATCTCAAATTACAGTAGCCACTCCTCATCCACAGTTTTTCTTTCTGTAGTTTCAGTTACTTGCGGTAAATAGGTCTGAAAATGCCCGTAGGTCAATACAGTACAAGAAGATATTTTGAAAGAGATTACATTCACATAACTTTTATTACAGTATATTACAACTGTCCTATTTTATTCATTATTATTGTTCATCTTTAACTGTGTCAAATTTCTAAATTAGACCTTAATCATAGGTATGTTTGTATAGGAAAAAGCATAATGTCTGTATGTGTGTGTGTGTGTGTGCGTGTATACATGGTTTAGTATTATACATGGTTTCAGGCATCTACTAATGGTCTTGGAACATTTCCCCGCAGATAAGGGGGGAATATAGTATTCAGGTCATTTTAAATTGAAGAACTAGTGAATGATGACAACAATGTAATCTACTAAATTACTTTATGTAGGTCCCTTGAGCTATATGCAATAGTAAAATAGATATCTTACTTGTTTCCAGATACAATAATTAGTTGAAGGAGATAAATGCACTGGACAATAAGTATGGACTATAAAATGGAACGCATAAAAAGATAGAAAATATTTTCTGGGCCCCAAATTGCTTGAACCCATCTAAAAGATAGCTCTTCTACAGTATAGATAGTGAAATAAGGCTCATAGGAGTAGATGACTGAGTTTATTGCCTCTCAAAATATAAAATGAAGCAGCAACCTGAAATGAAAAAGTGGCAGCAGATGGTTTCCGATACAGAAAAAAAAAAATCTCAAACTACTGGGAAATAAATCTCTTAAAGATGACAAAGAAAAGGACAGGAATAAGTCTCATTTGCTTTTTCATCTCATAATATTATTCTGTTCATTTTCTCTACTAATCTAAAATATGATGATATTTGAATAAAGCAACATACAGTATATTAAATGTATTCTTCCAACATTTTTTCAATTTGCATTACTGGAAAGGTAGCAAGCATCACTGGAAAAAAATATAGAGAAAAATTACTTCTGTACCAGCTATCACTACCTAATAGTGGATACATCTTCTGTCTAGATATACAATTTATTGGATGTACAGAAAAATGAAATAGGTTTACTCACAGGTGTAATCATGAATATTGACACTGATCTATGGTGTGCACCTGGCACGATTCTTACAGGCTTCTCCTTCTAGAATGACAAATCATAAGCTTGTCCTGTAATTTATAACAGGCCAATTACTTCTAGCCCAACCAGTACCATTAGCTCAGTGTGTGACACACTGCACACATTGTACATTGACAATTGGCTCTAGATGGTCCCCTTCTGAGCACAAGGGGACTGTGAAACAGGCCAAGCAAATAAAGTTGATTTGAGACTTTATCAACCTTTAACCCACGGCTTGTACTCAATTCTCAATTCCTTTTTCATTAAATATTTAACTTTTTTACAAGAAATTCCCAGCCTGCATTCTTGGCTAAAGCCAAAGCTATCCTACTCTCATTATTCTGTTCACTGTGATGAACAAAATAGAGACAACCAGTGTGAGTTTATCTCCCTCTCCAACCCTAGTCTTTGCTGGTGGAAGAGTTGCAACTACCTGCTTTACTTGAAAGGAATGAAGGTGTTTTTCCTTCAGGAATTTGCTTCACAACAATTCAACTTCTAATTGCTCTCTCCATGGTTCTCTGACCTTTCCACTTATGTCCAACAAGCGAGTAGCAACTACCTTACGACCTTGTATTTATTTTTTTCTTTTTGCATGGATGTTTGTAAGAAGACACTTAAGGATCATTTAATTTCTGACTCTATTTGTTAGTACTTCTTAATTTACTTGAAACTACGAGCTTGGAAAAAGTATTCAATCATTTCTAACTCTCAATTTCTTAATCAATGAACTGATAAACTGGAAAGTGATTAAAAAGTTACTCAGCTTTAAATGTAAGCATAAATGAGAACTTTAAGAACAATAGAGGGAACATTGGAAAACAGTGGGGAAAAAAAGAATTATTAAGCAAATAAGAATGACACAATTGGCATTTGATAAGAAAAAAATGCCATACAACAGTAATAATTAGGATAATAAAAATCAGGCAGATACTTTTAGAGCTGAATAAGCATTCAATAAACATTTGAAGCTTAGTGTTATGATTTCCACATATATAAAATTAATAGTAACTTGGCATTAACAATTATCCAAAGAATGATTATGAAGGAAAACGAAGACAGCAGAGAGTGGGATAGAATTAAGATTACTTATATTTCTTTATATTTCTTCTTACTAACTTTGGCATAATTAATTTCATTTTCATTGAAGCAAAATAGCATCTGAGCAAAACAAAGTATCTCTCTCTTTTTCTTTCTTTCTTTTTTTGAGATGGTGTTTCGCTCTTGTTGCCCAGGTTGGAGTGCAATTGCACAATCTCAGCTCACTGCAACCTCCACCTCCTGGGTTCAAGCGATTCTCCTGCCTCAGCCTCCCGAGTAGTTGGGATTACAGGCATGCGCCACTATGCCTGGCTAATCTTATATTTTTTTTTTTAGTAGAGATGGGGTTTCTCCATGTTGGTCAGGCTGGTCTCAAACTACCAACCTCAGGTGATCCACCTGCCTCGGCCTTCCAAAATGCTGGAATTACAGGTGTGAACCACCATGCCCAGCCAAAACAAAGTAACTTATTATGAAAGATTTGTACTTCTGGAATTTTCATATATATTCTGAATTTATTTGACTACATTTTTTGGAGAGAAGCATCGAGATGTATAGTCCACAAATACCTCAAAAAAGAAAAGAAAAAAAAATTTTCATATTGCAAAAAATATGAAATAGATCAATATACTTAAACATTGATATTTCCCACTTTTTGTCAGGAAGATTTCAGCTCAAAAACTGTAAACATGAACACCTTATTGCAAAAATGAAATATATGTCATATTTTAAAAATCCATGGATCAAAGTGTAGTGCTTTTAAACATAAGATTAAAACCTCAATAAGTGTTCAAATATCCTCCAAGAATAATTTAATAACACAATAACAGCCTGAATTAAATCATATTCTTCCAAATCTATTTTGAATGAAATATGACCAGGCCTGAAAAGCTGGCAACCCTGAACTATTGATGGGCAATATAGCAGACACCTGACATTTCATTTCCACCATGGAGCTAATGACCGTCTCCATTCCATATTATATCCATCTTTCATAAGGCCAAAACCAAATCCATTGCTGCAAATTAATGCTGTCATTATGAATTTACATGTCAAGAATTATTCAAGCATGACTTAATCCCAAAGACCATACTAAATTTGTTGAACACTGCTTACCCATTTTAAGTTTGTTCTAAGTCAAGTAACTATTTGCTAGAGAAAAAAAATATACATCAGATTGTAAAATAATTTCAAGATATAAAGCCTACTGGTACACCTTAAAGATACTGCATATGCATACCATTAGAAAATTTATAGTATATGTGAGCTATTTCTGAAGAATTCCAAACTCTATCTCTAATAACATGTGTTTGACATACAGTATAAGCGTTTTAAGTCAATAGTCTTCCTTACTGATTTTGTTGAAGTTTCAGACAAGCATATTTTATCATGGTTCACAAATTCATAGGAGGGAAAGATGCTCTAGGAATCATCTACATCAATAAGAATAGTGTAGGTAATGCTGTGGCAACAAAGTACAGAAGCACTTCATTGCTTAACACAGTGAAAATTTATCATTCAAGCAAAGTCTAGATGACCCTCCAGGGCAGCTGTCCTCCATGAGATGATTTAGCATTTCAGATGCCTTCAGTTTCATGGCACCTCTACCTCAATATGCGCTTCCACAATCCCTGTGGAGGGGGAAAATACCATGGGCTAAAGCAGCTAATACTGATCAATTCAGCTTTTGTGTCATTACTCAAATAAATCAGTACCACTCCTAACTTAAAGGAGACATCACTGCATTGCAGAATGGGGCAAAAGCAGAAACATTCGTAAGAACTAAGAATTTTTACTACATTATCAAATTCAATACTTTCATTTTCTGACTCACCAAAATGAGACTCAGACCAAGGTAATAATATTAACAAACAACAGAGATGAAATCATAACATTGTTCACTAATAGATTATCAAATGAGAGTATCATGAAAATTATTGCTCTTAACCTGGATTGATAATAACTGAGAACATTGTTACACTTTCTTTGACTGAGGTACTAAAGCAGGAATTCAAAGTGAATGTTTCAGAAGTGAGTATCATCCAAGATTATGATATCTTCCAAGTAATCCCAGTAGAGCAACCACAAGCACAGGTAATGGTAATTACACTGGAGTATATTAGTAAATCCCTAACAGGTTATATCAAGACTGTGCTTCTGTTTCTGTTATAAAATAACTTCACTCTATCCTAGGGCCAGACATGGTCCTAAATGATTAATTGAGTTGCTTCCACCCAAACATTCTTAATACTTACTATACAGTCTCTTGAGAATAGTAAATAAAACTACAGTTTACAGGCATAATCCAGGCTTTTAGATGTTTAGAAGATTCTAGACATGTTGTTTAACCTGTAAGCAAAATGCGGTGATTATGATGGTGTTATATTTTCTTTGCATAACCATCACAAAACTAGTTAGACTTAAAATTAACCTGCATAAAATAGGATAACTAACCTAAACTGAAAATATTTGACAGAAAACCAAATATTGTTAATATGGTTTGGCTGCGTCCCCACCCAAATCTCATTAATGAATGCCAATGTGTTATAGGAGGGACCCAGTGGGAGGTAATTGAATCATGAGAGCAGGTCTTTCCCATACTGTTCTCATGAATATAGTGAAGAAGTCTCATGAGATTTGATGGTTTTATAAGGGGGAATGTCCCTGCACAATCTCTCCTTTGGCCTGCTGCCATCCATGTAACATGTGACTTGTTCCTCCTTGCCTTCCACCATGATTGTGAGGTCTCCCTAGCCATGTGGAACTGTAAGTCCATTAAACCTCTTTCTTTTGTAAATTTCCAAGTCTCAGGTATTTCTTTATCAGCAGCATGAAAACAGAATAATACAGTAAATTGGTACCAGTATAGTGGGGTGCTGCTGAAAAGAGACCCAAAAATGTGGAAGTGACTTTGGAACTGGGTAACAGGCAGAAGTTGGAACAGATTGGAGAGCTCAGAAGACAGAAAAATGTGGGAAAGTTTGGAACTCCCTAGAGATTTGCTGAATGGCTTTGCCCAAAATGCTGATAATGATACGGGCAATGAAATCCAGGCTGAGGTGGTCTCAAATGGAAATAAGGAACTTGTTGGGAACTGGAGCAAAGGTGACTCCTGTTACGTTTTATCAAAGAGACTGGTGGCATTTTGCTTTGCCCCAGAGATTTGTGGAACTTTGAACTTGAGAGACATGATTTAGGGTGTCTTATGGAAGAAATTTCTAAGCAGCAAAGTATTCAAGAGGTGACTTGGATGCTGTTAAATGCATTCAGTTTTAGAAGGGAAACAGTGCATAAATGTTTGAAAATTTTGCAGCCTGTCAATGCGATAGAAAATAAAATCCCATTATCTGAGGAGAAATTCAAACCAGCTGCATAAATTTGCATAAGTAAAAAGGAGCCAAATGTTAATCTCCAAGACAATGGGGAAAATGTCTCCAAGGCATGTCAGAGAACTTTGTGGCAGCCCCTCCCATCACAGGCCTGGAGGTTTAGGAGGAAAAACTGGTTTTGTGAGCTGGGTCCAGTGTCTCTCTGCTGTGCGCAGTCTAGGGACTTGGTGCCCTGCATCCCAGCCACTCCAGCCATGACTAAAAGGGGCAAAGGTACAGCTCAGGTTGTTGTTTCAGAGGGTGGGGGCCCCAAGTCTTGGCAGCTTCCACATGGTGTTAAGCTTGCAGGTGCACAGAAGTAAAAAACTGAGGTTTGGGAACCTCTGCCCAGATTCCAGAGGATGTATGGAAATAACATAGAGCTTAGGACCTGGCTTCAGAGGGTACAGCACCAAGCCTTGGCAGCTTCCATGTGGTGTTGAGCCTGTGAGTGCACAGAAGTCAAGAACTGGGGTTTGGGAACTTCTGCCTAGATTTCAGAGGATGTAAGGAAATGCCTGGATGCCCAGGCAGAAGTTTGCTGCAGGGGTACAGTCCTCATGGAGAATTTCTGCTAGGGCAGTGTTAGGCCTCTGAGCCCAAGCCTGCACATATACATCCAGATGGCCTGAAGTAACTGAAGAATCACAAAAGAAGTGAAAATGGCTGGTTCCTGCCTTAACTGATGACATTACCTTGTGAAATTCCTTCTCCTGGCTCAGAAGCTCTCCCACTGAGCACCTTGTGACCACTGCCCCTGCCCACCAGAGACCATCCCCCTTTGACTGGAATTTTCCTTTACCTACCCAAATCCTATAAAATGGCCCCACCCCATCTCCCTTCACTGACTCTCTTTTTGGACTCAGCCCACCTGCACCCAGGTGATTAGAAAGCTTAATTGCTCACACAAAGCCTGTTTGGTGGTCTCTTCATATGGACGCATGTAACAGGCAGTGCAGAAGGGAAATGTGGGGTTGGAGCCTCGATCCAGAGTCCCTACTGGAGCACTGCCTAGTGGAGCTGTGAGAAGAGAACCACTGTCCTCCAGAACCCAGAATGGTAGATCCACCAACAGTCTGCACCATGAGCCTGGAAAAGCTCCAGACACTCAACACTAGTCCATGAACGCAGCCAGGAGGGGGGCTATACCCAGCAAAGTTACAGGGGTAGAGCTGCCCAAGGCCATGGGAGCCCACCTCTTGCATCAGCATTACCTGGATATGAGACATGGAGTCAAATGAGATCATTTTGGAGCTTTAAGATTTGCCTGCTCTGCTGGATTTCAGACTTGCATGAGTCCTGGAGTTCCTTTGTTTTGGCCAATGTCTCCCACTTGGAATGGCTGCATTTACCTAATGCCTGTATCTCCATTGTATCTAGGAAGTAACTAACTTGCTTTTGATTTTACAGGCTTATAGGTGGAAGGGACTTGCCCTGTCTCAGATGAGATGTTGGACTGTGGGCTTTTGATTTAATGCTGAAATGAGTTAAGACTTTGGGGGACTGTTGGGAAGGTGTGATTGGTTTTGAAATGTGAGCACATGAGATTTGAAAGGGGCTGGGGTGGAATAATGTGGTTTGGCTGTGTCCCCACCCGAATCTCATCCTGAATTCCCACATGTTGTGACAGTGACCTGGTGGGAGGTAATTGAATCATGGGAGCAGGTCTTTCCCATGCTGTTCTTATGATAGTGAAAAAGTCTCACAAGATCTGATGGTTTTCAAAAGGGGAGTTTCCCTGCACAAGCTCTCTTCTCTTGTCTGCCACCATATGAGATGTGCCTTTCACCTTCTGCCATGATTGTGAGGCCTCCCCAGCCATGTGGAACTGTAAGTCTATTAAACCTCTTGTAAATTGCTCAGTCTTGGGTATGTCTTCATCAGCAGCATGAAAATGAACTAATACACATAACTAAACCTAAACTGAATATATTTCACAGAAAACCAAATATTGTCATCTGTGGTCAGAACTAAAATTTGCCACTTGAATTCTCCTCTCTTGAAACATGCACAATTAGATAAAGAGCTGAGGTCCCATTTAAAAAATAAACTGCATTATTTGGATAAATCTGCTATCACAATTATCTCAAGTTGTAGAAACAAATGGAGGCATGCCAATGTTACTCATCCACTTACTTGTTTCATCAATTTTACCAATGTCCATTAATGTTTACTCTGAAAGTCCAAAGGTATCAAAAAAATTACAGAGTGAATTCTAGAAAGACATATATTTCTTGGGAATAAGGTCTCTCATTCTCCAAAGTCAGTTTTGAAATCCCAAATTCCTTATAGTATAGTAATAACAGCAAGTCTATAATGATGCAAAAATTCACTGAGACTTTTGGAAAACTGGTGTGTTCAACAGATATGCTTATAACGTTGTTGTCAGTGAAATACCATTCTCCTATTACATTCCCTGGCCCTGATATTTCATATGAGTCTGAAAGATCTAAGGTCATGTACTAGACATTATGGAAGATGTAAAACTAAATAAGCTATAACATCAAACCTTAATTCAAATCTAGAGATTTTATAACTCATCAATAAAATAAGAAAAAAGCTAAGTGTCTGCTTAATTCTTACCCTACTATTTACTGTTTATTGTTTTATTTTAACTAGAATCACTTTTGTCCACTTCTCACTCCTCAAAAGATGTTGAGGATGGTCATTACCAAAAGTTCACAAATATTATGCCAAAACGGCATACAGGTCTTTGTGTGGCAAAAGTTGCAATTCTACTGAAGAATATTCCCTTTTCTTATTCTTGGGCAATCAAAAGGGCACAACGTAGCAGAGACAGAAAAAAAAAAATGAATGCTAATGCCAAGATCTGACTTCGTGGTGAAAGAGATAGCCACGTAAATTACGAATGCAATTTGGAAAATATTCCTCTTCCTCCTGGTGGGTTTAGAATGTTTCTGAGAATTACTATTTGTTGTTGGGACATGTCTTTGTGTGTAGGATCCAGCAGCTACCTTGTACATATGTGATAATTAGACAAACATGTTTACAACTCATGCTGTGGTGAAAACTCTAAGTGGACTTGTGTTGGAATGCTCACTTCTACCCTGGGCTATTTAATCAAATGTGCTTCTCTCCCCAGGCTGTCCCTAGAATGTCAAAGGGCTATTGACTGAATACTCTAACTTGGAGAAACCTACAATGTACTGACAGTGGGTGTGGGAAAAGAGAAGGGTTGCTTACTAAAGGCACAACAATCTTTGAGGACGAAGGGTGAGGTCTCCCATAAAAAAGAAAATAACAACAGTAAAGCTCAGGGAAGGCATAAAGAAAGGAAAGTGTTTCATTGTTCTTGCTGCCCTTGTTTCTATTGTCTTTGTTTTTTGTGAAATGCATACCTGAAAGCATTAAGGTTATGAAGTGAGGTATACCTGTGAGTGGACACTTCTATGGGGTTATGAAGGTGCCTTTTCTGTAGGTTGTTGAGAAAGTCCTATTTAGGATCTACTTTGCAGTTTCCTTCCCATATTTGTTGGCTTTATTTATACTCAATGCTCTTCAGTTGTATTTTTATACAGAGAAAAATCAATACACAAGTGTAAAAGAAAAATTGCACTGGACCAGTTAAACAGGCAAGGAAGACTTCAATCAAGACTACTGTAAGAAGAAAGAGGTTGAACTCAACTCCGTTGAAATAAAAGGCAGAAGAGTTTTTCAGCTAAGGTGAGCTAGTGGAAAAGTACTGGAGAATCTTAGGATGAGGTTGGTTAATGTGATAAGGCCATCATCAGCACTTACCAAAGAAAGTAGTCTCCTACCTTCCCACTGAAATGGGATGTGATCTTTTAGATCTTTTCTTATTATTACATTTCAAAGAGACGGCTCTCAAGTCCTTGAGAAGTTCTGGGTTGTAGAAGACTTACATCTCAAAGGGTCAGAGAAATAATTTATAACTGCAAGTTTTCTAAAGTAAATGCTCCAAGAAAAGGGAATTCAGAAGACAATAGAGTCAGGAATAAAGCTTTTTAAAGTTTAGTCAAGATGAGGGAAATCTTAAGGCCATCTTGATCAGAAGTTCAGGGAGAGGAGGTGTGGCCCATCTTCATATACCTCTCCGTTGTCAAAGGTGATTGAATGCAGGTTCCAGGCAGTTCCAGGCAGTAACTGGCAGCAAAGTGAGCTTGTCACAGTAAGACCAGGGGCAGTGAAAAGGCACCAGGAGATTATGGAGAAGCCTTAATATCTTACCCTAGAAGAAGTACAAATAAATTCTCTCCTTTCCAAATATTTTCTAGAAGGAAACTAGCTCTTGGGAAGGGTTTGAATGACAGCTGTAAAACTTTCTTCATATACACACCATAACTTGTGATTTTTTGCTTTTATTTGCTTGTTAATCTCTCATAAGACTATCAACGACATAAAGTAATAAGAAACCAATAATTTTTATTTAAAATCATATAATCAACACCTAAAACAGGGTCTGCATTAAAACAAGAAGTGGGTGAGAGGCAGGGAGGAAGTCAGGACTCACCATCCAAATTTTCAGCTCTTTCTACCATCTTGAATTTAGAACCTATAAATAACTCACAAGACATCTCCACTTGATTATTTTTGTTTAAGCGGTCACTTGCTGAACTAATTCTTTTCCATTTTCCCTCTTTTTAGTTAACTATAGAAAGACTGTGGAGAAAGAATAGAGGAATCAGCTTTATATGTGAAACATTAGTGGTGTGCTAGTGCCCTGTCCTGCCAGCCTGCAAGAAGGGATTGTGTGCATCTCTTCCCAACTCTTCCCTCATGACATCATATTGACAGCTTCTAGTTGGTCATGTTGGTTCCTCCCACCCCCAAAGAAACTAATAAGCACTATAAATCAGGATTTTCTTTCTCTGAAGAAATAGTTGTTAAACATTTACCAGAATACCTCTGTAACCCCTGGCCTACAGCTAAGATATTAAATGGACAATTATTACATAAAACAGATCTGAAACAGGAGGAATAGAGTGAGGGAAAAACTAACAATTACTGAGAACTTATATATTTTCTAATTTAAACCTCTAATAACCCAGAGAAATATGTATGATTATCACTATACCTCAACCAGGACTGGGAAACTGGGAGACTCAAAAGAGATAATGTTTTCAGACTATAAAATAATACATTATGGAATTAAGATTTAAAACCAAGTCTTTCTCTCCCCATGTCTTTGTTCTTTCCATGTATTACATTTCCAAAAGCCGAATTCTTTAGTACTTGAAACTACTTAAGGAAAACTACTTAAGGGATACAAGTCTCTAAATTTACTTTGGAAAAATATCAGATTCAGAAATGTTTAAAATGTTTTTAATATTGATTAATAAAGTGATCATTTACAGATGCCAAATGCATGCTTTCTTTGTTATTCATATTATAATTTAAAAGAAAAAAAAAGAAAGCTCTGAATATAATATTCAATTGTAGGTTCCCTATATCTGCTTTCCTTTTCTTTTTTTAAATTCATATTAGCACCACGAACATCCAGAAAATGAACTGATTTGAGATTCTGACATATATAAGTGATGTTGAAACATGGCTCAAAAATTTCACAATTCAGAGAAATGTAGCCCTTGGCAGAAATAAATATTTAAGAAAGAATACAGAAGTTAGAAGAATACAGTCAAACCACAGAATCTTAATACAATAACAAAAACTAGAGAGACCAAAATGAAGCCATTGGTTACGGCAATGTAACTTTCATATCTCTACCTTAAATCCATCATAAAATACCTGTTGAAAACTAAGATAGGGTCAGAAAGAAATACTTCCTTTCTTTTAAAGTGTAAAATATTAATAACTTGGCAGCTACATATGAAGGAAGATGTCCACACAGTGTTTAGCATATTTCATGGAGTTCACTTGACCCACCAAGTTGGAACTTCAGAGTGTTATTAGCAGAATAACAACAAAATTCAATATTTTCAAACACTGTGATGGGTTCCAGTAGAGAGTAGAAATAGGAAACTATTATTTAAAATCTTTTATTTTCTTCAAAATGTAACAGTATTAGATGGAATGGAAAAAAAAGTCCTAAGTTATAAAATTCTTTTATAAAAGAACAATTCTAACTTTCCCTATCTGCCGGTGAAATGATCTCAAAGAAGACTGACCTATAACATAAATGAATGGAGTTACTAAAATGATATTGAAAAAGTATAGTCCTCAGTGATAGGAAAGTATAGTCTATCATTCATAAGCTGAAAGAATAATACCCTTAGCAACGTCAGAGCAAGCCAGGCAACAGGTAAAGGTCTGTTTAATGGGAAATCCCAACTGTGTAATATAAACTATTGGTCAGATGGCAAACTGATCTGGAAAAAAGTTATTTTCATGCTACTCTTCAGATTAATTAAATGCTGAAGAATATTAAAGCAGATAAGCTTGCTGGCATCTGTAAGTGGCAAAAGAATAAAAATCCTGGGCCAATATCCCAGTTTTAGGCATTGCTGCACTTAACATCCATTCTTCAACTCCTCAATAGCTTTGCTGTACAAAAGGGTGTAATAATTCTGTGTTGTCAAAGAATGATTCTTCTCATCTGAACAAATTTGCTGATATCTCAGAGTACATTTATAAATATCTTATTCTTTCTGATTCTTAAAACATTTAATATTCAAACAAGCTCAATTTAGCCAGGAAAAACTTGTACAGGCCAAATATTTTTTTAAAACCACTCAGCATATGGAAAATGAATTTGAGAGAGAGGGTGACAGTTGCTGTGTTTGTAAATTTATCAGCAGCATACAACACAATAAACTATCTAAACCTATGTGCCAAGTTCTCTGATGTGATAAATGACAATCATTTAGTAGAGTCCACCTGAAGATTTTTTTTAAACCAAGAATAAGGCAATAACTTGCATCATCAGTGAAGAAAAAAATGTATGGCAATGTACAGTCTTTCTTTTCTCATTTTTCTTTCATTTATTTATTCATTTATTCCTTTTTTTGTTTTATCTCTCCTTTCATCTCTTATTTTTCTTTATACTTTAAGTCTGAAATAATAGCACATTAAAAGCAGAATGTAGAGGCTTATTTACATAGATCTGCATTTTGGGGAAAAGTTTTGCTACAAAATCAACAAATCATGCAAATCATACATACATATTTTCCCTATATTATTTGCTAGAATCAGGATCTAGGTTATAATTAAAGAAAAAAAAAAGGGGGGGGCGGGCAGGAGGCTCACGCCTGTAATCCCAGCACTTTGGGAGGTCAAGGCGGGCGAATAACGAGGTCAGGAGATCGAGACCATCCTGGCTAACACGGTGAAACCCCGTCTCTACTAAAAATACAAATAATTAGCCAGACGTGGTGGTGGGCGCCTGTAGTCTCAGCTACTCGGGAGGCTGAGGCAGGAGAATGGCCTGAACCCAGGAGGCAGAGCTTGCAGTGAGCCGAGATCGCACCACTGCACTCCAGCCTGGGTGACAGAGCAAGAAAAAAAAAAGACCTCTCAAAAAAAAAAAAAGACCTCAGTAGAGATCATTGAATTGAGTCACTGACAAATCAGCTGGAAACTTAACCTCTCTTAGGACCAAATGTTAATCCTATAATGCCCTCTTGCCTCTGGTTATAACACACTGTTTGGTGAGTTGTTTTAATCCAATGTCAAATCAGTTTAATAAGATGGAATTCTCAAGACAGAGATAATCTAGCATTTACAGGGACCCATGACATTTTTGTTTTTTGCACATGTCCATGGTAGTAGAGGATGGCTTGCAGTGTGTGAGCATAAATTGCAGACACCAAGAGAATATCCTATGTTTTAAAGTGTCTGAAATGGTCTGTTCTTTCTTTACTCCTCAAGGGACAATCTTAAATGCCACCCTTATGCCATATTAGTACAATCACTGCAAAGACTTTTTTTTAGTAGAAGAAATTTACAGACATCAAACTGATAAAGATTTGCTGCAATTCAATTCAATTATTGGCCCAAAAAATAGTCTTAAAACAGTATGCTATTGAATTATTAGAGCAATAATTAAATAACCCCAGATTTTCAATTTTAACACAAATTTTGAAATGCAATTGATGAATTTTTCTTTATGTCACACAATTAACTGTTTCATTAGTTTTGTAACTTTTATGGGGGAGAAAGGCAGAAAATGAGGGGGAAGAAGAATTAAAGCATCATTTGAACATACAAATGGACTTCATGGAATATTCTGAGAGTCCAGAAAGCAAGAACCATGGATTCAAAAAGCCCTCTGCCACAGGAAGGAAAATAGCACTTATCTCGAAGAAGTGAAGTATTTGCAATGCAGAAGCTGAAACAAGATTTCTCCTTTGTCCAACTGCTGGGGTCTCTGGGTCACAGATGGTTGGTGCCAACCAAATATCTATGCGCTATTCTGTATTTCTCACTGCCCCTTCCCCTCTACTATTTAATTTAAAACTATCTAACTACTGCAAGACAACAATGTGTCTTCCAGGCTGGAGCAATTAGAAACTAGTGTGCTTTGTCTACCTACCTCTTTTTTCTCAATAGTAACCTTAGAGTGTTTCATTTTTCCACAAGATAAAGAAGGGCTGCTGAACCATATCAGACTCTAAGCAGGCAGAAAGATACATGTGTATTGGGTTAAGGCACTGAGATTTGTTTTTTGTTTTTTGTTTTTTCTTGCCCCATCTTAGGCTAGCCTAGCCTGATAAATACAGCCTGAATATTTTGAAACAGCTGACACTAATCAGCCAACAAATTTTGATATTTAAAAACTATGGCTTTATTTTCTATAACTTGATTTTTAATAGATTAATGTTATGTTCAAGTTTCTTCCCATCATACTAGACATGTGAGAAACTTTGTCTTTCTTGACTTTGATTACCACTCCATCTACTAGTATTAGGTTGGCACAAAAGTAATCGCGGTTTTTGCCATTGCTTTTAGTTACTTCTACATTACTTTTAATGGCAAAAACTGCAATTGCTTTTGCACCAGCCTAATACTTCTGTCTACCCCTATTCAAGGTCTCTATCAAAGTTACTTGGGGTTATAGAGGGTAAAGGACACTTAGGCTTCGAGTCTTTTATCACCCTATCACAATATCCAACCTCAAAGCCATCATATTCTTTTAGGTCCAGATATCCCATCACTGTTAATTTATTTGTTTGGCCACATTTGGCTCTTCCTCACAGGTAGCTTCTGGACCTCCTGCCACAGCTGTCAGTCATTTGCATACGCCTCTTCTCCCTGCCTCTCCTCCCTCTATTTCTGACTAGGAAAAATCCTTGTCCTTTTATGACTTTGATGGAATCACATTGTCTATTTCCCAAATCCTCTCCTTATTCCACATAAGACTTAAGATTTTGTAAACAAAGATCAAGCCACCTGCTTGAATTTGGGGAATGGCAAAAGGTAGAAATAGCAGCTATGGTCGGCGGAGAGAGGAAGGTGACATGGATTAGGATTTCTGAAAATGTTCTATTGCTGCACAATTTATGATTTCTTTCTTTTTCCTTGTTTTTTAGCGGATATTTATATGTTCAATGCATATATGGCATGGCTTCAGGCATGACATGTCTTTTGAGTATTATTTCTCACCCATGCCTTTCACCAGCTTATAATCTAGCCAAAATAATTATCTCATTGTTTCATAGAAATGCCTTCCAAAAATCACCTCCACATTGACTCGTGTTTCCCCACTTACATCTTGAATGTAGCTATATTCTAAGGCCCAACTAAAGGCCGTTATCTCCTAAAGACTTTTCTGTTGGTAAAAGCAACCCATTTTTGAACAGAGCACTTTGTGTTTTAAGTGTGTGCCAAGTGAGTGACCCCAAGCACTTACTAATCAACCAGTCAGTCCCAAAAGGTGGGTAATGAATATCTGCCCCCATGGCACTCAATAAACAGGGCTTTAGTGTTTGGACAGTTCCTACACTATATGAGCATTCAGTAAATAGCAGTCATTAATATGATGATGTTAATAATACCAACTAATATGCTTTACGGTATTTATCTCTCAAATTTTATTGTAGTTAGATTTCATCTTCTGAGCTTCCTCTTGTAGAATTTATACTGTTTTGTTTCGTTTCGTTTTGTTTTTTTGAGATGGAGTTTTGCTCTTATCGCCCAGGCTGGAGTGCGGTGGTGCAGTCTTGGTTCACTGCAACCTCCACCTCCCAAGTGCAAGTGATTCTCCTGCCTCAGCCTCCCAAGTAGCTGGGACTACAGGTGCCTGCCACCACGCCTGGCTAATTTTTGTAGTTTTAGTAGAGATGGGGTTTCACCATGTTGGCCAGGCTGGTCTCGAACTCCTGACCTCAGGGATCCACCCACCTCAGCCTCCCAAAGTGCTGGGATTACAGGTGTGAGCCATCACACCCAGCCAGAATTTATACTCTTTAGGTTTAGATAGACAGATTCTGCCATGACTGTTAACATAGCAATCCATAAATGATGTTTTATTGAATAAATGAATCAATGAGTGAATGAATCAAGAGGATAATTCAATGATGGGGTTAAGCTATGTACTACATTGTGATTTGAAGTAATAGAAATTAGGTCTCTGTCCAGTCCATTGCTCCTGTGAGGTAGCCCCTTCTTTAAAGCATGACTGGCCACCAAAATATTGCATCTTCAATCACTGCATAATTTCATTTGCAACAGAATCTACATTTTTTTTTTGTGAGACCGCCCATCTGACCCTGAGGTATTCAATCTCCATATGCTCTGTGGTATAGGACTGGTCACTGTGAAAGATCTAAGGCTCACAGATGCCCTTCACCTCATTCTGTGAATCCCCTAATATGACCCCAGCAGTCATTTCTTCTCTTACTCCCAAGAACCTTGGCTATCTATAAAGCTCTCAAACTAGCCCCCTACAAGTACGCATATATTTGCAAACTGTCTTCTAAATAGTTTCCTCCTCTTCTGGTTCTATTAGAAACATGACCGTCCACTGAGAAAAATAGCTTTAAAAACTCTTTCAGAGTATTAATTTTTCCTTACTTATACCCCATATAAAACAGGGAGATAATAGAAATATCATTTTATTGCAGTGACCATTTAACACTGGGATGCTTAAAATAAAAGGGGGTACTAAGTATTGTACCAGGCAGAAGGCATTAAACTGACTTTCTCTAGGCATTCATCCACCATTGCAACTTCTAAACTATTTCTCTCCTTCAGCCTTCAACGATTTCAGTTTCTTTGGTGTATGCATCATATTTATGTGTATGTGCGGGCATATTTATATGTATATCATATTTTTACCATCCTTTACCTCTCCTATTTTTTCCTCCTTGAAACTCCCAGTCATTCCCCCACAACGTAATTCATCAAATATTCCATTACTCCTGTCATAATTGCCACACCCTGAATTTCAAGTTATTTGATATTCTTATCTCTATTGATCCTTTTCCTCCATTCCACCTTAACTATCCACTCACATGATCAAAAATTAGACCTAGAATTCATCAATACCACACATTAGCTATAAACATGGACTTTAAACAACCTATTACTTTTTATTCTTTCAGATCACTTACTCTAATATTGCTACTTTAAAAACTATCTTTGTGAGAATTAAAATCCACTGATCACTTCTTCAATATCCATTACCCTGTTCACGTTTGTACTTCCCTTCTTATCTGCACCAGCTCCATGGTTTAGCATTATATCCATTTCCTTGCAAACACACACAACCTCCTTGCCTTTCTTTTTCTTACTGTACATATTTGAAAAATTCCCAACTCAAATTAAATTATGTAAATCTTACTCTGCATCTGTACTCAAGATACTAAATATAACCCTAGAAAACTGAACAATTCTGCTGACTGGTCACCTTAAAATTTATAGCTGAAAATCTCAAATGGACAACCCAATATTTTACAGTCCTACAATAAATCTTTGGTAATTCACACTCTTTATTATGATTATTTCATACTCTCTCCTCTCCTCAAATCTCTCATAATTCTATAACTGACCTTCAGGCAATAACTAAATCTCATAAGGCAAATCTACCCAATATCTCCTTTTTTTCTTTACCAATTACCCTAACCTACCTAACCACATATTTTTCCTTAAGTTAAAATGGAAAAATCCTGCTGACATCTTTAATGCACTATTTTTATTATTATACTTTCTTTTTCTAAATATTGTTAGGTTTTTACCTTATATTCCTAGACACCTCCCAATTTCAGTTGCTAGATTCTTGACTTTTGCACCAGGTATTTATTTGTTTGTTTATTTGTTTGCTTATTTTATTTGTTTATAGACAGGGTCTCATTCTGTCACCCAGGCTGGAGTGCAGTGGCATCCTTATGACTCACTGTAGCCTCAACCTCCTGGGCTCAAGTGATCCTCCCACATCAGCCTCACTAGTAGCTGAGACTACAGGTGCACACCACCACACCTGGCTGTGCACCAGATTTTAAAATATTGAAACACCCATGAGATCTCTTTTTCTGCCTTCTTCTCCACCTACAACTTTCTCCTAAGTTGTCTAATTCAGTCTCATGGTTTCAAATACTACACTTTGAGGACTTTGAAAATTTTATCTCTAATATCTCTCTTTGCTCCAGATTCATACCCATCTCCATATATCACCATATTCATTTTGCATTAATATCATTGAAAACACACTAAGCCAAACAGTATTTACTCTTCTCACCCACCTTGTGTACATTTATATACCACTGCTCTCAAGTCTTCTTCACTGCCATTGAGTCACCTCCCAACCAGTTACTCAACCAGTTATTCAAACTTAGAATCATCCTTGATTATTTTCTTCACACTCTACTTTTCTCCCACCCACCAATAATTCTGTCTCTTTTGTCTTTAAAACATAACGCTTCTCTGACTATATCTCATTATTTCAACCATAAACTCTTGCCCAAAATATAAAAACAAGTTTTCACCTGGTCATTCTCATTATGTTCAACACTCTGTCCATTCCAATGACATCCAGAGTTATTTTTTCCAAGTGCAATTTGGATCTTTTCATTCACCAGGACAAAGACAAGTCTATCCTTCCTATTGCAATTAAATTAAAATTCAAACTCCTCTCACACCTACCTTGCTTACTCTATTTCCCTACACATACCATCTGAGTTACCATGTCCTATCCAAAATGGCAATATTTCTTTCAACTTAGAAGCCAAACTCTTTCCCATATGTCATTATTTTCTCTTCATGTACAATTCTCTATAATTTCCTTTCATAGCTACGTATTTTTCATCATTCAGGTCTCAATTCAAATGTTACCACTTAGAGAGAGAGGCCCTCCCTGACCATCAACTTCTCCCTGTTCACTATCACATTTTCATATTTTGTTTTCTTCATTTAACTTATTAATGTGTTGCTTATCACATGCTTATTTGTTTACCTGTTTATTGCCTTGTTTTTTGTTGTTGTTGTTTTTGTTTTTCGAGACAGAGTCTTGCTCTGTCGCCCAGGCTGGAGTGCAGTGGTACGATCTCAGCTCACTGCAACCTCTGCCTCCTGGGTTCAAGCGATTCTCCTGCCTCAACTTCCCCAGTAGCTGGGACTACAGGCGTTCGCCACCACGCCCAGCTAATTTTTGTATTTTTAGTAGAGACGGGGTTTCACCATATTGGCCAGGATGGTCTTGAACTCCTGACCTCAGGTGATACACCCATCTCGGCCTTGCGAAGTGCTGGGATTACAGGCATGAGCCACCGCACCCAGCCCATTTTTGTATCTTCTATACCTAAAAGAATGTGTGTGATATAGGCAGTACTTTAGAAACTGTTTTTGATATCAACATTTTGTTAACTTTCTGTGAATAATGGTTTCAATTGAAATGTAAGAAAGCTATACTCAAAATAACAACTCTAACAAGAGTGACAACAACAACAACAAAATCCCCTCAATATTCAGACAAGAGAACATGTGGGGAAAGGTTTGAGCTTTTAAGTTAGAATTTTCCTCAATTGAAAACAAATGTAAAAGTAGAAAATGAAAAAACAAATAATATCTAGAAGGCTTATGTATTTTATAGGCATAGGGATCCATGGACAAAGAATTCAGTGTCTCTAATCTTCATCTCTTACCTTCCAGGCATTTAACAAACAGTGTTGTTGTATATATTTTTTGTCAGGTACTGTTCTAGTTGATGAAGTTAAACCGTAGATATAACAGACACAAACCCCTGTCTTTGTGGAACTTCCACTCTTCTTTTTTATTTTTATTTATTTATTTTTTTCAAGATGGGGAGTCTCACTCTGTTGCCCAGGCAGGTTGAAGTGCAGTGTCGCGGTCTCGGCTGCACTCCGTCTCCCAGGATCAAGCAATTCTCCTACCTCAACCTCCTGAGTATTTGGGACTGCAGGCACACACCCCCAGGCCCAGCTAATTTTTTTGTATTTTTTTGTTTGTTTGTTTTTGAGATGGAGTCTCGTTCTGTCACCCAGGCTGGAGTGCAATGGCGTGATCTTGGCTCACTGCAACCTTCACCTCTCGGGTTCAAGTGATGCTCCTGCCTCAGCCTCCTGAGTAGCTGGGACTATATGCGCTCACTACCAGGCCCAGCTAATTCTTGTATTTTTAGTACAGATGGGATTTCACCATGTTGGCCAGGATGGTCTCAATCCCCTGACCTCGTGATCCACCCGCCTAGGCCTCCCAAAGTTCACACTACTTTTGAATATTGTCTGTGGCTGACCAGAATTTAACTTCCTTGACATGAGAAACCTCATCTATTGTGTACACAGCTACATCTCCAGCAACTGGCACAAAATAAGTGCTCAATAAAATTTACTAAAGGTTAAATACACGTTGTTCCAACATGACAATAAAAGAAAGCATATAGACTGCCTAACACAGGGCTTGGTATATATTGTAAATTGACTACACATTGTGATTAAGCTGAATAATAGTGAAACACTCTGTACCGTGTCTTACCTCCTCATCAACTGAATGCAAAATACAACTGAATTTTTTGAGATACGCTATTTCTTTTGCCCTAAAATTATGTCAGTGTCATTAAAATACATTTCTACAACATAAATATGTGAAAATGCTGTTAAAAGATTTTCACAGCTTGCTCTCTAGCAGTATTACTACTGCCTACTTCTACCCACACCTGCCCAAATATCACAGCAGGCCACTTTTAATTAATGCCCAGGGTTAAATGTCAGGTGCAACATCTCACTAATCTGTTATTTAGAGCAGTTGAGACCATGGAACAAATGAACCTCTGCCTTTAGCAGCTCATAAGAAATGCATCCTATACCTCCCCAGAATGGGATGGCTTGGTTCTTTGCCCCCATAAACTGAACCTACTGAGTGACAAATCAGAACTGATGACTTCAAAGTTGGCTAAGTCACTGGCTTTATAGCAGCAAGCACCACAGTGCACATAAAAGAAAGAACTGTTCCCAGACATTACCTACAGTAAAATCCTCTCTGAGTTCTTTTCCGGAAAGAAAGAAAGAAGCAACAAAAAGGATTAACCTAGTTGCATAAAGAGCAGTAAAGGACTCTGGCAATGCAGTTCGCGCTCGTAGGTTCGCATCACCAGTGAACAGAAGGCTTGCTTTACCGCTCCCTCAGGAGCACGTCTCTCATTGAGTCCACATGCTGTGAGTCCAAGGCACTGTTTCTCTCGCTATATTTGGCTGACTGGTTATTTTACTTTCTTTTTGCTCTACTCATCTTATTTTGTATCCCCCTGTGAGGTGAAAACAATCCAGATAGAACTAGACTATCATACAGGACTCGTTACTTAATTTTCTGTTTCTGAATAATTCATAAAGAAAATCTTATCAACTTGCCTTTCCTGTGAGGTTGCCACACATCCAGTTTCCCTCCACACAGTGTCTTCCTTCTAAAAACAAGATAGCTCTGGGTTCTGATACTCCTCTTGAGGGAGGGATGAATGCCAGGCTTGAGGGCTTATTAACAGAAGACTCTACTTTATCCAGGCTGTTCTGCTCAGAGGCTTGCAAACATCCCACACTTACTTCTCCCTCTACTCTACTGCATACCATAACCGGGCTACCCTCCCCTGTCCCATCTGTCAAGTCCTACCAACTCCTTGAGCCTGCCTAGGCACTGTGGCCCACCAGATGCTCTCATTCTTATAGCTCTTACTGTGATTTGTCTAGCTCACTTATTTGTCTTAGTTTCATATTACCACACTGTATTTCTTACCTGCTTATTAGTTTTAAACTCTGCCTTAAGTATCCAAATAGGTATGTCCTCCATCATTATAATAACCTAGTGTATTAGTTAGGGTTCTCTAGAGAAATAGAACCAATGGGATCGATCTCTCTCTCTATCATCTCTCTCTCTCTCTATCTGTTCTTATCTATCTATCTATCTATCTATCTATCTATCTATCTGTCTATCTACCTATCTAGAGGAACAGAGAGAAACACTGAGAGAAAGAGTAACTTTTAAAAATTGGCTCACATGACTTTGAAGACTTGGTAAATTCAAAACTTACAAAGTAGACTGGCAGGCTACAGACCACGGGAAACTCACTGTTTGAGTTCAGAGGCAGTCTCCTGGCATAAGTCTTTCTTGATGAGTGGAGGATGGTCTTTGTTCTATTAAGTCCTTCACCTGATGGAAGGAGGTGCAGCCACATTATGGAAGGTAATCTGCTTTACTCAAAGCCCATCAACTTAAATGTTAATCCCATCCAAGAAAACACCTTCATAGAAACATCTACAAGCATGTTTGACCAAACATCTGGGCACCATACAAAGCCAACTGGACCCATTAAATTAACCATCATTCATAGCAAATCTATTGTGTATAATAAGTTCTCAATGTATTGAATATATATACATATGAAGAAATGACCATTTGGGATTAATAAGCCAAATTCCTACAGGGTTGGTTACCAACCCATTTTTCTAGTCTCATAATCCACCATACTCTTCCTCACTTTCTCCTCCCCAATCACTGTGTATGCCTTGCTTCTTCCTGTGATGAGACTTTTGCATGGACTGTACCCATTGTACAGCTGCTCTTTCCTTCACTTTTTACCTAACTTATATTCACTCTTCATTTATTCATTGATTTTGCAAGGAAACATTATCAGACTCTCCAGACGAATTTAGTTTCCTGAATCATATGTTCTCATAGTTACAGACTACAATATACCTCTCTTTCATGACTTTTAAGAAAGTAGTTTCATATTATTTGTTACACATTACTTGATTAATATCTGTCTTTTACACTTGACATTAAATTTTATGAAAACAGAGAGTATGTCCATTTTTGCCCACGTTTTGTCCAGATTCTAACAGTTTCTGGTGCATAGGAAGTAATCAATACATTTTTGTTAACTTCTGGCTAAATGAATTATTAGCCAGTGAGATTAATTTTGCTTCTCTTATAGAATGCTTCTAAAAAGGCAATTAGAAGCTACACAGTGTTAAAACAACCAGAACAAAACATGAGCAAAGTCAAGCTATAATTAATTCTCTATGCAAAAGGTTAAACAATCAGTATGTTATCTGCCTGAACTGCCTGGCTACATTGCTACAAGTACAGTTTCAGAATCCTAACACCTTCCAATATCAGATATAGACAACGCTTCAGTATCACCTTCCATTAATTAACAAACATGGAGATTATGCTATTTTGAGAGAGAGGGAGATTTCTTAAATTCAATGTTATTGACCACAAACCTAGAGTCTTCCAGAGATCTGTTGCTCACTGATATATAACTGATTAGTAATGTATGAGTAAATATTTTAGACTGAAAATAAGTATCTCTTTTAAGGTTAGAAAATCTGATTATAATCCTACTCAATTTTAAAATTCTCTTTGAGTACTTGAAATTGTAGAAATTAGCCCTAGAAACGTTTGAGTTACATAAAAATTTTACATCAGTTTCAACCTGTCAGTATCTTTTTTTAATTTTTTTTTTTTGCCCCTTATCAGGATTGTTGACTTTCTCTAAATTTTGCCTCCTTAAGAGTTGAGAATGCTTAGATTTGCCCACTCCAAACATACTAGTTGTTATAATTTCACATAAAAGGTAAAGTAGAATAATTAAAATATTTCAGTGTTTCACTCTAATATTTGTATAATCCCTCCTGTCTCAATGTTTTGTTCTTTTACCCAGGTTTTACTTCAGGTATCTGTTTTACTGCTATAGTTAATCTGATCACTTATTTTTGTATGTCTTTATTTCTTCATTTGTAAAGTGAAAATGATAAAAATGTCATAACCCACAAGACTATTTTGAAAATCAAGTAAAACACTGTACCTATACATCTCTTAACTGAAAAGTACATGGTAAATCACAGTGTGATTATTATATATTAAAATATTTAAATAATCCATTTGATATATGATTGTCCAACCTAATAACTATCAATAAGCCTAAATATAAACAAAATTTAAAATTGTTATGCCTAAAGTATCAGGCTAATTATCATCACATAACCCTTCTCCTTTAAATTCTTCTTCATCTTAAATATGGACTGTTTTACCTCAATGAATATTTCTTAAAAACAAATTAATGTATAGCTGATCAATAATAGAAAATTAAGTCAGAATAACAACAGGTTGACCTAATCCATATGCAACATTCCCAAGCATGTTAATATTTTGCCCCAATTAATAACTTCAGCTGAAAACAAACTATACTAACACACCAAAAAATAGGGAGCCAGGCTGAAGGAACACAGTACAAAGTAGACACCCTGCCATCAGTCAGTTTAGCCAAATAAACAGACAGTGAAGACTTTAAGTGGGTTTTCACCATTGCATAGATATTGCTAAGCAGAAAATTTCTTCATGCACTTCTGAAATCTAATGCCCTTGTGTCTCATCTAAGAGTTAGTCAATTTTTTAACTTATATTTTATTCTATTTAAACAACCCATTCAACAAACCCTACTAGTCATTCTGCAAACTTAGTGCTAATAGCCATGCAGTTGAGTACCAAAAGCCTAGTCTTTAGAAGTAGGTAGACTTGAGTGCAAACTTTGGTTCCACCCACTCACCAGCTGACCAATCTTGGGTGAATCTCTAACTTTTAGATGCCGCCGCCATTTGTTCACCTATGAAATTGAGTTAATAACATTATCTTCCCTTGGTTCACTGTGAGAATTAAATGACATGAGTTTTGTAAAACACGATGGAACCTAAGTACTGCAGTTTAAATTATTGTTGAGACAGAGTCAATATTAACAGCGTGTGTAGTTACTTTGCTGTTAGTAAGTTGATACCCAGTTTCTAGTCTGACTTTTTCTATGTAACATAAAGTATTGGTACATTTTAGGTCATGAAAATAAATGTCCCACCTCTGTGTGAACAAAATTCAATGGATTGATTTTCATTCTATTTTGCCCAGTGTTAAATAAAATTTTGACCTCAATTATTTGCATATCATCTGCATATTCTAATCGAAAGTATTGCATGATCTGGATTGCCATCCTAGATAATTATCTCAGCTCTTTGCTTCACATTTGTGTTTAGCCTTAACATCTCAACCTTCCTTGCCACATTTATGTCGTTAATTGTGATTATGTTCAACTATGTATTACTGATATTAAAAGCACCAAACAGCAGATATCATTATCTTCAAGGAGATCCCAAAGCTTCTCCCAACCTGATGCTTAAATCTAAACCACTCAGCATGTTTGGCAAAATACTCACAACACAGCTATCTGTTTTTGGAATAAGTGCCCCTCTCCATTCTACTTAATTGAAAACAACTCTAAATTGCCCTCCTGAGCATAAAGAACCAGGGATTAAGACATAGTAGCGGAAAAGTATCAGGGTTTTAAAGACTTATATAAACAACACAGTTGTTTGAGCGGGTGACAAATAAATTCAAGCTCCCCAGGACACACTTGTTTAGGATTTTCCCAATTAGGCATTTTATTTGATCTTCGGGTCTGGGTGAGCCACAATTCTCTAGAATTGAAGAGGAGATTAATGGACCAGAGACAATGGCTAATTCATCTCCAGGGCTTTGTTCATTGCTTGTCTTTGCTAATTTAATACTGTTATTTCCAAACTTAAATAAATCAAAATGAGAATTGGGCTAGGGCAGTGCATCTCAACAAGCTATGCAATCACAGGATTATCCTCCAACACCCTTACTTTTACACTAGGTATCTTGACTTGAAAATAATGCTCCCCTTTTGGAGGTGTAAACAGTGGAGAAATAACATTTTGCATATTATCTCGATTAAGTCTGCTCATTGGTGGCAGGGAGTGTGGAGAATAACTTAGCATATTTACAAAGAGACTGAAGACAGAAATTTTAAAAGGATTTCAGTTTAGGGACCTGAGTGCTCATAATAGCTTAGAGGAGAATGAATACAATATGTGGCACAGATAAAAGAAAAAGCAGGTTTTTCTTAATCATAGCTCTACAATCTAAAATGAAGCACAGCAGGCTGGGAAATCCTACAGAGGTGGGCTTTTTTGTTTGTTTGTTTTGTTTTATAAGATATGTCATATCTATGGACTGACAAACATTGTTTTCTATCCTTTCATGCCCTCATATTTAAATTTGAGAAATTCACTTTATAAAGTGCATTTTTAGTAAAAGCGAAATGATGCTTTTTCTATCTTATTAAAAAAGAAATGAAAATAACGTCTTTAACCCAACCCAGATAGAAAGACTTAGCTCATTCTTTGAGCATCAACAAAATTCAGCAATACAAAGAAAATACATGCTTAAAGGGGAACAAACGGGCCCATATAAAAGCTTAAACTCCTAGTCCTTCACCTTTTTCAACTAGTGGTTAAATAATTCTGGGCTAAGATCTTGCAAGCTGAACAGCTAAACTCAGGGTATCACAGTTTTAGATCCATTTGCATTAGTATATATACATATATACACACATGTGTATACACACACACACACACACATATATATATATACACATATATTTCAAGCTCACAAACTCCTTAAAAATAGTTTATCTCTAAAGCATCCTCTTCAGGACAATATGGAAATATATATATATAGTGACGTCCTTTAATTCTAGCTCATAAGCACTGTTTCTTGTCATGCACAAATAAAGAATCGAACCTAAGTTGTTATTTTTTTTAACATCTAGCAAATGCCTCTATTTTTTTGTTCACAGAGTCTAACGGTTATGCAATAACTGAAAATAATTTAAAAGCAGTCTATCTCTGATGAAAAAAAGCATAATGGTAATAATTAATGTTTATTCTCTGTAAAAGATCTAACAGATTATCTCGTCTGGAGGCACTTTAAAAAAGTTTTCGTTTCTCCCAACGTATAGAGAAGGGAGAAACAATCCCCCACAGCCACACAGCGAGTCTATAGCAAGTCCAGTTTTCTTTTTATCTTTTTATTACTTTGTGCAAAGATTCTCATATAATCTCAGTTGTATAACTTGTATCCTTCTTTTCCTTTTTCTTTTTCTTTTATCTAACCACAGGGAGAGCAGCCTGGGAATTGAATCTTCCTTTGCCATGCTCCACCTGGAGTGCTAAGTCTATACGAAGTAGGTAACATCTTGAAGACACTTAATGAACTGTGGTTTGATGATTCCTCTTTCATTCTTGTTTCCCTTTTATAATCTTAACTTTCAGTTAAGTTCCTGTTCTTAAAATTTCCATTCTCAGAGAACATTCACACTTCATGAAAATAGCCATGCTTTCTAAGGGCTAATTGAAGCTCTACAGCTTGTATTACATCTTTTTAGCAAAATGATAAAATTATTTTATTTTAGAAAGAAGCAATGGAGAATTTCAGATAGTGATTTTCCTGTAAAAAAATAAAATACATATACTCATTAGAAATACATTCCTTCGTATGTGTGCAAATATTTATTACACACCTGATAAAGTAAGAATTGTTGTTGTGGTAGATAAAACACTGCCAAAGATATGGATGCACACCTACATTCCTAGTTAGGCAGGAGGCTAAGCCTGGAAGACTGATTGAACTCAGAAGTTGGAGGCTGCAGTGTGCTATAATCACACCTGTGAATAGCCACTGCATTCCAGCCTGAGCAACGTAGTGAGATTCCATCTCTATTAAAAAAATTTTTAAAAAGGAAAAAAAAAGCCTGTAGGAATTTACAAAAATAACGAACCGATGATATAGTTTTTACAAAAATAAGTAAAATAGCAGAAATACCCATGCATTTTGAAAGGTACAGAAAAATACTATGAGATTTCAGAATAAAAACTTCTAACATATTTGCAGCACAAAATATAAGACAATATTCTTAAACACTTTACTAGCAATAATTCCTTGAATTCTCATAACTACCATATTAGTAAGTATGATTTTTATCCACTTTTTAGTGATGAGGAAACTGAGACTCAGAAATAAGTGGTGGATCATGGATTTTAACTGAGGCATAGCAAAACTATTTAAGGAATGGACACGATATATTGTCTTCCTTACAATAATGAAATATAATACCTGTGCAAGTTATAAATAAAACCAAAAAAAAGCTGTGAGTACTCAATGAACAATTTTGTACACATTATATGTTCAGATAAACTATAAAATCACACCAAAAAATCTCATTTTTCATGTTGGAGTACTTGAGAAAGAAAACACAATTGCTATCATTATCATGTATTCATTAACAATTCTTTTCTAATCTAATGAATGCTATACCACATTTGAATACACATGAAACACTAAAAATTTCCAAAATTAGCAGGGAAATTGAAAGGGAAAAAAATCTGTTAGCCATTTGTAGGAAATTTTTAAAATGCCAAGTACCTAATGGGCTGCAGCACCAAAAGTTGTGCATATCTGGAGAAAAATCAGTGTCCAAATGATTTTTGTAAATAAATAAACAGAAAAGGTTAAAAATTGCATTCAAAGTAGAAGCATCTGAAGAACATAAAACTACTAAGATATTTCAAACCCTTTCTGCCACATGCTTTCTGTAGAAAAGAAATCATTCTTTAGCAACTAAACATGGCTCACAGATGAAAAGAGTTGAAAAGTACATTTATTATGATTAAACCTAATAGTATACATAAGTTCCACAAACAAAAGTACTAGTCCTCACATTTGTCCATTTGTGTCTTCTTTGTTTATTTGAATATCCTTTCCAAGATATCTCAATAAAATTCAAAATGAAAATGTTGACTATTAATTATATTACCAGCAGTACATTAAACCATTTAGTAAGTTACATCTTTTAAAGTACAAGTAAAGAAATCTTGGCTCAGAAAAGTTGTGTCTTTTCTTTCTAAGACCATGGTTAAGAAATGGTCTAGGAACTGACTAATATTTATATAAATTTAAAAACCAGTTGCCTAGAGTAAGGACTCCAATATTATGTCATTCTTCATAGAATCAGTAGGAACTATTGCTCTAACTTCCGATTTTGGATCTCTGATGTTTTTGAAACTTAAATAGTCAAGAGAAATTATAATTTGTAAAATAGAATTTTGGATAAAATGCATTTTTCATTCAACAAAAATGTAGAATTTGTACTAGGCACTGAGAAAAATATGAATTCAGGAAACAGCATATTCAAAGTGGGCAAATTAGAAGAAATTGGCTAAAGAACAAAGGATGATGTAGTGCCCCGTGCCTAGTAACTACGGGGGGCTTCACTTCACCCTAGGACTAAGTAACAAGAAGAAGGAGCAGTTACTGGAGCCCAGAGAGCACTGAATGGAACGGGCTATCGCTCAGGAGCCAGGGAATCAATTCCAGCTTAACTCTATCCCCACCTATGATCCCCTACTGGTACCTTTCATCAGTTTAACCCAAGCAGGCACCCCTGGGAAAACACAACAGAAAAAAGTAGAGATTGGACTTGGGTGACATAGAGACAAATATCCAACACAAACATACTACAGCAATTTTCTTCAAATAGCTTAATGAATAATAACAAGACAGACATATGAACCAATTAGGATAGCAAAGTCTTATTGGTTCTATAACAATATTGAACAAAATACTTAAGGCTTTATGAAGCCCTCAGTCTTCACATTGCTGTCTTTCTATCAACCAATGCAACAGATACCCACAAACTAAAGATAATTAAATTACAGGAAGGACCCAATAAAGAGGAAGGAAGGAAAAGCAATAGAAGAAAAGAAGGCTAAGAACACAGGAAAATACAATGTAAAAAAGGGGAATAAAAACAAGGTAATAAAGGCCTTCTTTCCCCCCAAAATTCAGAACAAATTATATTCTGTTTTTGTCACCTTGGCCTGGGGCTGAATATCCATACTTACTCTCAAAGAAATTATCATTGTATGGAGAATAGGGAATCCTTGCACACTATAAGTAGAAATGTAAATTAATTATGGTAAATATGTGGGAAGCTTCCTCAAAAAATTAAAAATAAAACTACCATTTCATCTTATAATCCCAGTACTAGGTGTACATCCAAAAGAAATGAAATCAGTATGTTGAAGAGAAATCTGCACTCCCACGTTCGTAACAGCACAATTCACAATAGCCAAGATTTGGAATCAAACTAAGTGTTCATCAATGGATGAATGGATAAAGAAAATACGGTGTATATACACAATAGATTACTATTTGGCCATAAAAAAAATGAAGGAAATCCTGTCATTTGCAACAGAATGAACCTTGAGGGCCTTATGTTAAAGAAAATAAGCCAGGTACAGAAAGACAAATACCACATTATCTCACTCATATGTGGAATCTAAAAAAGTTGACCTTGTAGAAGTAGAGTTGAATGGTGGCTACCAGGAGCTGAGATGATTTCGGTGGGTGGGGGGCCTGGGGAGATGTTGATCAAAGGATATACTTCAGATATGCAAGAGGAATAAGTTCAAGAGTTCTACCATACAACATGATAATTACAGTTAATCATATATTGTACTCTTGAAAAATGCTAAGAGAGTGGATGTAGTGTTCTCACCACAAAATGATAACTATGTGAACTAATGCATAGGTTTAGTCATTCCACAATGTATAAAATATACTCCAAACATCATATTGTACACAGTAAATACATAAATTTCATATGTCAATGTAAAACAAATTATATATATGTGTGTGTGTGTGTGTGTGTGTGTATATATATATATACATACATAAAATCATCATTTATTGACAGATTCATTAACATTCGAAATGTTGGAAAGGACCTCAAGGAAAAAGCTGTGGCTCAATCTACTCGGCTCAAGCATTCCCCTTGCCTCTGCCTCCCATGCAGAGCTGGGACCACAGATGCATACCACCAAACCCAGCTATTTTTTTGATTTTTGTAGAGATGGGTTCTCATTTTGTTGCCCAGACTGGTCTCACACTCCTGGGTTCAAGCAAACCTCCTGCTACAATCTCCCAAACTGCTGGGTTTAGGCATGAGCCACTGTGACTGGCCCGTTCTCCCTCTCCTTTCTTCTTTCCTTTCATCCCTCTTTTCTTCTCATGTAGATTTTGAATATGTGTGTTCTTTATAAGTCAATGGGAAAAAATGGCAAGCAAAGTAGACATGCTCCTTGACATCATAAAATTATATTCTACTGGGCAGAACTGAAACAAGTAAACATAAATATAAAACACAATGTGGAAAATTCTATAGTGAAAAAGTAGACAGCAACTTGAAAGAGTGTAACAGGGAATAACCAACATAGTCAAGATGTAAGGTGATGGGCATGAATCTGGGAAAGCTTCCTTAAGACAGCCATGTTTGAGAGAGAAGTGAAGCAATGAGGAAGAAGAAATGCAACTCGAATCTGCACTGTATCCTAAAGAATTTTAAAATCTGAATATTTATGTTGAAATAATTGGAGATTATTGATATCAGAAAGACATTTGATATAACTATATATAAATAAATAGTGATCTGTAAAAGTAGGAATGTATTTACCTCTACAAATAACTTTTATATGGGAAAAAAGAAAAGAGTTATCAGCTTTTAGGAATAAAGAAGCCAGAATAAAAGGGTAACATGCACAGTGAGACAAACTTTGAGGATATTTGTAATATATTCTAGAGATCTCTATCCCACCATACTAAAGCAAGTGGAAGATTTTTATTTCAGTCAAAAATTGAAGCAATTAGTAAAAGTGTGAAATCCATAATCATTTGTTGAGCTGCTTTTAAAAGTGTTTATCATCACATTTAGTAAATTTCACTATCGTAATTGACCATATTCTTCTCTCACACATGGCAGGAAGAAGCACACATGCTCCTTATTGATGCCACTAGAAGGCACATGCACTAAACCCCAGGAGCAAAATTTAACTTTAATGCATATATAGGAAAATCACTTTACTCATAACTATGCACAAGTATAATTACTGAACAAGGATGAAATGTCATGCAATTAAGTGGAATACCCAGGGATCACACAGGGCATAGTTACAGAATAGAAGAGACCGAAGGATACAGAGACATCTACTGTTTAGGGGATCTCAAAATCATCCAAGGACAGTGTTCTTTTCCCATCTCTGTAGACTTCTCAGAGGAGTCAAGAAAGGTGTCCTCATGGATTTAGATGAAGAACTACCCCCTTTCCACACAGTCCTCTATCCTATCTATCCTGGTTACATCCAAATTCCCTCTAGTAGTATAAGCTACTTAATCTATTCCTTAATATACTACATTTATCCTTGCAAGAATAAGAAAAAAAATCACCATAACAAAAATATGTGCTGCATTTGTTATGGGATTTCCAGCTTCTGATGTCTGTGTCTTAGCCACCACAGTAACAGGAGGCAGGGTCTCAAGTCACCAAGACCTTAGAAATTGACACACTTACTTTACGTGTCACTTTACATAGTGTATTATAAGAGTAGTAATCATATGCCCCAGTTTTCCCAGAACAGTCTCAATTTGTGCCTATTGTCTCCATGTAATTATTAATGGTATCCAATTTTATTTTGAAAGGTGTACTGATTTAGATGATAAGTTGAATGGTCACTCTATCAAAAATGATGGTGTAAGGATAGCATGCCAGGAGAGTTTGCCCTTAGAGGAAATCAGTGTTTTCAAGGGAATAACATTAATTTCTAATCAATGTGTGTATAGTTTCTCTGAAACTGCTTTTCAACAACTATGAATTTTACAATGGAAAGACATTGAATTAAAATGAGATGATCTCATAAATAATATATAATAAACAAAATTCCACACTTACTTTGGGAAAGTATATTGGTTCATTTTCACACTGCTGTAAAGAAATAGATGAGACTAGTAATTTATAAAGAAAACAGGTTTAATTGACTCACAGTTCCACATGGCTGGGGAAGCCTCAGGAAAATTACAATCATGGCAGAAGGCAAAGGAGAAGCAAGCATCTTCTTCACAAGGCAGCAGGAGAGAGAAGAGAGTGTAAAGAAGGAACTGTCAAACATTTATAAAACCATCAGATCTCATGGGAACTCACTCACTATAATGAGAACAGCATGGGGAAACCATCCCCATGATACAATCAACCTCCCATACGGTCCCTCCCTCAACACGTGGGGATTATGGGGATGACAATTCAAGCTGAGATTCTGGTGGGCACACAGAGCAAAACCATATCAGACAGTAGTAAAGTGTTCCCTAGCCACTAGAGAGATGGTGCCATTCTTACTCTTGCAATTTCTTCGTCAAGATTTTAACCTGTATCAGGTCAATCTGGATCATTGTGCAAGTACATTATTACAGGCTGACTTTTCTATGCATTGGCTTATTTTCTCTCCAGGGTCAAAGACACTCTGATAGTATGCTAACACATGAGAAGGAAGGTGAATGACCTCCTTATCTTAGGGTAGGTTGTTAGTAAACCATGCTCTTGTTTTCTTCAAAAAAGTGACACCTGAATGGACTTGCTGGAACACCTGGGTATGTGAAGCAAATAAACATAGAAGAGAAAAATATTATAGCCCACCTCACTAACTGCCTTTTTTATACAGATTGCACTTAATTTTTGTCTCAGTACCCTTTAAAATGTTTTAAATTCTGCATTAAAGTATATATGAAGATATCCTGTTACTCACATAACATTTCCCTTGACAAGGAAGACCATACTAGTGTAATTCTTTGCATAAAATAGAAATGAAGCACAAGCTAGACAAAAAATTACTAAATATACTTTCAAACCCATTCATTCTCTGTTGTGAAACCATATCTGCTATCCTCTACTAAAAACTGGTAAGGAGGTTTGAGAGAACCAAAATCTTATAATAAAAAGATATCTTTGAAATGCTTTTTACCTACAGCTTGAGAAATAGTAGTTGAGTCCAATACTGTATTACATCAATTCAAAATGGAGATATGAGAGAAAAAAAAAGAACGTGTGATTTATTTAAGTAATATAGTATTAAAACCTAAGTTTGAGTTCCCCCAGAGGAATCAACAGATCAAACGGAAATGGAAAGAGTGAACTAAGGTTCTGCTAAAACATAATCCAAGAAAAGAATAAGACAAAAGCATAGCTAAAAACTCTCCTCAAGGGGGGTAACATTTATTTCTAAATACGCCATGCTCTTTGGATTTGGTTCCAATACCTATTTATGTAGATAGAAAAAGAGAACCAACCAAATGTCCCCCTTCGCTACTTCAAGGAATAACTGCTGGAAAGAAGCAATTACAGTCAAATTGCTTACACCTTAAACCCCAGGTGCTCTAGATGGATGGACAGTCCCCTACAGTGTGAAGCTGTAGCTCAGAGACTCAGGGGAGTGGCAAAAGGCAAAGCCTTGTGAGTCGTGTTTTGTAGTAGAGAAAGCAGAAAGATCTTCAAAGTTAGAAGACAAAATGCCTAGGGGAATGGATAAGAGCCTTGTTTCAACAACAAAAGCATACTTTTTAAAAAAACAACATGCATTTGTCAGGGTAAAATGAAAATACATAAGAAAGAAAAGATATGGGAGGGGAGGGATATTATATAAATGAACAGGGTGACTCATTGCATGTACAGGTTTCCCAGTTGGACTGAGGGTTACATATTCAGGAAATGTTTCTTGCGTAACTGGAATGCACAAGGTTCTATGAGGAGCCAGTGATGACTCATATATAGAAGGAGAGATGGTGTCTTCTCCAGTAAGTTTTTAGAAGAGAAAGGGCTAGCTAGCCTGTTAATAAACAACATGGGAACATATATACATTGGTTGAATGACTAGTTTAAGAAGAGAAATTGTCTTCAGCAGATATGCAGTGGTTTTGAGAACTCTGCCATCACACTTCCTGAGTTTGGGTTCCTGGTTCTACCACTTAGTAGTTGTATGATCATAGGCAGGTGTTTAAAACCATGAAATGAAAATTATAATGTTATGTATGATCTTCACATGATTATGGTGAGGATGAAATTAGAGAGTGCATATAAAGTATCTAGTAACATGCTTAGCACAAATATTCAAATAGAAGTAGTTGTATTACTTGTCCTGACTCTATTCTTTTGTCCTGTCTTTGCTCTGCATCCCCTCAACAGTGCTGATTTTATCATCCGGAGATGTGAAGCTAATAATAGCAAGCCATCTTATAGCACTCTGGTAATAACACCTTTCCGTGTTTGTAAAAGTGTGTTGAGTGTCTAGGAAGGTAATAAGGGATGTACTACAAATTCTCTTTATGTTGCACATGTTCTGATAAATTATGTTATCAGTAAGTGAGACATAGATTTGCACATTAGATAAATTTTGGTGTAACAAATATGTCCCAATATTAGTTCTTATTAGATAGACGTTTTTCTCCACCAAGATCAACCCCATCCTTGGATTTTACAATAGGTTTTAGTTGTTTGAAAGGTTTATATGCAAATTTCTACTAAGGAAATCCCAAACCAGCTATGAGCTGGTATACCTTGCCCTTAATAATTGATTTCCAGATAGACAGCACTGCCCAGGGAGTCATGCAACACACACTTCTGTTGAGCCATTCTCCTTTATCTCGATTACCCTTGATGTGTTATCAGGAAACCCGTAGTGCTCTCACTCTTCAGGGAATCATTTTTTCCTTTGGGTGGAGATACTAGGGTTTTACAGATAACTCAGTTGGGGGTTTTCATGGCCATACCTCTCACAATTACAAACTGAGAAGCAAAACCTCTCTTGCAGCTAATATAATTCAGCATCATAAATTTTAGCAAGCTCCTATTTAACATGAGTATATGCAACAATATAGTGTTTTAAATAAAGCACTATATTTTTTCGTTTTGTTTGTCAACACTCTGTTTGATGCTCTGGATGATTTACTCAAGAACAAACACTATCAGATACCTGAGGTTTCTCTGTACTACCTCGGGGGGCTTCAAACCCTGCCACCTCAGATCTCAGTACTTCAAAGAGTTTCCCCCAAGCTGTGTTTACAGCATAAGCTAAAAAACAAGGTCCTGCTTGCTTTCACACACCTTTTCGCCACGTTAAAAATCCTAGCTGCACCAATATAACAACTCTTTCTACATCAGTTGGTAGTGGGTTTGGGATTTGCTGCCATGCATTTTAACTTTTTAAAATCACAAACTACAAGAAGCCAAGTGAAAAATAATCTAAGTGGACTTTTGCCAGAACTTATATCCAATACTTTTCTCTTGATAGGATATAGCTCCACCTTATGGCAGGAAGTTATTTAAAGTGGAGACTAGAATATGTAAGGCATAATGGTGGCATGCACTTTTTTTCCTCTAGAATCATGCTTTTCCTTTCACTTCAATTGCAACTGCAGTTCTATGTGCCAAAGAGGCAGGAAGTCAGTTCTTCCATTTTTCTTCCTTATGAGTCTGTAAAAGTCTTGCATTAAACCTAGTTAATGACTGCTTGGAGCACAAGGGTTGTTAAGGAGACAAACGAAAGATAGGTTTATAAAGCTTGCAAAAGGAAAACGCAGTTATGTTCTTTGATATTCTGATTAATAGCATTGTATTAAGTTCGTCTGTGATACTTTATTACCTAGTCTCTCTGTTCATCTATTTTCTGTGTTTTAACCATCCTTCCTCTTTGTTCGGTGACAGTTTTTACATGCTAGCTCCTGGAAACTAAGATTTACCTACTGCTGGCCTAAACAATGAGTCAACTTTTCTTTTAGACTCTTGAAAATTCTACCATAAATATTTGCTCTTCTCATATTCAATCGCTTTACAGCTGTATCCTAGAGAAGGTGACAGTTGGCGAATATTGTTTTTCTTCAAGCTTTGTTATTGAATATACTGAATATATTAGAAGCGTGTTTAACTCTCATAGGGAACTTCTGAAATTTCTTCACAGTGCTTTATATATAAAATTTAGGAAAAAAGAAAGGAATTAACTTTTGTTGTCATCCTTTCCATGTGCCAGTAACTCTGCTAGGCAATGGAACATATTTTATCAGACTTGAACACATAGCTATCTTCTAAAATATTCACATTTCCAATTTACCAATAACATGCATGTGGTTTTCCCAAAGTCAGGCAGCTGATAAACATTTCATCTTGCTACAACACTGCACAATGTTTTTTTGGTTTTGTTTTTAAATCACACCAATTGACTGAGCGTTTGAGAAATTAGTTGTGTGGCAGGTAAACATTTAGCGTCTTTCAAATCCCACTCTCAACAGATACTTACTTTATTTGCATGTTTTCTCAGAACAGTAAGAAATTAAAAGGAACCTTATCAGAACTGAATATATCTTACTCTGGCCAAATAGTAAAGGTTTACAGAGCATCTTCTGTATGGTAGATACTATGTTATATATTTGGGGAATATAAAGAGAAAAAAGATATCACTCCTCTCCTTGGTGATACCAAAGAAATAATTCATTCAACAAACACTGTGAAACAACTTTCATGTGTCTCACAATGGAGAAAAGGCAAGGCTACATCTGCAGAGGAAGGAAGATTTGTAAACAACTTCTAGTAAAATCACCAATAATTAGCACAACCACAAGACAAAGGATTCAATACTTTGTAACCAAGAGGAAGGGAAATAGGAGCTTTGGAAATGGTTCATTGGGAAAGTTTCACTGGATCTAGATCTTTAAGGTGAATCTCTCAGATAGTTTATTTCAAATTATCTAGTATGAAGTAAGGCAGCTTTATTTCAAAGATAAATTTAAATTGAATTATATATATGGAATTTTGTTATTTTCTGTGGTCACTATGCCAAAATATCTAGATTAGAATAGCACACATTTTTGTCTTATAAATTGTAAAATGTCCAATAGCTTCTCTACACTTTCTGCAAAGCCCCCGAGTGCTTACTATCATCTTCTGGTCAGGTTTGAATCTAAGCTCCTTCCTCTGCTTATGTAGATCATTTGGGACTCTTTCTATCCTTTGCTTGCAGCTCCTTCAAGATATGGAATTCAGTCTTTTTCTTTATTTCTATTGTATAAATTACTTCCATGAGGAATTTGTGAGGATATCATGCACTTTGGGGGCGGAAGATAGGTTTGGGAAAATTAGAATTAGATATTAAGATAATGATGATGATGGCGATAAATAGATGAAGATGATGATAGAAGTGCCTTAGCCTGTTTTATGTTATGATAACATAATACTGAAACTGGGTAATTTATAAAGAAAATAATTTTATTTGGCTAATGATGCTGTCCAAGATCAGGCAGCCCATCTGGTGAGGGTCGTGTGTTGCTTCAACTGATTGCTCAGAGTGGAAGGACAAATGGGCACCTGCAAAGAGACATACAAGAGAGGCTGGGCTCACTTTATAACAACCTGCTGTCACACGAACTATTCCATTCCTGCAAGAGTGAAAACTCATTCCCGTAAAGGGCACTAATCTCTTCATGAGGGATTCACCATATTACCCAAATGCCTCCCATTAGGCCTCACTACCCAACACTGCCATATTGGGTGTATTAGTCCATTTCCATACTGCTATAAAGAACTGCCCAAGACTGGGTAATTTGTAAAGAAAAGAGATGTAATTGACTCACAGTTCTACATGGCTCAGGAGGCCTCAGGAAACTTAAAATCACTGCAGAAGTCGAAGTGGAAGCAAGACACCTTCTTCACAAGGTGGCAGGAAGGGGAAATGCCCAGGAAAGGGGAGAAGAGCCCCTTATAAAACCATCAGACCTCGTGAGAACTCACTCACTATCATAAGAACAGCATGGGAAAACTGCTCCCATGGTTCAATTCCCTCCACCTGGCTTCTCCCTTAACATGTGGGGATTATGGGGATTACAATTCAAAATGAGATTTTAGGCCAGGCACGGCAATCCCAGCACTTTGGGAGGCCAAGGCAGGTGGATCGCTTGAAGTTAGGAGGTCTAGACCAGCCTGGCCAACATGGTAAAACCTTGTGTCTACTAAAAATACAAAAATTAAATACAAAAATTAGCCAGGCACAATGGCGGGCACCTGTTGTCCCAGCTACTCGGAATGCCAAGGCAGGAGAATCTCTTGAACCTGAGACAGAGATTTTGGGTGGGAACACAGCCAAACCATGTCTTTGGGAATCAAATTTCAATATGAGTTTTGGAAGGAACACATTCAAACCATAGCATTCTGCCTCTGGCCCCCTGAAATCCATGCTGTTCTCACATACAAAATACAATTATCCAATCTCAATTGTCCCAAAAGTCCTAACTTTCTCTACCACCAACTTAAAAGTCAAAAGTCTCATTTGAGACTTAAGGTAAGTTCCTTCAAGCTGTAAGAATGCAAAACCAGAAATCAAGTTATCTACTTCCAAGTTACAATGGATAGACATTGGGCAAACATTCCCATTCCAAAAGGGAAAATGGGCAAAAAAAAAAAAAGGAGTGCCCAGCACAAAGCAAGTTCAGAACCTAGCAGGTCAGACATTAAATCTTAAAGCTCCAAAATGTTCCATATGCCACCTCCTGGATACACTGGGTTGGAAGTTGGCCCACCAAGGCCTCAGGTAGCTTCACCTCTATGGCTTTGCTGAGTGCAGCTCGCGTGGCTGTTCGCTGGTTAGAGTCCAGTGCCTGTAGCTTTCTCAGGTAGGCATTGCATGTTTCTCGTGCTGTAACCATTCTGGGGTCCAGAGGGTGGGAACCCCACTCCCACAGCTCCATTAGGCACTCCAGTGACTATTCTCTGTGGCAGCTCCGCCTCTGAGGCAGGTTTCTGCCTGGGCTCCCAGGCAGTTTTGTACATCCTTTGATAAAGGTTGCCATGCCTCCATGACTCTTGCATTATATAGGCCTGATGAATCAGCACCATGTGGATGTGGACACTCCACAGGCCTACCACCTGCATCCTCTGAAGGAGCAACTCAAGCCACACCTGCGGCTCCTTGAGCTATGGCTGAAGTGACCAGAGTACCAAAATGCAGGAGTCACGTTCCCAAGGCAACTCTAAACAGTGAGCTGGTGGAGATTACCGCAAGCCTGTCTCTGGAAACCATTCTACCCTCTGAGGCCTGTGGGCCTTTTTCACTACGTCCTGATGCACACAGCACTGACTCTCTTTTGTTCATGCTCTCTTTTGTTCTCTTTATCAAGGGGTCCTTGGGCAGCGACACCCTTAGCACTCTCTCCCAAATACAGCTTTTTGCTGTTTACGTAGTCAGGCTGCAATTTTTCCAAAATTTTCCACTCTGCTTCCCTTTAATTATAAATTCTGTCTTTAAATTATTCTTTTGCTCTCAAATCTCAGCACAAGTGGCCAAAAGTAACTATGCAACTCCTTCTATATTTTGCTGAGAAATTTATTCTGCCAAAAATCCTAGTTCATCACTCTTAAGTCCTGCCTTCCATAAAGCCCTAGAGCACGGACACAATGCAACCAAGTTTTTTGTACATGTATAACAAGTGTACTTTTGCACAACAACTTCCCAATAAGCTACTCCTCATTTTTTATCTGAGTCCTCATCAGCATGGCCTTTAGTCACCAAATTTCTATGTGCATTTGGTCATGACTATGTAATCAATCTCTAAAAAGTTCCAAACTTTCCCTAGTCTTCTCATCTCCTGCGCCCTCACCATAATGCTCTTCACAAGGTGGCAGGAAGGGGAAATGCCCAGGAAAGGGGGGAAGAGCCCCTTATAAAACCTTTGATGCTCTGTGCACAGCAGTACAGGCCTTTTCTGACCTGTTCCTCCAAGTTCTTCAAGCCACTACCCATTACCCAGTTCCAAAGCCACTTTCACATTTCCAGCTATCTGTATAGCAACACCTCATACCTCAGTACCAGTTTTCCATCTTAGTTTGTTTAGTGTTGTGATAACGGAACACCTAAGTCTGAGTAATTTATTTAAAAAAAAATGTATTCGATTTCTGATTCTGGGAGCTGGAAAGCCAAAGATCGGGCAGCGCATCTGGTGAGGGTCTTGTCCTTCAATTCATGGTGGAAAGCAGAAGGGCAAGTGGGCACATGCAAAGAGACACATACAAGAGGTTGGACTTGCTTGTAACAACCCACTCTACTGGAAACCAATCCATTCCTGCATGAGTGAGAGCTTACTCACTCCCACGAAAGAGCATTAATTAATTCATAAGGGATTTTCCCCCATGACCCAAACACCTCCCACTAGGTTCTATCTCCAACACTGCCATACTGGGATTCAAATTTCAACCTGAATTTCAGAGGAGACACACTCAAACCACAGCAGATGATAGATAGATAGATAGATAGATAGATAGATAGATAGATAGATAGATAGATAGGATGGATAGACAGACAGACAGACAGACAGACAGACAGACAGACAGACAGATAGATAGATAGACAAAAATGCAAAAATTCTTTAAAGTGAATAGTAGGTATTTTGTAATCAAAACTTTTCTGGGCCATTTTCAAAACACATCCTCTTGCTTCCTGCCAAATCACTCAGAGCTTCTTCCCACTACTTTCCTCATCACCCACAGGAACTCCAAATTCTTCTTTGCCTTTTTGCAGAAAAAATATGGCAATTACTCCAAACTCAGCAGAGTCTATCTTTACAAATTGTTCCTTATCATAGATTCTCAAAAGAATAAAAGAGCCTTTATTTTACAATGAACCACTAGCTTTATAAGGCAGCCATGGTTTTAGATAGCAATATTTATTTTTGTCAATTATATATAAAGTGTTCACCACAGTGTGTAACATTCACTAATTTCTTAGTAAGTGGTAGACATAAATTGATAATAATTTAGCAAGATAATCAAATTATGTAAGAATTATTATGATGATAATAGTAACATATACCTAATCAAATGGACATAAAATTTATATTGTACATTATGTCATAGGCTTATTATTTTAATTTTATTCACCACACAACTAATTCATTTAGCTTAAATAGTGTTTTTAATGACTTAGGATATTAATATAGCACTTTAGTTATGCAGTTAAACATCTTCATTCCAAAAGTGATACATAAACTGAGAGTGATTACTTGCTAGACACAGTACAATAATAGCCCTTCAAAATTATCGATAGGATAAACATTTTCATGTTGATAAATAAATGCAATTACTGAAATAATTATCTACCTATCTACTAACTATCCATCTATATAATGTAGAGGAGAACTAAAAAGGTATATAAAGTTTATATTTTACTTAAAAAACAAAGTAAACATTAGGAAGACACATTGTTTCTCATCTCTACTGTTTTTTATTTAAACCCTTGATAACATCTTTATTTTCTTCCTGTCTTATCTTTTAACATTTATATTGTACAAACTTAATTCATGGTTTGGCATCCAAGTTCAAGGTCAGGTCTACTTTTGATGTATTATTTATCATTCCACATATGTTGTTTATTCCATTTTCTTAACGACTATAACCCTATTTTATGATGAAATTTGGTACTCAATCAAAAAAATTGTTCTATATACTTTAATTGTTTTGTTATAACTAGTAAGTAAACTCTGAGTATTTTACTTTTTTGGTATCTACCTCTACAGTACATGTGTTGTTTAGCCTTGTGACTGATAGCTAAACAGTACTAAATGCATAATTGTGTATGTATTTTATATACAAAATTAAAAAAATAATAACAGCTTTTAAAAATATCAATTTAGAGAACAGAAGAGAGCTTTTTTTCCCAATATATCCCACAATATTTGGAGAAGGCATCTGCTAAAGCACAGGATTGGCCTGCAATAAATTCTTAATGCCTGTTTATTGATTTTGATTGATATTTAGAGTCTGTCACAGCAGCCAGACATCTCCATGATGTTCTGCCTATATAACCTCAGAGGGTCACTTTGCTGAATGCCTGAAGAAGTTATTCCCAGGACACAGCACTCCAGATAAAATCTTTAGTATGTTAGCATCACTTTTAAAATTTCAAATCATGAAAGTAAAATAAGTTTAAAAAAACATAAACAAATAAGCTTAATAATTCACCTCCACAACACGCTACTTTTTAATTTGGGAAAACATTTATTTTGCACGGTGTTTCAGTTAAATGAGTGGATGAGAGAGAGAAAAATTGGATGCATTTTAGCTTGTAGCTTACATTTAAGAAAATCCTTAGACAATAATCTATTTAGGTAATAGATTAGTCAATAATCTAGTAGGTATTGCATACTATATGTAATGTGGTAAATACTTGACTATTCACATTAATGGAAATGATTAAAGGCAGACCATTAGAATCAGTTTACTTTGGTTTGGAGTGTATGTTGATTCATGTGTTCAAGTTTCTCAACCTCAGCACTATTGACATTTGGACTAGATATTCTTCCTTGTGGGAGGCTGTCTGTTACATGGTAGGATGTTTAGCAGCATCCCTGGTGTCTACCCACTAAATGCCAGTAGCATATACCTTAGATGTGACAACGAAAAAGGCTTCCAAACGTTGCCCAGTATTTCCTAGAAGGGATTTGGGGAACAGATCACCTCTGGCTGAGAACCACTGATATATATGAATATAACTTTGTTTTGTTTTATAATTTAAATATTTACATTTCCCTTCAAAGGATAAAGTCATTCTGAAGACCTGACTGACACAAGTTGACTATTTTTCATACCTTACTAATGTAACCCAAATAAAACTGGATTGTTTAGATGGTTACAAATTAAACAAACAAATTCCATTTCCCACAAACCTTGTAAAGAATCGTAAACATTTACTGAAGGGGTTTAAAGGACACTAATTAAAGTTTCCTGAAAGGCTTTTAGGATGAATAATGATGTTAATAAGGTAGATTTTGAGATATTTGTCTCTTGATTGGCTGAGTTCTATTTAGAAATTCTGAAGAACCATGTTGTTCTCTCTACATACTGAAAGTTAGCCTCTCCCGGCTTCAAGATCCTAACACAGTTGCATAATGCGAGTATAACTCCAAAATGGTTATAGGTTCTAGCTACGGGAAAGACTAAAATTATTAGCCATTGCAAGCTTAATAAAGTAAATGTACTTGAAATTTGTTCTTACGAGAAGACACCGTTCTGCATCAAGTCATTTACTCTACATATCTCCCAGTTACAATTCCATCTAAATGCATTCAACATGCTGTTTTCTACAACTTAAAAATGGTAACCCACCAATATTTTTAAAATAAAGGCCCAATTGTTAATTTAATATGCCTTCTGAGCTTTAATATCTTTCTAATTGAACAATTTAAGGTTTGGGCTCTCATTGTAATTCTTTATATGAAGTGCAAGGAGATTTTAGACCTCACTCTTGAAGTATTGATTATTATTGAACTCTTTTTAATCTCATTGAAAAAACTGCTCTTTTCAGGACTCTTCAGAGCTTTGATTAACTTTACATCTGCCTTTGATTCTATGGATATGTTTTTTAAGCTCTGTGAGTTTAAGATAAGTCTCCAATTATTAATATGCTTGCAAAATCTACATCCACGGTATCATTGCCAGAATCAAGCAAGACAGCAATTTAAATGCATAAGAATAAAATGAGTTTTGGACCTTCTTTTTATTTTTATCTAGATATTTTTATATTCTTTTTAAAGAAATTGGATCCTTGCCTACTTGCAACAGTAAAGAGGAAAATAATTACCCTTCTCTATAAGGGTCATCTGGATCAAGATAGACCTTAGAAGAATTATAAAGTCAATAGTTCCTATGAAGAAGAGGCCATTAACATTAATTGTGATGGCATAGGTACCTATTATTTTAGTAGGGCTAAATAATTCTCTAATATATAAGTGGCTAATATTAACTAATTCCATGCATCAGGGCACTTTGTTCTGTTTTTGTCAATAATATTTTGAATTTTGTCAATAACATAAACATATCAAGAGGTCACTGTCTTTTAAATTACACAACCTATAAGACTATTATACAGTTTTTATTAATGATTCTGGTGGAAAACTGGCATCATTTGTTCTGATATTTCTTTATAATATAATAAGTCATGCCATTTGCTTATTTTGTTTCCAAAACAGTAGTGTTAATTTTAATCAATAGTATTGAATATTATTAGTATTAGCAATTACAGCAATTAGTATTTACTGAGCCATTGCTATTTGCCAGACACATTTCTGTGTTCAGCTTGTTTAGATTCAAAGCAATCTTTTCAGATGAGTATTATCTGGGTATTATCAACCCCAGAGATGAACAAAGACAACAGAAGGTTTAAGTACAAAACTGCCCAAGATCATACATACAGCTGATAAGTGGCAGAACTATGATTGCAAACTCAGACAGCTGACTACCAAATCACTGCACTTACTCATCACCACATTATGCTGTCTGAGCTTGAGGCTCTCACCAACAAATATAAAATTCAATCATATAATAGCTAATATTTATAAAAAACTGAGTTTAGGGAAGTAAATGTAAATGCTACCTATCCACTCTCTTCTGCCTAAACTAAGTTGTTTCTTTGAGTCAAATCAGAACAGCAAAAGGCCTCATTTTATTGGTTTGTTTGTTTGTTTGTTTTTTGAGACAGTGTCTCACTCTGTTGCCCAGGCTAGAGTGCAGTGGCTCTATTTCAGCTCACTGCAACCTCCGCCTCCTGGGTTCAAGCAATTCTCCTACCTCAGTCTCCCATGTAGCTGGGATTATAGGTGTGTGCCACCACGCTCAGCTAGTTTTTGTGTTTTTAGTAGAGACGGGGTTTCTTCATGTTGGCCAGGCTGATCTTGAACTCCTGATCTCCGGTGATCTGCCCGCCTTGGCCTCCGAAAGTGCTGAGATTACAGGCGTGAGCCACCATACCCAGCCCGTTTTATTATATTTTTAAGAGGGACTATCTCAAGAACATCAGATTTGATTCATCATAATTCTTGTTCATCACCGACTATCATCATTAGGCATGGCTCATTTATTCTGAGTTACTAAGTTGATTACTGTTTATAATGTGGTGAGGACCCAAAAATCAACTACTCACTAGGCCCTTGATAAAAACACATATGTAATTTTTAAAAGCTAAAATGTAATAAGACCTAACTTTTATTAATGTTTTTTCCACTTTCATTGTTAAAGATTTTTTAAAATTCAGGTATACATTATTTACAGTAAAATGCATAACTTGAGTTTAATAAGTTTGGAAATATGCACATAGCTGTGAAATCCATGTGATCAAAGCACAGGGTATTTGAACAAGTCTCTGTCTCTTACCCAGTCAATTCTATTCTCCACCACAGAAACTACTTACATGATTTCTATCACAATTGCTTAACTTTGATTATATCTAAAACTTCACAAACACCTACTCTTTATATATAGCTTATACATATAAATATTACATGTATAATGCTAAATATATGTAGCAATAAATATTATTGTATGAGGTTTTTGTGGACAAAATCATGAATAGTTAACTACCTATGTAATTGTTCATGGTTAACCCGTTATGAAAGAGCCACAGGTTTGGTTACACCACATACTCCACAATGTTTCTGTATTAGTCCATTTTCACACTGCTATAAAGAGCTACCTGAAACTGGATAATTTATGAAGAAAATAAGTTTAATTGGCTCACAGTTCTGCAGGCTTAACAGGAAGCATGACTGGGACGCCTCAGGAAACTTACAATCACGGTAGAAGGTGAGGAGAAGCAAGTACGTCTCACCGCGGCGGAGCAGGAAAGAGAGAGAGAGAGAGAAGCGGGAAGTGCCACACCTTTAACCTTTAACCTTTAAACCATCAGATCTCGTGAGAACTTACTCACTATCACGAGAATACCAGGGGGGAATCCTCCCCCATGATTCAATCACCTCCCACTAAGCCCCTCCTCCAATTCAACACGAGATTTGGGCAAGGACGCAAATCCAAACCGTATCAGTCTGGTATTGCCAATCTTTTAAATTGTAACCAGCCTGTTAGATGTAGAGTGGTATCTAACTGTGGTTTAAATTTGCATTTCTCTGATCATTAATAATGTCAACCATTTTTATGAGCTTACTGACCATATGTACCTCTATTTTCTGAAGTATGGATTCAAGTATTTTCCATTCTTTTAATTAAATTTTTGTCTTGAGATAATTGTAGATGTAATTGGAAGAAAGAATACAGAAATCCGGCCGGGTGCAGTGGCTCACGCCTGTAATCCCAGCACTTTGGGAGGCCGAGGCGGGCGTATCATGAGGTCAGGAGATCCAGACCATCCTAGCTAACACGGTGAAACCCCGTCTCTACCAAAAAATACAAAAAAAAAAATTAGCCGGGTGTGGCGGCGGGGCGCCTGTAGTCCCAGCTACTCGGAAGACTGAGGCAGGAGAATGGCGTGAACCCGGCAGGCGGAGCTTGCAGTGAGCAGAGTTTGCGCCACTGCACTCCAGCTTGGGCGACAGAGCGAGACTCCGTCTCAAAAAAAAAAAAAAAAAAAAAAAAAGAATACAGAAATCCCATGTATCCGCTACCCAGTTTCCCCCAGTGGAAAACTATGGCACGTCTTGCAAAACTGTGGCACAATATCACAATCAAGATATTGATGTGGATACAGTCAAGATACCAAGAATTTCCATCACTACAAAGGTTTGTGACATTTCCCATTATGGCCACATCCACTTCTTTTTCTCCCCAACGTCCTCCTTAAACCCTGTAGGCCACTAATCGCCTCTTCATTACTGTACTTCTGTTATTTCAAGAATGTTGTACAAATAGGATCACACAACATGCAACCTTTTGTTTTTGACTTCTTCAATTAGCATAATTTTCTGGAGATTCGTCCATATGGTTGTATGGACGGAATGTATCAATAGTACATTCCTTTATATTGCTGAGTAGTATTTCATGGTATGAAGGCACTATAGTTAATTTAATCATTCATCTATTATGGACATTTGAGTTGTTCCTACTATATGAGCTACCACAAATAACGCTGTTATAAATACTCACACAAAGTTTTTGGTGTGAGTATGTGTTCATTTTTCTGGGATAAATGCCCAGGAGTGGTATTGCTGGGTTACATGGTACTTTCATGTTTAGATTTTTTTTTTAAAAACTGCCAAACAGTTTTTTTGAGTGAGAATACCATTTACATTTCTACCACCAATATAGAAGTGATCCAGTTCCTTTGCCTTCTCTCCAGCATTTGTTGTCACTGTTCATAATTTTAGCCATGTTGATAGGTATTTAGTGATATCTCATTATGGTTTTAATTGACATTTCCTTAATAACTAGTGATGTTGACCATCTTTTCACATATTTGTTTGCCATCTGTATGCACTCCTATTTGAAATGTCCCTTTATATCTGTTACCCACATTCTAATTGGATTCTTTGCTTTTTAATTGTGAGTTTTGAGTGTTCTTTGTGTATTCTAGACACTAGTCCTTTGCAAATATTTTCTCCCATTCTATAGCTTGTCTTTCTATTATATTAACTGGGTCTTTTACAGATCAAAATCATTCAAATTTGATATAGTTAAACTTAGCAAGTTTTTAAGTGAATCCTACTTTTAGTGTCAAATCTATAAATTATTTGGCCCCAAATTGTAAAAATTTTCCTCTGTTGTTTTTTCCCCTTAAGAGTTCTATGGTTTAAATTTTACATTTTAGTAGTGGCCTATTTAGCTAATTTTTGCATAAGATATAATAGTTAGGTCCAGGTTTATAATTTTATTTTTGCCTGTAGATATTCAATTGCTCCAGTACTAGCTGTTGAAAAGGCTATATTTCCTGTACTGAACTGCTTTTGCAACTTAGTCAAAAATCATACAGATGTTGTATATATATGTGTGGGTCTATTTTGGATTCTTTACTGTGTTCTATTGAACTATGTGTGTATCCCTCCAGCAATACCACAAAATTTTGATTACTGTAGATACATAATTTTGATATATTTTTTCAATTTATTCTTCTTTTTCAAAATTGTTTTTAGCTATTCTAGTTTCATATAAATTTTAAGATAGTTCTGTCTATATTTACAAAATTATCTCCCTGAAATTTTGATAAGTATTTTAAACCTGTACATCAAATTAGGAAATATTGACAGCTTTATTACATTAAGTCTTCCAATCCGTGAACATGATTTATCTATTCATTTACTTATCTCTTTGATTTCTTCCATCATCACTGTGTTATTTTCAGCAGACTAGCACTATAGATGTTTGGTTAGATTTACTCCTAAGTATTTTTTTCAGTAATTATAAATGGAATTGTAGTATTAATGTTGGTGCCTACGTGGTTATGGCCAGTATATATACATATAATTGATTAATGTATGTTTATCTCGTGTCCTGCAAACTCGATGAATTCATGTATTAGATCTGAAAGATCTTTTATAGACTTCCTTGGAATTTTCTATGTAGACAAATATGTCATCTGCAAATAGAGACAGTTGTACTTACTTCTTTTCTGTATTTACTTCTCTTGCCTGTTTAAAACTTTCACCTTGATGTTAAATAAGAGTGGTGAGAGCAGACATGCTTGTCTTGCTCTGGTCATAGGAGAAATGCATTTGATTTTTCACTATCAAGTATAATATTAGCTGTGGGTTTTCTGTATATGTTCTTTATCAAGTTGAGGAATTTTAACTCTATTCCAATTTTTCTGTGCATTTTTATAACATGGGTATTGAATTTTGTCAAGTGCTATTAGTACATTGATTGATGTGATAATAAGATTGTTCTTGAGCCTCTTATTGAATCAGCTTTATATTCCTTTAACAACCCCACTTGGTCATATTATATAATCTTTTTATATGTTGTTGAAATCTATTTACTAATATTTTGTTAGGAATTTTATGTTTATATTCAGGAAGGATATCTGCCTGTAATTTTATTTCATACTGTATTTGCTTAGTTTTAGAATCAGACTAATAATGGCTGTATTAGTCCATTCTCATGCTACTAACAAAGACATACCCGAGATTGGATAATTTATAAAGGAAAGAGGTTTAATGAACTAGCAGTTCCATGTGGCGGGGGAGGCCTCACAATCATGGCAGAAAATGAAGGAAGAGTAAAGAGCTTTGTCTTACATGGTGGGAGGCAAGAGACATTTGCAGGGGTACTCCCCTTTATAAAACCATCAGATCTTGTGAGACTTTTTCACTATCACAAGAACAGGAAAACCTGCCCCCACAATTCAATTACCTCCCTCCAGGTCCCTCCCATGACACATGAGGATTATTATAATTCAAGGTGAGATTTGGGTGTGGACACAGAGGCAAACCATATCATTCTGCTCCCAGCCGCTCCCAAATCTCATGTCCTCACATTTCAAAACCAATCATGCCTTCCAACAGTCCCCCAAAGTCTCAACTCGTTCCAGCATTAACCCAAAAGTCCAAGTCTCATCTGAGACAAGGCAAGTCCCTTCCACCTATGAGACTGTAAAATCAAAAGCAAGTTAATTACTTCCTAGATAGAATGGAGGTTAAGGCATTGGGTAAATACACCCATTCCAAATGGGAGAAATTGGCCAAAACAAAGGGGCTACAGGCCCCGTGCAAGTCCATAATCCAGGAGGGCAGTCAAACCTTAAAGCTCCAAAATGATCTTCTTTGACTCCATGTCTCACATCCAGGTCACACTGATGCAAGAGGTGGGTTCCCATGGTCTTGGGCAGCTATGCCTCTGTGGCTTTGCAGGGTGCAGCCCCCTTCCTGAATGCTTTCACAGGCTGGCATTGAGTGTCTGTGGCTTTTCTAGGCACACAGTGCAAGCTGTCTGTGGCTTTACCATTCTGGGATCTGGAGGATGGTGGTCCTCTTCTCACAGCTCCACTAGGCAGTGCCCCAGTGGGGACTCTGTGTAGAGGCTGGCACCCAACAGTTCCCTTCTGTACTTCCCAAACAGAGGTTCTCCATGAGGGCTCTGCCCTTGCAGCACCCCTCTGCCTGGACATGCAGGCATTTCAATACATCCTTTGAAATCCAGGCAGAGGTTCTCAAACTTCAATTGTTGACTTCTCTGATTTGCAGGCCCAACACCATGTGTAAGTCACCAAAGCATGGAGCTTGCAACTTCTGAAGCAATGGCCTGAGCTCTATGTTGGCCCCTTTTAGCCACAGATGGGGTGCAGGTCAACAAGTCTCAAGACTGCACAAAGCAGCAAGGCTCTGTGCCCAACCCAAAAAACCATTGTTTCCTCCTAGGCTTCCAGACCTGTGATAGGAGGGGCTGCCATGAACACCTCTGATATGCCCTGGAGACATTTTCCCCATTGTCTTGGCAATTGGCATTTAGCTCCTCAATACTTATGCAAATTTCTGCAGCTGGCTTGAATTTCTCCTCAGAAAATGGGGTTTTCCTTTCTTTCTCGTCTTCAGCCTGCAAATTTTCTGAATGTTTATGCTCTGCTTTCCTTTTAAACATAAGTTCCAATTCCAAACCATATCTTTGGGAATACATAAAACTGAATGCTTTTAACAGTACACAAGTCACATCTTGAGTGTTTCATTGCTTAGAAATTTCTTCCACCAGATGCTCTAAATTATCTCTCTCAAGTTCAAAGTTCCACAAATCTCTAGGGCAGGGGCAAAGTGATACCAGTCTCTTTGCTAAAGCATAACAAGAGTTACCTTTGCTCCAGTTCTCAACAAGTTCCTCATCTCCATCTGAGACCACCTCAGCTTGGAATTTACTGTTCACGTCACTCAACATTTTGGTCAAAGCCATTCAACAAGTCTCCAGAAAGTTCCAAACTTTCCTTCATCTTCCTGTCTTCTGAGCACTCCACGTCTCTAGGAAGTTCCAAATCTACTCACAGTTTTCTATCTTCTTCTGAGCCCTCTAAACTGTTCCAACTTCTGCCTGTTACCCAGTTCCACATTTTCAGGTATCTTTATAGCAACTCCCCACTACCCAGTACCAATTTACTGTATTAGTCCATCCTCATGCTATTAATAAAGGCATACCTGAGACTGGGTGCTTTATAAAGGAAAGAGGTATAATAAACTCACAATTCCACATGGCTCAGGAGGCCTCACAATCATGGCAAAAGATGAAGGAAGAGCAAAAAGATGTCTTACATGGCAGCTGACCTGAGACATGTGCACGGGGATTCTCCTTTATAAAACCATCAGATTTCATGAAACTTATACTGTATCACAAGAACAGCATGGGAAAAACCCACATCCATAACTTAATTACCTCCCACTGGGTCCACACCATGACACATGGGCATTATTGCAATACAAAGTGAGATTTGGGGCCAGGCGTGGTGGCTCATGCCTGTTGTCCCAGCATTTTGGGAGGCCAGGGTGGGCGGATCACGAGGTCAAGAAATCGAGACCATCCTGGCCCACATGGTGAAACCCCATCTTTACTAAAAATACAAAAATTAGCCAGTCGTGGTGGTGGGCACCTGTAGTCCCAGCTACTTGGGAGGTTGAGGCAGGAGAATCGCTTGAACTGGGGAGGTGGAGGTTGCAGTGAGACGAGATTGCACCACTGCACACCAGCCTGGCGACATTGTGAGACTCCAGCTCAAAAAAAAAAAAAAAGTGAGATTTGTGTGTGAACACAGAGCCAAACCACATCAATAGCTTCATAAAATAGATAAGTAAGTGTTCACTCTTCTTTTTTTCTGAAAGATATTGTGTATAATTGATGTTGTTTTAAAAAAATTTGACAGAATTCTCCAATGTAACCCTGTGGGTTTGGAGGTTTCTTTTTGAAAATTATTAATGACAAATTTTGACAATTTTACTGATCTTTTCAAAGAACTAATTCTGTGTTTCATTGATTTTTTCTATTCTGTTTTCCATTTTATTGATTTCTGTTGTTTATTGTTGTCTTCATTCTGCTTACTTTGGGATAATTTTTTTTTCCCTTCCAGGTTCTTGAGGTAGGAGCTTAGGTTATTGGTTTCAAACTTTTCCTCTTTTCCCATGTATGCATTTAGGGCTATAATTTCGCCTTTTAGCACAGTTTTAGCTGTATCTCACAAATTTTGTTATATTGTATTTTCATTTTCATTCAATTCAATGAATTTTTAAAATTCTCTTGACTTTTGTTTGACCCCATGCATTATTTATAAATGTGTTCCCAAGTGTTTGGAAACTTTTCTGTAATTTTCCTGTTTTTGATTTGTATTTTAATTCCATTGTATCAGAGAATATATTCTGTATAAATTCAATTGTTCTAAAGTTGTTGGGGTTGGTTTTATGACCCAGAGTATGGTTTATGTTGGTATAGTTATGATTTGAAAATAATGTGTAGTTGGCTGGGTGCGGTGGCTCATGCTTGTAATCCCAGCACTTCGGGAGGCCAAGGCGGTTGGATCACCTGAGGTCAGGAGTTCAAGACCAGCCTGGCCAAAATGGTGAAACCTTGTCTCTACTAAAAATACAAAAATTAGCCAGGGGTGGTGGCAGGTGCCTGTAATCCCAGCTACTCGGGAGACTAAGGTAGGAGAATCGCTTGAACCCGGGAAGTGGAGGTTGCGATGAGCTGAGATCATACCACTGCACTCTAGTCAGGGCAACAGAGTGACAGTCCATCTCAAAAAAAAAAAAAAGAAAAGAAAAGAAAATACAGTGTTCCATAAATGTCAATTAGATTTTATTGGTGGAGCCCTTCTATATCTTTGTTGAAATTCTCTTTACTTATTCCATGAATTGCTGAGAGAGTAGTGTTCATGTCTGTAACTATATCTATGTATGTGTCTATTTATCCTTTCAGTTTGATCAATTTTTGCTTCACCTATTTTGCTGATCTGTCTTTGGTGTACATACATTTAGAATTTCTGTCTTTTTGATGGATTTAAACTTTTCTTGTTATTAATCTCCTTCTCTATCTTTAATAATTTTATTTTCTCCGAAGTCTACTTCATATAATATCAATATAGTCACTCTCTCTTTCCTTTTATTAAAATTTTTGTAAGATATATTTTCAATCCTTTTACTTTCAACAGCTTATATTGTTGTATTTCAAGTTAATTTCTTATGGGCAACATTTAGTTAGGTTGTATTTGTAAATACCCTCTGTTAATCTCTGTCTTTTGATTGCTATGTTTATACCATTTAAATTTAATATAATTACTGATACCTTAGAGTTAAATCAGCTATTTTATTTTTGTTTTCTGTTTGTTCTCTCTGCTTTTCATTTATGTCTTCTTTTTCCTCCCTTTCTGTGGAAACCCACAACACATATAAAACATATAAATCATCATATAAAACATTTTTTACAATTTCCCTTTTCTTTATCTATAGTGTTTTGACTGTGTCTCTTTGTATAGCTGTCTTAGTGGTTGCACTAGTTATTATGTTGTTACATATCTGTAACTTACCACAGTCTACTCGTGTTCTCATTTTACCAGTCCTAGTGAAGTATAGAAAGATTACTTCCCTTTACATCTCTTTATTCTCCCCCATTTATAATTGTCTTAGATATTTCTTCTACAAATATTTAGAACAACATTGGTGTTTTAATTTTTGCTTCAACCATCAAGCATAATTTAGAACACTCAAGAGAAGAGCCTATTGTATTTACCCATATTTTTTGTTTACTGTATTGGTCTTTCTTCCTGATGTCACAAGCTTTATTCTTTTGTTATTTCCTATACTTTTAGAAATTTTATTTAGCCATTCCTGTAGGGTAAATCTCCTGGCAACATATTTTCTTATGTTTCCTTCATCTAGGAATGTGTTGATTTCTCCTTCATTTCTGAAGGATATTTTCTCAAGATATAGAATCTCAATTTTTATTTTTTATGTTGGGATGCCTGTGTTTATATTATTGAGTTTTAAGAGTTCTTTTTATATGCTGGTTACACATCCTCTGTCAGGTATAAGTATATCAAATATTTTCTCATAATCTATGACTTGCTTTTTAAAACAGTCTTACTGGTGATTTTTTGAAGAACAAAGTATTTTGCTTTTGATAAAGTGCTTTTTTTTTATTATTTGGGCTTTCTGTTCAAGGCTAATATATTATTACCACTCTAAGCCCATGAAGATTTTTTTCTCGAATATTTTAAACTTTCCTTTAGGTTTAGATATCATATACCTCATGTATATGAGATGTTTTTTTTAGTGTATGAGTCAAATTGAGGTTGAGGTTCTATATTTTCTTTATTCCTATCTACTTGATTCATCACCATTTGCTAAAGTTGTTTCCCTTTTTCTGTTGAATTGTTTTAGAGCCCATGACAAAAAATAATTTGACTTTGTATGTGTGAGTCTATATCAGGATCCACAATTGTTTTCAATTGATCTATTCATCTATCATATTGCTAGTGTCATACTCTTGATTTCCATAGCTGTATAGTATGTATGGCAGTCAGGTAGGGTAAGTCCTCCAACTGTTCTAAGACATTTTCATTTTGATATATATTTGAACACAGCAAATTGCCTTTTTTTAAAGCCAAATATAATTTTGGTTAGGATTGTGTTGAATATAAAGATAGATTTGTGGCGAATTTACATTTTAATAACTTTAACAATACTGAGCCTTATAATCCATAAATATAGCATCTCTTTTATTTTCTTTCCAATTGCTTATTGTTGTTGGTTAGAAATACAATTTATCTTTGTATATTTTCTTTGCATCCTGTGACATTGCAAAGTTCACTTTTTTATTCTTTATGACTTTTTTTTTACAAAAAACAATAGAAAACAATTTTAATTATGCACATATACATGGAGTCCCACAAAGACATGAGCTCCCTCCTTATAACTTTCTAGGCATATGTTATATTATCTTCAAATAGAGATTTTATTATTTATTCTTTTCTAAATGTATGCCTTTTTTTTTTTTTTTTTACTTACTACATTAAGAGCTCCAGTACAATGTTGACTAGAAGTGGTAGAAATGCACATCTTTATCTTTTCCTTATTTTGGGATATAATGCTCATTCCTTCTTCATGAGTAAAATATATTTAATGTTGATTTCTCACAGACTTTATTTGCCTAGAAGAAAAAAGTTCTCTTTTGTCCCCAGTTTGTGGAGCGTTTTTATTATGAACAGGTGCTGAATTTTTAAGTGCTTTTCCAGAATCTACTTAATTAAATATAATTTTTCTTCTTTAATGTGTTAATGTGTGAGTTCCACTGTGATTTCCATATAATAAACCAACTTGCCATTCCTGGGATTGCCACTGCCACATGGTCAGGATTATTTAACATCTCTAGATATTGCCAAATCCAATTTGACAATGTTTGGTTATGGGCTTTTGTGTCTATGCTCACAATGAATATTAGTCTTTAATTTTCTTTGCATATAATATCCTTTCCTAGATTTGGTGTCAGAGTTATATTGGCCTCATGAAATGACTTGGAAAGTATCTTCATTCCACTATTCCATGAAAGAGTTTGTGTGATATTGGCAATTTTAGTTTATTAAATGTTTGATAAAATTTCTGATGAGCTACTTTGGATATGAATATTTTTATGGGAATTTATTTAATTACAAATTCTATTTAATCAATAGATGTAAGGCTACTTAAAATTTCTATGTTTGTGGTGAAAGAACATACTGTTTATGATGGTCCCCCATTTATTTCATTAAAAGGTAATTTATGTTCCTTGAAATTTACAATTTTAAGTGTAAAATTTTGGAATTTGACAAACTTCTGTAGTCATATAAACACCATCAAAATCAAGATACAGAGCAAGGGTCATCAAACTATGACTGTGGGCCAAATATTGTCTAAGGGCTGTTTTTGTATGGTCACTCAGCTAAGAATTTTTTTATTTTAATAAAGGGTTGTGAAATAAAAACAAATAAACAAAAGCAAGCAAGAGTATGTAATACAAACTTATATGGCCCTAAAAATATTTATTATCATGTCCGTTACAAGGAAATGTCAGCTGCCACTATAAATTTTTAGCCTTGTGATTGCTTTGAAGCTCAAGAAATGAATTTTTAAATGCTACATATATGCTATAGTTTAAGAGTCAAAATTCATTTGTTCTACATCGTTCTTGTGAGGAGTAAAAAGAATAACTGCCTCCTGGGCTTATAAAGTGTTTCCCAGGAAAGCAGGAAGTTAGGATGGAGAGTTTTTGGTTTTTCAGTCAACTAAGATGGGATTAAATCATTTACTGAGTATGTTTCTTTAGACAAATTGTTTTACCTCTCTGTGCCTTATCTTCTTTGTCAGTATAATAGAAACAAAAATTCCAAACTAAATAGGTTGTTTTGAGATTTAGATGAGATAATATATACAAAGATGTACCTCAATGAAACCTATTTGTCAGATGTTTGCAATTCCCTCTCTACTTCATCACAACTACTAAACAAGGAGTTTACACACACACAGACACACACACACACACACACACATCGTTTTGTAAAAAGGGAGCTGGTGGTTTGAGTTTTTTGTTAGTTTGCTTGTTGAGATGTTTGTTTGCTTTGTTGCCCAGGCCTAGTGCAGTGGTGCCATCTCATTGCAACCTCCTCCTCCTGGGCTCGAGTAATCCTCCCACCTCAGCCTCTAGAGTAGCTGGATCTACAGGCACATGCCACCACACCCGGCAAATTTTTTGTGTCTTCTCTAGAGATGGGGTTTCACCATGTTGCCCAGGCTGGTCTCAAACTCCTGGGCTCAAGGGATCTGCCCACCTCGGCCTCCCAAAGTGCTGGGATTACAGGTGTGAGCCTGCCACCACACCGAGCCTGCTGGTTTTAATGCACAGCTCTACCCTGTGAAACTGGAAATGTATGGCTTTGTGCCAAATTTTCTAATTTGCACAAAAAATATATGTTTAGCTTTTCAGAAACTCTGTCAGGATTCATTAGCTTTCTGCAGAAAAATAGACCTTTGGAGACTAAAAGAAAAGAAAAATAAAGTTTTATGAGACAATCTATTAGTCAAGGTATTGGAGAAAACAGAGAAGATTTTGGAATTATCTTTAGCTGTCATTTACATTTTCCTGAGCCTTAAATCTGAGTTTCTCTAATAATCATAAGCCCGATATATTTTGTTTTAAAAATAAAACAAGAAAAAACTCAAATTATACCAAATCTGTGCTCACAGCCAGGATATATCCTTTTGGACTATAGTCTGTTTTAACTCACTGATGCAGAATGTTTTGGCACAGGAAATATTTAATCTAAAAAGTAGGGCCTTTCACAAGAACGCCTCTTGTAAACAGGGAGACCAACTGGGCATTAATGTGAATATTGTTGTTGGCAAGATCTTTTGACCTGATGGATAGAGGTGACATATACATTCTGTGTCTTTCAGCAGGAACACCCCTTGGAGCAATAACACCCAAATACCTGAAATGTGAAGATGACAAGCATGAGTATCCTCTCCTTTTGTGCCTGAATTTCCTGCTTTAATCAGAAAAAAATACTTTTAAAAAGTGCAGGCAATGGTGAGGTTAATTTCTTGTTTAAAATATTTTAATTATCACACTGCAATGATGGAAATAAATCTGTTCACTCTAGCAAGTATATAACATTATCACAAAAAGCCAAAGGAAAAGGAAATGCGTAAGAGAGAAAGGGGATGAGAGAGAAGCAGGACACAAAAATTACAGTGCAGGGAACAAGAGCAAAACGAAAAAATACCACACTAGCAGTTAAACTGACCCCAGAGGTAGATATTCACATTCACTCTGAGTTAACTGTTTTCTGTCTTCAGAGTTCACAGTGCAAGATCATGCTAAAAGACTAACCAAGAAGGAGTGGAGGGAAGATTTGAAGTCCAGGTGACTTGAGACCAAGTTCTGATTGGAGAACTTAGGTGTCCGTAGCCAAGTTATTTAAACTTTTCTGCTCCTCAGTTCCAACTTTCTCAAAATGAGTAGATAACGATTACTGTATCTCACCTGAATATTATGAAAAGTCTGTACGATAAAATATGATGATGGTTATACAATGATAATGTAAACTTCTTAATAATACAAATGTTAGTAACTGTTATTTACATGTATTCAATAGTCAACTTTGGAGTAATCACCCTATTGATTCAGCACACACTGAATTCCACAACAAAGCAAATTATTTACACTCTGCATGCCCTAATTTTTAAATAAAATATTGTGGGTTTTTGTATTATTACAACTTTTCACAATAAAATTTCTGCTTCACATAATTTATTGATCAAAGTTCTAACTCACCTGCAATTCAGCATATTCTTCTATCCCTTGCTAACTCCTAGAGTTTGACATATTTTACAGGATTAATTCTTCTCATAGGAATACTACAAAAGAGCTACCTAATAAGATGTTTTAAAAATTCTAATTTGAAGCTAAATAGATAAAGTTTTAAGAATATCAGCTTTGTGAATTTTCTTATGGGTTTAAAAGTATAATTTCATGCCAAAGTTTGGTCAATGGAACAATTTTTCTTTCTCTCACACAATTTTTCCTCCTCTCCCCCAATCCACCAAAGACCTGAATTTCAAGTATTTTTTTCCCATTGACTTGCTGGCAGAAATGAACACAGAAATCAGTAAATTATTAAGTGAAGTTGCAGAAAACATCTTGCTCTTTTGGTATAGCATATCAAAGAAAAAAATCTGGGATCCTGAATTTCATGCAGCAGAAGGCAACGTTGTCTTTGTAAACTATAGTTGTGTGTAGGTGTATTTGATAGAGTTGTTTGGTTATAATTTCATAAAATAGAGAACAGCACTTGGACTATACCTCTAAGGTTAATCTCAAAACCTCACCAGTTCTTTCAGGGTTCTCAAGCAAGAAAAACATCCCTTTGCCCATGTTGCTTCCACACCATGCAGCTAATCTTTGATGACACAGAGTAACATTTTACCAATCTCAATAACACCTGGTAAGTGACTCCTGTTGATAGTAACACTGTGTTTTAATGAACAAATAAATGCATATCTACCCTTCTTGGCAAGAATCTCCAGCTATTGAGGCAAAGCACCAGCTCTCCCTATGTTACTTGGGCTAATTGACTCTTTGGATGAAGTTAAATCACACTTATCCCCAGTGGGATGTATGTTTGCCAGTAATCAATAGCTCAACAAGATCCACAAGGCAGGTAATTAAGTGGAAAGTAATTAATACCCATCAAAGGTTTTATTAACTGTTTGCCATTCCTTCACTCAAAAGTCCTACTGTACTGTAAATAAAGAAGAAAGAGCCAAAAGGAGAAGGCATGTGGGAACTAGCTTTGTTTTGTAGGAAGCCGAATAATTACAACTCTTTTTCCCTTGGGTTAATCCCATTTTGAGGATTAGAACTACTCTTCAAGTTATCATTTTATTGGTTCATTCTCTTTATTCCATTTTTGCAAGCACTCAAGTAAAAACAGAATCTCAAATAAGTGCACTATTATAGAAAAACTGTCTTATTCTGATATTATGAGAAATGAGGACAAAATAAGATGCCGCAAGTATTAAGGACTTGTGTGTTGAAGGAATGAAGGTTAAGATTTGGAAAAAGGAATTCCACTTAAAAGAAAAGAGAAAGTGATTGTCTTGGTGAATGGAATGCTCTAGATGTCTTTATTTTTTGTGTGACTATCTTAGATTCTTCAGTGCATATTCATTATTAGAAAATATTTTATTTTAATTTTTATTGAAAATTAATTTTGCTTCAGAAATCTCACTTATGTCAAGAAGGATTTCACATTGTAAGCTATCCTCTTTTTACATCTGCCTCTTGTTCCAACATCATTTGGAGTACACATTCAGAGGACAAGAGCCTTGTTCTAGTGCTTTTTCTTCTTGTTCATCTTTTTAACTGGGAAATGAATAGAGTCTGTTCCCAAAGCTGCCCTAACTATAGGTAGAGCTCTTGAGTAAGGTGGGAAAATGTCATCAGAAGGACAATAAGAGGACACAAAACACAATTAAACCACAGGGGAGGCAGTACTTCATTTACTTGGAAATTGCTCACTTATTGTTCTGGTAAGATTTGTAATCTTAAGGCATGGATTATTATATTTTTAAGCTCATTCAGTTTTAGTTTAAAAAATGCAATGGTATATGTTAATGATAGGGATGTGGAGAAGTGATTGTTCCTAATTAGATCTTTGTTACCAAACCTCTCTAATATCACAGGAGCATTCCTTTCTTGAACTTATTGAGCCCCCAGACAATTTTTCTTGGAAGTAATAAAGTCACGTGTTAAGGATTACAAAGGCTACTGAACATGTGAATACTTGGCAAAGTATTACCCATGTATTTTACTCAATTAAAGCAATTCTATGCTTATAGAATTTTTGTAATATCAAACTAAAAAATTATTTTAAATATGACACTGTTCTAATTGTGAATCTGAGAACACAATGGAAATGGACACAATTTTTCTTGACGGAAAAATAAGAATGTCTGTCTGTGTAAAGTTGCCGTAGAAAGACAGCTAAACCTGCAGATGCTTTGAATACTATCTAGTTGTTCTATGCGTTCATTTTATGCTCAGAAAAATATGTGCTATTAAACTTAATGTTATTTCTATTACTATTATCCAAATGTTCTTATATACATGAATAAATTGATTGATCTATGTCTAAATTATATGTAAATGAGTAATATGATCATGTTACTTGTTGTTTTATAAGGCAGAGATTTTTCCTTTTTTGCTTGATCTCTGCTCTTGAACCCCCATAGTACTCACCTATTATCTTAGTGTATATACACGTATATATACAATTACACATGAATACACGTTATACATACAAATTCATATAGACATATGTACAATGCAGAACTCAGAGTTCTGTGATCTCACAAAGCAATGGTGTGTGAAACACCCCAGAACCCTTTTGTAACCTCAAAGAGCCATCTTACCTGCCCCCTCCCATATTATGAAAAAAGACCCACTTTTTTTTCTAAGTCCTTTTTTTCTAAGACCCACTTTTTTTTTTCTAAGACCCACTTTTTTTTTCTAAGTCCTTCCTCAGGACTTAGAAATCTCTCTTTCACCTTTTATGACTTTATTGTTTTTCTTTTTATAAAACTAGTACTCCCTTTTTTTCTGTTCTTTTTTTGTTATTTTTTCAAGATGTCCTTCATTAATGAACATTCTCCCTATTGCAATAGCCTGAATAATAAAATCAAAATTGTGCAATGCATTTTGCTGTTCACAATATACATTCCACACATACACATACATCCACACACATAGAAACACATTTTTTATTTTATAAAAAATGAAGTCATATTACACATCTCTATCGCAACAGTACTTCATGCAAATTCTCTCAATAAAGCTTATTTGTAATAGCTGTAAAATTCTATGGTTTGAGTATACCATAATGTATCTTCCTATTGATGGGCACTCATTTTGCTTTCAAGTTTTGCTACCATAAACAATGTATAAATATATAACCTTTTATGTCTAAAAGAGGATATTAGATTACTTAAAAACTGTAACACTTCACATTTCCAATATTTAAGAGGACCCCTTTTTTATCATCCCCCCAAAAAAGGTGTTAATTTTACCAGTCTGATGAGTATCTACATTAACATTTACTATTCCACTGTCTTTTTAAAGAGAACGTGATTATTTCAAGGGACTCTTGCTCAGGAAGATAAAAGTTACAAATGACTTTACTTTTTATTCTGAGAACTTTCTAATTCATCAGCTTTTCAGTAGAAATCATCACATGCCAGTTTACACCCCAAGGCTCTTTGAAGATCTTGCCTCAAAACACCTTGCTTTAGCCAATACTCCAAAACCTTTATTTCATTATTTTTCTCCAGCCCTAATGAAGTCCCTGCATTGACAGACCTGTCTGAAGCCAGACTTCAAAACCTCAGCAATATCCTGACTGAGGTCTCCTCTCTCTGAGACATTAGTAGGCTCTGTGAAGCGAGTGCTGCCCTCTTACCGCATGGCTCTGTCCTGTTTACTGGTTGTGCAAGTATAATTTGGGAAGCCAGAATTCACAGGAGAAACTTCAAACCTTCTACCTATGGGAAATTAAGGTAAACTATTTTGCACATGAAGGGACAGATGAATTCTGTCTAAAGGACAAAATTTAAATGACTTTGCCCTACATCAGTTAAATAATGCATGGTATAAGTGAGTAAAGGAAAACGTTTTAAAATTTCAGCTTTTGTCACTAATATGTTTCAATCTTTCCATATACAGAGATAAGCATTGTATTAGAGTAGAGTATATGGTCCATTCTCTAGCTATAAGTTTATTAACTCTGATATTGTAAGCAAAAGAGCTGAAATGTTTTTAATTGGACACACATCTTATAGCTTCGCAGGTGCCGTCTGTACTCTACAGCAGGGGAAAATAAGTTTAGGGGATTTCCTTATCATTGGAATACAAAAAGAAATATCACAGGAAAAATGGAAGAGATTCTACAGGTTTCTTTTTATGTATTTTCTCTTTTACTTTTCACCCAAAACACCCAAGAAGGAGCTGTGATTACAATCACTGCATGAATGGAAAAAACTGAAGCTCTGGGAATCTAAGTAACTGGCTGCCGCTCCCACAGCGAAGGAGTAACAGAACTAGAATTAGGAGCTAGACCTAACTGCTTCTCTAGAGTTTGTCATTGTCCACTAAACTCTGTGCACTCCAGCCGAGAAATCTGATACCTTTGTTAGGACCATAAAACTCTGTCAAACAGACACTTTAAGGGAGAAAATATTAGTGTTATTGATGGTTAAAAAGCCTCTGCTTTAATTCCAGAACCAGAATTTCTGTAAGAAGTCGGAGATAAAATACAGGCATGTGAGGCCTGGAGGATTTCACTCAGAGGAAAATTGCTCCCTTTTTTACCTTCTGCATTTCCATAGAGGAAGGCTGTGAACTGGTCAGTTGTAGACTGGCCAAGAACCTCAAGTTGTGCTGGATCTGCATGTAAATTTGCTTTTAGCAGCATGAAACTCAAGCAATTTGACAAATGAATAGGAAACCCAACCACAGGGAAAAGGAAGTTCAGCCGAACGGTTGAAAGAACCGTTCTTAAAGGCTTCAAGAAACTTTAAGAGTGTGAGCCCAGTCTATGGAATTTTTAAACATCTTTAAGACAATTAGATACTAACTGAACGTGCCAATTTCTGTTAATATTACAGGAAACATATTGGTAGGATGCTAGGTCACTACTGAAAACGTAACGTTATCCTAAAAATAATTTAGATTCTGGATCAACTGATTCATGTGCCATAACCATGACAACATTGTTCCAGCTGCTGTTTTTTCGCACGCATAGTACTCTGCCTCCATAATTTATTCTTTTCATAAATCTTCCAGGGGTGGCATTAGTAACCCCACATTTCAGATAAGAAAACCGAGGGTTGGAAAGATGAAGAAATTTCCCCAAGCTCACAGAGCTGGTAAGTGACAGAACCTAGATTGAAATTGAGGCCTCTAACCATTAAGCTAAAGTCTAAAAAGAAATAAATTTTATTGTATGAATTTCGACAGTTTTAAGTATTGCAAGTAAATCCGATGACCAATATCCCAACATCAGAATTCTGATAGGTAGGAGATAAAAAGATACCTACTACCCTGGACTAATTGCAAGCAATTATAAGTACAAAGGGCATATTCCACTAAGCTACCGGTGTTACACTCTACATGATGTTAAAACAGGAACGTGATTCCTAACACACCCCAGCGTGGGTGCCACTCTATAATTACACTGTTAGCAGCTCTGTAATGAGTACTTTCTTTTTACTCCTCCAATCAATACAAATGCCTATCAACGTAAAATAGCCACGCAGCTTTCTACAGTCTAAAGAGTAAAAAGCAATCCAGGATGACAGAGTATCTATAATATATTTAAGCATATTGCTTCTTTTTAAAAATGCATTACTGGTATTATTTCGCATGTATTGAGGATGGTAAGCATGTGGGAATAATTAGAACAATGACCACCTCAGATGGAAAACATAGATGCCTGGCTGTACTGATAATAAAAGGTGCTGTCGGAGGCAAATCACACCCCATTACGACACAAATAGGAAACATTATTAATGCTTAATTCTGACTGTGTCAAGAATCACTCTGCTTTCGTTCATTGCTGATAACATCATTGCCTTGACCTTATTGCAAAATTAATGGTAGGCATTATATTATGTTATATTCATCATAGCATATTGAAAATTTGTGTGTGTGTATTTGTAGCCTTTGCAATTTTTCTCTTTGTACTAACATATCGCTTAGTTGTAACTTTGTTCAATGCTCTTTTAAAAATGCAAAGCCTCAGAGCAAAACCAGAGAAAAACTCTTTTCGCAACATTCAAAACTATTTAAGACCAGCTTAATTTAAATTGCCATGACCTGTAATGACTCTTGTGAGCTGGGTCCTCATTTGGTTTCTTGTTTTTTAACTGTATATACTTTGTGATACATAGCTAAAGACAATACTATAGGAAGTAAGGATTTTTTGTAACTCATTTAACCTCTTTTTACTAAAAATTGATGGTAATTTTTAAGTAGTGTAACTAGAAACCTTTATCTGAATCTTCCCTGGCAACTGTTTTGGGTCCTTCTCTTCTGGCCTTACACCATCTCTCTATGCCTGGATATATGGCTCCTGCTGCAAGACCCTTATTCAGTCTTAGTTCATGCTTGACAAGTTCCTGGAAGGACAGTCTTTTGATGTTGAGTCTTCTTTTGTTAATGTTAGGAATGCCTATGTAATGATGACCTGTATTCATTGTAGTGACTTGTGGTTTTTGGTTTTTTTTTTTTTTTGGTTGGTTGGTTGGTTTCTCCTTTGGCATATGAAAGGGGTCATATTATCTTTGGATGCAACAAAACTCTTCCTGTTTGAACAAAACAAAATAAAAATTGATCTTCTATTATAGCTGTGCCTTCTGGGTTACACCATGAATGTTCTTCATTCAATAGACACTTGGTGTATTGCTTAATGTGTTATGGGTAATTATGTGTGAACATGTAAATGATACATTTAATTCAGTTCAGCAAATAAACATTGAGTATTTAGTACAAGCCATGCCTATGTAAGCTGCCAATAATCCACAACATCAACACAACCCATAAACGGATCCACCAAGGACTCATATCCATGATGACTCATACTATAGAAGAATCCTGGAAAAGGTAATGATGCAATGTAAGAGCGCACAAGGATCCTCCCACCCATCTTCTGAGAGAAGAGAGATCAGCACTTTGCTCTTCTGACAATAATTTTACCTCTCCAAGCATTACATTTTCACACTCAGGATAGAGAATAAACAAAATCTAATCAACCTTCTTATCTCTACTGAGCTATCTTCCCTATTGAGTAACATGATACTTCATGGCTCTCTACCAAAAGGTACTATATAAATATTTTCAGCTAATGCTAAAAAGAAGAGTTATGAGTGGCTGGTAAAGAGCCTCAGGGCTGAGCCTTCTCTGAGGACAGAGTGAAGTGAAGAAACAGTGCCTTCCATTTTGCCTCAGTATTTGTTCAACTGCCTAAACTCTCAGCAATGATAGAATAAAAAATATATGAGTATAGATGGGAAGGAAAAAAGACTATATCAAGGACTACCTACATCTTTTAGGCCAGTGACATACACTATAAGCTATAATCTTGCCAGTTCCTTCTTTCCGTCATCAACTCACCAAAATTTAGTATCCACTCCAAAAACTCATGAAAATAATAGGAATTCATTATGATTTTCCATCTCAATGACAGATCAATTCCTAAATTCATAGAGACAATAAAATTGTTACACTTTACTATAACTTGCATTTTGCAACTTGACTATAGTTTTCTTTTCTGGCCCTATAGTATACATTGTTTCTTCAAAATTGGTCAAATTTTTTATGTGCAGGATTATGCACATGTAGGCTAACTTGCTACTTTTTTAAAAAGTTTTGCTTTAAACCTGAAATGCCTTCCTCCACATCTCTCCAAATCAGGAATCACAGATACTTGATATATATGCTGATTATCTGCCTTCCCCAACTATGTTAGACATTACTAATTAATTATTGCATGCATTTTTATTGAGTCTCAGAATTCTCAACACATCTCCACTCCAGCACCACAATCAATCAGCGTTGGCCTAGGAAATTAAAGCATCTTTGCTATCCCTGACCTAGATCATCACAGAAACTATATTTTGAGGTTCATTCATTACATTCTTGTCTGAGTTATATATCCATTTGCTTGTTACGTCTGTGTGAAATAGTGCTTTTCTGACTTGGTTTGACATTTTGGTGTGTTACTTTTAAATATTTTATTCAGTCTTTAACCAAATTATTAATCAAATGTATCTCAGTATTAATAACTGTCCATTGATTTGTCCTCACTGATTTCAGAATATGTCTAATATTCCTCTGCCATTGGGATATGAAGAATTAGTCATTTCCACTTTCATTGTGAAAAAGGGTATGGGCCCTGAAGTCAGGCAGCCTGTATTATCCAGCCTTGCTTTAGTTTCCTTATCTGAAAATGTGGATAACTTGAGCATCAATCTCTTAGAGCTGCTGTAAGGATCCAATGAGTTAATGCATTCCAACCACTTAGAACAGTGCCTACCATATTGTATGTGTCCAATATATGTTAGCAACTAGTCGTACTTGTAATACTGGTCGTTATTGTTGACTGAGGCTGGGTAGGTTGACTCTATTTTATCTGCACATTCTCAGTGTGTAAGATATGGTCTCTTATATAATTAACTTTACACTTGTTACTCAAGCTTCACAATTATATAAGTGGGGACACATTAACAACAATGGCGTAAATTATACTGGCTCTTTTGCTCATTAGCTTCCTGAGGGCCATATCTCTCTGATAGTGCTCTCAAGTGGTCCAAAGTGTCTTCAAGGAGTGTCTTTCCAGACTTCCTTGTTATGCTGTCATGTCCACCTCTTTTTCTGTCTCCCATCAAGTATCACAGTCTTGGTCTTTGCTCTGCTCAGTCCTGTGGTCAAGTTCTATCCCTATCCAACAGAACTTTCTGTATTTATGAAAATTCTTTATATCTATACTGTCCAGTATGGTAACCATTAGCTCCAAGGACTTGTTGAGCACACATATGGCTAGTGTGAATAAGGGGCCGAGTTTTAAATTTTATTTGAATTATTTTAAATTTAAATAGCCAAAAGTTGCTAAGGGTCACTTAATTGGACAGGAATAGAACTTTCAAGCATCAGTTATGCCATGCTCTGCATGGATAAGAAGAAGACATCCATCTTCCTATTTTGTGATCACATAGTCCTTTGGATCCTTATACAGTCCTTTGTTCACCTTGTGCCTCACGATGGGCTCTTTGAGAAGATCTCCTTCAGTTTCTGCTTGTAGCTTCTTCTTCTCTAGGTCACAGATATGACCACATTGGAAGACACAGAGAACACACTTTAATTATGTTTCTGGGTGCATCCCTCTATCTCCCCCACTCCAACCTGGTGTTCTCTTACTATTTTCTTCTTTTCCACATCCAGTCTAACAAAAGAGTCTCCTTCAAATTAGTTCAAGCACACTGACTCCTCCAGGAGCACATAACAATTTGATAGCTATTACATACATAAAATAACTCATATATCTCACATATGACATAAAAACATTCATATTTACTGTGGTTAAATCTATTAGCATCAAGGAGTAGGCTAACAGAAATTTTCCTGTTTCTTCTCCCCTCTTGGTTAACCTCACCTCCTTGTCTACCAACACCCAGGACATTGTTCTAACATGAAAGGACTCAGTCCATAAGGCACATCTTTGTCTTTGCACTTCTGATTATACCCAGTGTCTGAAATACTTGAAAATGCACATTTATAACCCTGTGATAACTTAGCTACATACTTCCTCAAACTTCATTGCCTTTACACATCTGGGTGTGGACATAATCTGCCTCCTATTTTGCAAACGGCTTTTTCAAAAGTTTCAAAAGTTTACACTAACTTATACTCACACCAGCATTTATAAGCCTGTGCTTGTTTTCTTATAGTCTCACAAAAAGTCCACATTTATAAAATAATTTTTCTCTTTCCCAATATGCTAGAAGAAAAGTAATCTCTCATATATTAAAAGGCATCTGATCCACCTTCAAGATTTTAATTTCAGAAACCCTCTTTCCTGAGAAACTGTTATATTTCTGCTTTCCTCACTTTATTTTATGACATGCTATTTTGGATTATACTTACTTATATTTATTACTTACCTTCTTTAACATATTGTAAGCATCTTGAGAAGAAAAATGTGTCATTTATTTTCTGTTCACCTACATGCCTTATGCATAGAAAGTGGTATTTTGACATATCTGAAATAAATCACCACGTTGGATAATTATATAAACATATAGCTTTCTGTATTCTTTGAATGCCATTCTGGGACTGATTTATTTGCATGATCGGTCCCTAACAAAACATCTTGCTCCTAGTTATTGTAAAATAAAGCTATGTTATTTGATCACACACCTGAGCTTTACCAGTGGTGATATTTGTGAAAAAGTTTATTCTCTCAGAGCTTCATTTCATATTTTTATGAGGAGAGAATCTTTCCAGCCTTGTTGTAAAGTGATAATAATGAAAAGCATCTAGTAAAGAGATACAACTACTATTCTATTTATTTGTCTCTGGTATGTAACGTCCCTTTTCTGAAAGCATTTGAGTAATTAAATACATTTAATGTAAGAGAGATTACTTTTCTCCTAGCATAATGGGAAAAAGTAAAAATTATTTTATAAATGTGTACTTTTTGTGAGACTATAAGAAAACAGGCACAGGCTTATAAGTGCTGGTGTGAGTATAAGTTAGTGTAAACTTTTGAACCTTTTGAAAAAGCCATTTGGCAATGAGAGAAAGGAAAAGAACAAAGAAAAAGAAGAAAGAAGGGAGAAGGTGGAAAAGGGAAATCAGAGAAAAGAAGAAAGAAAGAGAGGGCAAAAAAAGATTGGGAGAATAGAGGAAAATGGAAAAGAAAAGAAAAAGTGTTGGACTTAGTAAAGAAAATAGAAAGAGAAAAAAAGAGAAAAGTGCAAAACAGACTCAATGCCTTAGACAGGCATAATGCCTGTGGATGGAGAAATGAGTGAGACCTGAGATCCTGAGCACCACACCTGGACTCAGCAGTTTCCTCCCCATCCCCCAGGCCCCCATGTGCTTCTGGTCCATTCTTTCCCCCAGTCAATCTCCAGCCCTGATCCCCAGGAGAGGAGAATGTGCAGCTGCTCTTCAACAGAGCCTCTGTTCTGGGTTTTGTTTTCCCTGACCAAATTTCATAGTTTTTATATTCTTTTGATGGTTATTTGTGAAATGTAGGATCAATAGAAATTTGAGAGCCAACTTAATGAACACCAGAAAACAAAACAGAAATAATGTCTACTATTTTCTCATTTGAAGCTGCCAAAACATTGAAAAATGGCATATATCAAACACATGGCAGTGCAGGGGAGAAGCAATAGTATGGGAGCTTTGAAGCCTATATCTCCATATAATATGGGAATACAGTCATCCTCAGTATCAATGGGGGGTTGATTTCAGGACCCTTGAAGATACCAAAATCCATGGATGCTCAAGTCCCTGATAGAAAATGGTGTAGTACTTGCATATAACCTATTAACATCCTCCCAAACACTGCAAATTGTCTCTAGATTACCTATAATACCTAACTCAATTTAAATTATATGTATGGGAACAGTTGCTGTAGTGTGTTGTTTAGAGAATAATGACAAGAAAAATAATCTGTACATGTTCAGTACAGAAGTAACCATCTTCTTTTTTTTCTAAATATTTTCTTTTTTTTTTCCTTTGGAGACGGAGTCTCACTCTGTCACCCAGGCTGGAGTGTAGTGGCACGGTCTCGGCTCACTGCAACCTCGGCCTCCTGAGTTCAAGCAATTCTCCTGCCTCAGCCTCCCAAGCTCCCAAGTAGCTGGAACTACAGGCACATGTCACCACACCCTGCTAATTTCCTGTATTTGTAGTAGAGATGGAATTTCAGCATGTTGGCCAGGCTGGTCTCAAACTCCTGACCTCAGGTGATCCGCCCACCTTGACCTCCCAAAGTGCTGGGATTACGGGCGTGAGCCACCGCACCCTGCATTTTCTAAATATTTTCTAACCATAGTTGGTTGAGTACACCAATGTGGAACCCACAGTTATGGAGGGCTGATTATAAATGCTTTTAAAAAATGAATTAATTATTTTGTTAAATTGTTAAATTTTACTGTACTACATTAAAGCAAACAGATATAAATGAATTTATATATGTACACATATATACAATGTATGTGTCTATATTTATGCAGTGATCAAAAAATTTAAAATATAATTTAGAAACATTTGGTAAATAAATAATGTTAATTAAGCAGTGGAATGTATATCAAAAATAATGTAACTTTTTATTAATTGTTTAGCATTATTATCAAAATTTCTAAGTTCTTAGCATTGTGCTATGCAAAACAACTAAGATGATTGCACATCATCTGAAATTCAAAAGTATGTTTTAAAAAATTAAGTGCATATGAGAAGACATGGGAATAAAGAAATGAAAAATGAAAGAAATAGGGCAAAATTCTGGGAACAATGCTTACAAAATCCACAAGTTAAGTTTATTTTAATATTTTTAAGCATGCAAATACAAGGAGAACTCATAGAACTCCCCCTCCAGTCTAAGTAATATTGGTCAAAAACGCTAACTTTTTGAAGCATTCTAGAGGCAGTCAAGTAAGCATGCTTATATCAATGTTTAGAAAATATGAGCTAAGACCCTTATTGAGTCAAATCAATTTAATATATTGAAGCATTTTTAATAGAATGAAGGAGACGATAACAAAAAAATAGAAAAAAAATATAAAATAGGAAAGCAAAGATAACGTCAGTGTATTATTCAAGGCAGGGTACTATTTCAAGACTGTCTCTGAAATATACATGTAGGGAGACAGATACAATATGTATTTTTATTGTGATTAGCTGCCAAATGTTTTGATAGCCTCTGTCTTTTACAATATGAGTGAAAAACAACTTGCATAACACCAAAAAGGGGATGTTCTGCTGTGAAAGTGTTGCAAATGGTGACCTTTCTGCTAGTACAAATGACAAAGCACTTCACAAATAATACCCTACACTCAGAATAATCAATATGAAGTGATGATGTAGGGGGAAAAGGAGGACAGGCAAGAGCAGTGAGGAGTGGTTGGCAGTGATAAAGAGCCACTTCAATCTAACAAAGAAAAAAATTCGGCTATTAGATTAGCTGCTGTCCACAACTAGTGGTTTCTTCTCCACTTCCACATCCCATAAACTCGTTTTTCAAATGTTTGAGTTCTTGGACAATACTGATTTTGACATTTCCCATAATATAGAATGGCTCAAAAATCATTACAATCAACAATCATTACAATCAACTGTGTGAAATGGCTGGAAGATGCTTAAATGCCTTTAGTGCCAGCTTCTCACTCACTGAAGCAGACCTCAGACCATCTCTAGCTGCTGATTAAGCCATTACTTGATGCATTGTAGCTGGGACTCTGATTTACTAGGAAAAGGAGTAAAACGAAAAAAGGTAAAAGTTGTACGTTTTAATATGAACTAAATGTTTCCCTCCATTTTTCTATATTCTGTAACTCTACACCAACAATATTTTGCTTCTGATTATGCTGACAGGGTATTTTATGAATTAAACATTCAGGTACATTTTTGTATGCATTGTGATTGGCTTCTCAATCTTAAGGGATAACTAGATCTGAGAAAATTTCTCACACATGTGTATGACTTACACATTTATTATGGAAATAAGTTATATGTTAATTTCAAAGGAGGTCCAGAGAGTCGGCGCCATTTAATGGAAGTAGACCTAAGATGTGACTCAGTAGTATCTGGGATTCTCAGCCAGCCACTAAATAACTGTGTAAAATGAACACATTCCTTCACCCCTCTGGGTTTAGTTTTCTCATCTGTAAAGTGACTAAATGTTAATGAGGTGAATATATCAGAGATGGCTTTGATTCTAAAACTTCTATTTCTAAAACTGTGCAATAAATATAAAAATGCTTACCAAATAATCTATGTGTTTCTCTAAATTTCCTGGCCTCCTTCAGATTCAGGTTAAGACTACCTGACCAGTTCTTTCCAAAGGGCTGTGAGCAGTAAAGAGGTATGTCATCTTTAGGCTGAGATACCCAAAATCAGGTTTGATTTAGGATTGCCAGATTTAGCAAATAAAAATACTAGACAACAGCTATATTTGAATTTTAGATAAACAACAAATATTCTTAGTATAAGCAAGCATGTGCCATGCAATATTTGGGACATAATTATAGTAAAAATTATTCCTGGTTAATCTGAAATTCAAATTTGACTGGGCCTCCTGTTTTTTCTGGTAATCTTACTTTGAATTTTCTAAATTTCTCATCCCTTGCTGCAACTACTCTAGAAGATACTTGTTGAGCTGAAAGCATCACTACTTGTAAGAAGATGGGATTCCTTGAAAAGCTAGGAAGAAGATAACAGCCTTGGAGAATCCCCCCAACCATCATGAGAATTTTCGAGGGGGAAAAAAAAGACTTTGTTGGGTTAAGCACTTGCAATTATAAGGTGTATGTGTTGCTGCAATATAGCCTGACATTACCCTGACCAATAGCCTGCCAATGTTTTATAGTATGTTAGTGAAATGCCATTTGACATAATAAATAGAAATTGTATGAGTTCAAAGACATTTTTAATGATCTATCTAAATAATAGTATTCATATTCCTCATCGGGCATAAACTTGTCTGATGAGAACATGAAATCAGACAGACTAAGAATACTTTGAGAAATTTCTTTTTTTATATTCCTCAAATTGAATGAATTGGTGTTAGTGAGATAAGGAGCAGTACACCAGATCCAAAGTAGCCTGATGCCAACACTAAAGGAGGTTGTTTCCCCCCGGATAATTTCTGTTCCAACAAAGGGACCTGCCACTCAAAATAATTCAAGCTGTCCCTCTACATTTCCCTGGGAGTGGGACAGCCATAGAATGTACCAGTTTATTAAGTGAGAGATTCATATTTTAACCTACCTTTCAGAGATTCATATTTTAATCTACCCTGTTCATCTAGAACAGAGTTGGAAAACTTAAATACCTTCAAGAGAGAATAGAGGTAATATAAATGAGTAAAACATTTCAGGAGTTTGAGGCAGCAGGAAAAGTGAGAGGGGTATTCTCAGAACAAAAAGCAGCCATGTGATATAATTCCAACCAACTGACCAGTGGGAATGTAAGCCCAGTGTTGCCAGAGAGCCCCATTATTCAACGGAAGCCAGAAATCCAAAGGTCATGTATGAAATCAGCTAACTTCATATGTTGAGAATCGCTTGCTTCTTTGTTTTAGCACTAGCCACAATTCTACCAACTGGAAAAAATATGCCAGTAGGCTGCCAGTTAGTTGCAATTTCTTATTAGTTTTTAGCTGTTAAAAACTAGAATAATTCCGGGAAAACCATGATTCAAGAGAGAAAGCAAATAAAAATCAAATGTTTTCAAGACACTACTAGGGAAGAGAATCTCTAAAGAAATACCTTTAAGGAAAATTCATAGTAGTAGAAAACTATATTACATTTATTCCATAACTGAAGATACTCAATATATTATTTGAGCAGAGTCTACTTACAGAATTCTACTTGAAGAATGACTGAGGACATTCATGAGAAAAAAAAAACTGATCTTAATGGAAGAAAAAAATCAATCAAGCCTGACCCATAACAGTTCTATATAAAACCAACCAGAATCTGCCATCTTTACCTCCAGTTTCTCTTTGACTCCACTCCAGCCACAATGACCTACTTGCTGTTTCTTAAACATAGGAAGCCTACTTCCTTTCTATTTGTCATTGCCTCTGTTGGGATTGCCATCCCCAGGTATCACAGGTGTGAGCCTCTTCACTTCACTTCATGCCTTTATCCAAAAGCCACCTTGTCAGTAGGACCAGCTGTGGCTACAGTATCTAAACTTTCAACTGGACCCTCTCCTTTCACAGACCCCAATCCTATTACCTGATCCTTTAGCACTCAATTTTAGAGTCGTGTAACATTCTTTTTAGAGTCATAATGATAAAATTTTCTTATCTTTTCTCTCTTTTATCTTCTCTTTTTTCCCTATTAACAAGGGATACTATTTTCTGGCTGATATCTCCAACTTATTTTCCAGCCTTGCTATGGATTTCTTTTTATTTTTTTTAAAGTTCCAACTGCACATTTATTGATTCTAAATGTTCCTTCTCTAAAAATAGCATTCTATGTTATTTCAAGAATACACTATCTTATTCTCTGAGAATATTAATTGTAATGTTTTTAATGTTTCAATATTTTATTTTCTTGCTTGCATTTGTGTTTTTTCTGGAAATTCATTTTATCTGTTTGCTTGTTTGACTGTCTGTTTGGTCTCAGTCTTTTATGTTAGAGGTCTCCTACAAATACCTGCCTATACTTAACTGCCTGCTTATGTATAAACTTGAGGCTCTGGAAAGCATAATTAAATTCTCTGTTTTCTCAGACTTGATTTGTCACCTTGTGAACTTCATTGTATGGGATCTGACTGAGCAATTTCATTCTAAGCACCCATTTGGTGGGATGGTCAGCTTCCTGCAGAGAAATCTTCCAATTTTCTGTGTGGGAGGTACAAGCCTAGCTGCAAGGTCCTGAGTCAAGCATAGGAGGCAGGTGGCAAGGATCTTGACATAGTGTAGGTGGTTTCTTCCTTATCGTGGCTTCATTTCCACTTGTTCAGGCTTCTGCTGTTGTTGGCATCAGATGGAAGGCAAGGCAATTGCCCAACTGCAGAAAAAGTGGGCAAAGAGTTGTGGTCTACTTGCTTCTGACTCAGACTGTTATCTGATCATTGCATTGTACAAAAGGACTCAAAAAGATTATGGAAAATCGGATTTAAAGATAAAAATAAAAATAGATACTTTACATCTCAACATAAGCTCTATCAAACTCAAGACACTTTTGTTAAGTAATGATACCAGCCATTTAGTTTGTCTCTAAAGAACTGAATGTCCTGGGAATTTAATTATGTCAACACAGTCTTTTTTTACATTATTTACTGCAGAAAAATGGGCACATTTTTAAGACTTTTTAGGATTAAAAAAAAAACAAAAAGAAGTCAGAAGGAGCTATGTCAGGATTGTAAGGTGGATGGCTAATGATTTCCCTTCAAAACGCTCACAAAATTTCCCTCATTTGATGAAAAGAATGAGCTGGAGCATTGCTGTAGTGGAGAAGAACTCTGTGGTTAAGGTTTCTCGGGCATTTTTCTGCTAAAGTTTTGGCTAACCTTTCCAAAACACTCTCATAACAAGCAGATGTTACCATTCTTTGGCCCTTCAGAAAGTCAAAAGGCAAAATGCCTTGAACATCCCAAAAAACGGTTGCCATGACCTTTGCTCTTGACAGGTCTGCTTTTGCTTTGACTAGGCCACTTCCACCTCTTGGTAGCTATTGCTTTGACTGTGCCTTGTCTTCAGGATTATACTGGTTAAGCCATGTTTCATCTCCTGTTATGTTTCTTCAAAGAAATACTTCAGGATCTTTATTTTACTTATTTAAAATATCCATTGAAAGCTCTGCTTTTGTCTGTAGCTGATGTGGGCACAACAGTTTTGGCACCCATTGAGGAGAAAGTTTGCTCAACTTTAATTAATTTTTTAGTCAGAATTGTGTAAGCTGAACCGTTTAAGATGTATATGGTATTGGCTATTGTTTCTGCTGTTACTCACTGGTCCTCTTCAATTAGGGCATCGAAAAAGATGAATTTTTTCCTCACAAATTAATGTAGATGGTCTGCTGCTGCAGGCTTCATCTTCAACACTGTCTCAGCCCATCTTAAAGTGAGTTCTCCATTTGTAAACTGCCCATTTCTTTGGGACGTTGTCCTCATAAACTTTTCATAAAGCATTAATGAAGTCACCATTCTTCCACACAACCTTCACCATGAATTTCATGTTTGTTCTTGCTTCAGTATTAGCAGAATTCATGTTGTTCTGATAGCAGCCTTTTTCAAATTGATGCCTTATAGTGCTTAGTGCCTCAAACTAGATTATGTTCGGACATGGTATAACAGCATGAGCTTAGTTTGGTGCAAAAAATTTTTGAAACTCATGCATAGTTTTTTTCATAATACACATTTTCCATGGACTTTTGAAGACCACTTGGGGACACAACCAAACCATATAAGCTTGTTTCATCAGGTTTGTTGAAAATCAAACAGCTGTAGGTGTGCAGAATTATTTCTGGGTTTCCTATTGTATTCTATTGTCTGGGTGTCTGTTTTTGTATCAGTAGCATGCTGTTTTTGTTACTGTAACCACATAGTGGTTTGAAGTCAGGTAGCACAATGCCTCCAGCTTTGTTCTTTTTGCTTAGGTTTTCCTTGGCTGTTTGGGCTCTTTTTTGGTACCACATGAATATTAAAATAGTTTTTTCCAGTTCTTTAAAGAATTGCAATGGTAGTTTAATAGGAATAGCACTGAATCTTGTATTAGTCCATCTTTACAGTGCTGATAAAGACATACCCAAGACTGGGTAATTTGTAAAGAAAAAGAGGTTTAACGGACTCACAGTTCCATGTGGCTGGAAGGCCTCACAATCATGGTGGAAGATGAAAGGCGCTTCTTACATGGCGGTGGCAAGAGAGAATGAGAACCAAGCAAAAGAGGTTTCCCCTTATAAAACCATCATATCTCCTGAAACTTATTAACTACCATGAGAACAGTATGGGGGAAACTTCCCCCATGATTCAATTATCTCCCACTGGATCCCTCCCACAACATGTAGGAATTATGGGAGCTACAATTCAAGGTGAGATTTGGGTGGGGCCGCAACCAAACCCTATCAAATCTATAAATTGCTTTTGGCTGTGTAGCCATTTTAATAATATTGAATTTTCCTATCCATGAGCATGGAATATTTTTCCATTTATTTGTGTTATCTCTGATTTCTTTGAGAAGTGTTTCATAGTTCTGCTTTCAGAGATCTTTTACTTCACTGGTAGCTGTGTGCATAGGTGTTTTATTTTATTAGTGGCAATTGTGAAAGGGTTTGCATTTCTGATTTGATTCTTGTCTCGACTGTTGGTGGCGTATAGGAATATTAGTGATTTTTACACATGGACTTTCTGAAGTTATCAGTTTAAGGAGCTTTGGGGCAGAGACTATGGGGATTTCTAGATATAGAATCATGTTCTCTGCAAACAGGAATAATCTGACTTCCTCTCTTCCTAGTTAGATGCTGTTTATTTCTTTCTCTTGCCTGATTGAGCTGGCCAGGACTTTCAATCCTATGTTGAATAGGAGTGGTAAGAGAAGGCATTCTTGTCTTGTGCCACTTTTGAAGGGGAATGCTTCCAGTTTTTACCCATTCAGTGTGATGTTGCCTGTGGGTTTGTCATAGATGACTCTTATTATTTTGAGGTATTGTTCCTTCAACACCTAGTTTATTGAGAGTTTTTAACTTGAAGGGGCGTTTAATTTTATCAAAGCTTTTTCTGCATCTATTAAGGTAATCATGGTTTTTGTCTTTAGTTCTGCTTATGTGATTTATCACATTTATTGATTTGTGTATGTTGAACCAATCTTGCATTCCAGGAATAAAGCCTACTCGATTGTGGCAGATACACTTTTTGATGTGCTGCTGGATTTGGTTTGCCAGTATTTTGTTGAAGATTTTTGTATTGATGTTTATCAAGGATATTGGCCTGAAGTTTTCTCTTTTTGTTGGGTCTCTGCCAGGTTTTGGTGTTAGGATGATGCTGGCCTCATAGAATGAGTTAGGGAGGAGTCTCTCCTCCTCAATTTTTTCGAATAGTTTCAGCAAGACTGGTGCGAGCTCTTCTTTGTATATCTGGTAGAATTCAGCTGTGAATCTGTCTGGTCTTGGATTTTTTTTGTTGGTAGGCTATTTATTATTGATTCAAATTTCAGAACTCATTATTGATCTGTTTAGAGATTCAATTTCTTCCTAATTCAGTCTTGGGAAGGTGTGTGTGTCCAGTAATTTATCCATTTCTTCTATGTTTTTTAGTTTATGTGATAGAAGTGATCATAATATTCTCTGATGGTTGTTTGTATTTCTGTAGGGTAGGTGTTAATATCCCACTTGTCATTTCTGATTGTTTATTTGAATCCTCTCTCTTTTCTCCTTTATTAATCTAGCTAGAAGTCTATCTATTTTATTAATTTTTTCAAAAAAAAAAAAGCTCCTGGATTAGTTGAGCTTTTGAATGGTTTTTTTGTGTCTCAATCTCCTTCAGTTCAACTCTGATTTTAGTTATTTCTTGTCTTCTGCTAGCTTTGGGATTGGTTTGTTCTTGGTTCTCTAGTTCTTTCATTTGTGATGTTAGGGTTTTTTTTTATTTTATATTTATTTATTTATTTATTTAATTTATTTATTTATTTATTTTGAGATGGAGTCTCGCTCTGTCACCCAGGCTGGAGTGCAGTGGCTCGATCTCCACTCACTGCAAGCTCCGCCTCCTGGGTTCACGCCATTCTCCTGCCTCAGCCTCCTGAGTAGCTGGGACTACAGGTGCCCGCCACCATGCCTGGCTAATTTTTTGTATTTTTAGTAGAGACGAGGTTTCACCGTGTTAGCCAGGATGGTCTTGATCTCCTGACCTTGTGATCCGCTCGCCTTGGCTTCCCAAAGTGCTGGGATTACAGGCATCAGCCACCGCACCCGGCTGATGTTAGGTTTTTAAATTAAGATCTTTCTAACTTTTTGATGTGGGCATTTAGTGCTATAAATTTCCCTCCTAACACTGCCTTAGCTGTGTCTCAGAGATTCTAGTGTGTTGTATCTTTGTTCTCATTAGTTTGATTTCTGCCTTAATTTCATTATTTACCCAAAAGTCATTAAGGAATAGGTTATTCAATTTCTATATAATTGTATGGTTTTAAGTGTATTTCTTGGTCTTGATTTCTTTTTTTTTTTTTTTTTTTTTTTTTTTTGAGACAGAGTCTTCTTGCTCTCTTGCCCAGGCTGGAGGGCAGTGGCATGATCTCGGCTCACTGCAAGCTCCGCCTCCCAGGTTCACGCCATTCTCCTGCCTCAGCTTCCCAAGTAGCTGGGACTACAGGCGCCCGCCACCACGCCTGGCTAATTTTTTGTATTTTTAGTAGAGATAGGGTTTCACCATGTTAAGCAGGATGGTCTCAATCTCCTGACCTCATGACCCACCCACCTCAGCCTCCCAAAGTGCTTGGATTACAGGTGTGAGCCACCGCGCCCATCATCTTGATTTCTAATTTGGTTGCACTGTGGTCTAAGAGACTGTTTTTTTATGATTGTAGTTCTATTTTATTTGCTGAAAAGTGTTTACTTTTGGTTATGTGATTGATTTCAGAGTATATACCATGTGGCAATGAGAATTTATATTCTGTTCTCTTTGAGTGGAGAGTTCTCTAGATGTCTGTCAAGTCCATTTGACCCTGTGTTGAGTTTAGGTCCTGAATATCTTTGTTAAGTTTCTGACTTGATTATCAGTCTAATATTGTCAGTGAGGTGATAAAGTCTCCCACTATTATTGTGTAGGAGTCTGAATCTCTTTGAAGGTCTCTAAGAACTTTCCTTATGAAACTGGGTGCTCCTGTATTGGGTGCATGTATGTTTAGGATAGTTAGGTATTCTTGTGGAATTAAACCCTTTTCAATTACGTAATGTCCATTCTTTGTCTTTTTTTATCTTTGTTTATTTAAAGTGTGTTTTGTCTGAAACTAGGATTGCAATCCCTCTTTTTTCTGTTTTCAATTTGCTTGGTAGATTTTTCCCCATTCCTTTATTTTAAGCCAATATGTGCCATTGCATTTGAGATGGGTCTCTGGAATACAGCCTTTCAATAGATCTTGGTTCTTTATGCAGCTTGCCACTCTCTGCTTTTCAATTGGGACATTGAGCCCATTTACATTCAAGGTTAGTATTGATATGTGTGGATTTGATCTTATCAGCATGATGTTAGCTGGCTCTTTTTCAGACTTATTTATGTGTTTGCTTTATAGTGTCACTGGTCTGTGTACTTCAGTGTGTTTTTGTACTGGTTGTTAATAGTCTTTCTGTTCCATATTTAGTGTTTCCTTCAGGAGCTCTTGTAAGGCTAGTCAGGTAGTCATAAATTCCTTTAGCATTTGCTTCTCTGAAAAAGATCTTATTTCTCCTTTGCTTATGAAGCTTAGTTTGGCCGGATATGAAATTATTGGTTGGAATTTCTTTTCTTTAGGAATGTTGAATATTGGCCTCCAATTTCTTCTGGCTTGTAGGGTTTCTGCTAAGAGGTCTGCTATTAGTCTGATGGGCTTCCCTTTGTAGGTGACCTGACCTTTCTCTCTAGCTGCATTTAACATTTTTTATTTCATTTCAACATTGGAGAATCTGATAATTATGTGTCTTGAGGATGATCTTCTTTTGCAATATTATACTGGGGTTTTCCGCCTTTCCTGAATTTGAATGTTGGCCTGTCTTGCTAGGTTGTGAAAGTTCTCATGGACAATATCTTGAAGTACATTTTCCAAGTTGGTTCCATTCTCCCCATCTCTTTCAGGGACACCAGTGAGTCATAGATTTGGTCTCTTTACATAATTCCATATTTCTTGAAGTTTTTGTTCATTCTTTTTTCATTCTGTTTTTCTGTATTCTTGTCTGCCTGTCTTATTTCAGAAAGCCAGTCTTCAAGCTCTGAGAGTCTATTCTTCACTTGGTATATTTTTCTTTTAATACTTGCAATTTGCATTGTAAAATTCTTATAGTGTGTTTTTCAGCTCTATCAGGTTGGTTTATGGTATTTTTTCTATACTGAGTATTTTTTTCTGTCAGCTCCTGCATTGTTTTATCATGATTTGTAGCTTCCTTGTATAGGGTTTTAATGTTCTCCTATAGCTCAAGGATCTTTGTTACTATCCATATTCTGAATTCTATTTCTGTAATTTCAGCCATCTCAACCCAGTCAGAACCCTTGCTATAGAGGTGATGCAGTCATTTGGAAGAAAGAAGGCACTCTGGCTTTTTAAGTTCTCAGGGTTCTTGCACTGATTCTTTCTCATCGTTTTGGGCTTATCTTCCTTCAATTTTTTAGGTTGCTGGTGTTTGGATTTTTTTTTCTCTTATCCTATTTGATAACCTTGAGTGTTTGATTCTGGTATAAGGTGGATTCAGCTGACTGGCTTCATTTCTAGAAGATTTTAGGGAGCCAACACTCAGCTCCTAACTCCTGGACTGTGTGCTTTAAATATGGGAGACTTGTACTGGGCTGCAACTTTGTTCTCTGTCTCCTGGAGGTCAGGAATCTACTGCACTGGGGATGCTGAGGTTCTCACAGACTGCTTCTCATCACACTCCCATAGGTGGTGTCAGCCAAAAGGTTCTGTGATGTGGTAAGTGGGATCCGTCCTCATTTGTGCATGCCAGCAGCAGTGATAGCGGCAGCTGCAGTAGACTGCTAGCAGGTGCTGGAGTACCTACCTTCCTGCAGGTGTTCACCACAGTAATAGAGTCAATGCAGCTGAAAGGGAGTGGGGTTGGGGGCTGATGGTGACTGTGTGGGTGGTCAGGCTGGAGGTGGTGTTGGCTTAGGGCAAGAAACTGGGAGGTGCAGGTGTGGGTGCCTTCTCCGTGCCCCGCAAGCAGGAGTGATCCAGGGTGTGGTTTCAACCAAGCAAAAATATTTCCATATTTCAGCTGCAGAGCCAGCATCGATATGGGACAGTGTTAGCCATTTGGGAGAAGTTGGTTTTGGTGAGTAAAGACAGAATTTGTCCTTTTTTGATTTTTCCTGCAGGACTCACCCGCCAGAAGGGACTCTTAGAGAGAAAGTAGGAATGGGGGTGATAGGATATTCAGATAAGCAAAGGGAGAATCCAGGGATGAGCCTCCTTGGGAGTTTAAAAAAAACTTCAGACACTGCATGAGATTCACTGTGATTAGAAATATTATTAACTGAACAGGTATTTGAAAGATCTGCATTCTGGAACAGATTTTATTTTAACTTATTTTTCAACTGAGGTTGTAGTTTGGAGTGGGGAACTTTGTGGGATGAAGAGGCTAGCTATCATCTTGTTGGCAGCTTTAAGCCCACACATTTCTCACATAGTGAGTATGTTGAGACTGTGAAGCAGATCACATTAAGTTGCACAGAGTTAAATGCTGTTTTATTTTAATAGCAATATATTTCATTTCATGTCTGTAACTTGTATATAAAAATTTGTGAATTTCAAAGATAGTATTTCTTAAAATGTTTAAGAAAAAAGTAATTAATCTAAAGAAAATACACTGTAACCAATAGTATTTGTAGTATACAATTATAGTAAAAAATAAAAATTTTTTTTGAGACAAAGTCTTGCTGTGTCACCCAGGCTGGAGTGCAGTGGCACAATCTAGGCTCACTGCAACCTCTGTCTGCTGGGTTCAAGGGATTCTCTTGCCTCAGCCTCCTGAGTAGCCTGGATTACAGGTGTGCACCACCACACCTGGCTATTTTTTTTTTTTTTTGTATTCTTAGTAGAGACGGGGTTTTACCATGTTGGTCAGGCTGGTCTCAAACTCCTGACCTTATGATCTGCCTGCCTTGGCCTCCCAAAGTGCTGGGATTACAGGCATGAGCCACCGCGCCTGGCCAAACATCTTAAAAATAATTCATAAATGGGCAAAGTATGGAAAACATTTGACTTTTTAATTAACTTGCTAATGGTCTCCATGCATATGTTTGGATTTCACACATGCTTTAATTGCTACTTGTTTTTGAGAGCATTTTGAGAGGGCACAATTTTTGAAATCAAAGAATCCATTCAAAATGCCAACATCAGCTTCTCTTTTGTTTTAAGGGGATATTTTTTTCCCTTCTTAGAATAAGCAATGCTCTGTACAGTCCATTAGAAGGAGGGATCTTAGCAAAAATGGTTTTCTCTAAGCATTGTTGAAACAGATTGGTTATAACACCCATGTCTAATAATACCAAGGAAAACAAAACAAAAAAAAAGACAAGTATTTAACTTGGCAGTACTTCCCCCAGGGAGACCACTTAATTTTTGGCAACCAAAAAATAAAACTTCATCAGATGTACATATAATTGAATGCCAAATTGTGGCATTCGATTTCCAGACATTATTTTCCTTCCTTCCAAGGAGGCATGCAAGCCTGTAGATACAGCATCACAGAAGATACTTTTAAAAACACTCTTCCTTATCAATAATGCCTATGGATTGAAGAAATTCTTGATTCTTAAACGGTAATGGATAATAATGTTAAGACAGATGTTCTCCAAACTGTGTCAAGTAGAGATTAAGTCTTTGACTCTGAGGTGATTTTAGGTAAAACAATGTAAATTTGTAGGAACACAAATCTTATACTAATTAATTGGTTGGGCTAAGGAAATTATTACCAACACTAAATATGTTCCTTATTGTTGTTGTTACATTGAAAATGTCTAACTTTGAAAATGAAATTCTGTAAACACAGCTATAGTACAGATCGTTGGTTTTGGAGTCATACTTTGGATCAACTCTAGCCTCCAGCCAGTTAGCTGTTTCATCCTAAAAATAATACTTCTTTAAGCTTCAGGTTACTTATCTGTAAAATGAAATAATAAGATAACCCAACTAAAAAGGTGTATGTAAATATTATATAATATATAATATATTATATATGATTATATATAATATAATATATTATGTGCTTAGAAAAGCAACTGGCACATTTAAGATTGAAGGCATTATTATTGCATTGATCTTATGCATACATGTTTCAAGGTCAATTTGGTCCTGTAGTTAAAATCTAGAAATGTCAGATTTCCCCACATAACAATGTTTTTTAATGTTGTTCATTAAATTTCTACATTTTCCTCTACTTTGCTCTATTTCATTTCCTATTATCTTCTCTTAAGACCCTGTAGTTGCTTGCATTGTTGCCTTGCATAATGGAGGATGTTGGTGGCCTAGGTTTTTGCTGTATTTCATTTTCAAAGATGTGTTCTCAGACCCTTAGATGTTGAATTGCATCTCTTTTTTTGTATTGTCAACTTTTTAAAAAGCTTGATTCATTTAGATGTTCACGGGTATGTTGTCAGAATGAAGCTCTCACAATCCACTTGGGAGAAGAAATAAAATCTTCTAGCCTCTGCTGATACATAATCAATAGGGATCTGGCTGCTTGAGATTTAACTTACCTTATAGCTACCTCTGCAGCATAAATGGAGATTAGAACCTTCAGGAATTCTGGAAGTATTTATAAACTTTGATGGGGGATTTTGCTTTCAAAATTAATGGACCAACCTTGAATGCTTTTATCATTTTGCTTCTGCTGAAGATAAATTATCAATCTAAATCCTCTCAAGGCATTCAGTGTTATCACCTTGATTTATTCTTAAGTTTGTAGGTTCAAATTCTTATCTCATCTCTGTTTCTCAGCTGTACTTCAGAGAGGATACACAAGTATGGAAAAGGAACTTTCCTAATTTGTAGTTATTATTGCAAACTTCTCACTATGTTATTTTGACTTTTTAATATAACAAAAGAACTAACTCAAAGAACAATACTGTATTAGTGTCCTAGGGCTGACATAATGAAGTACCACAAACTGACTGGCTTAAGCAACAGCAATGTATTGTTTTGCAGTGCTAGAGGCAAATGTCTGAGTAA